>NC_000003.12:53343333-53646363 GCF_000001405.40 Homo sapiens | reverse complement strand
TCTAAGTTACCATAAACCCTTTTTAGAACAAGCCTGAAATAAAGAGTCAAACTGCTAGGACAACAGCTGATCTCAATATCTCACCTGGCCTCCCCTGCTATCCCAACCTGCAGCTTCTTGGTTAAGGATCTCATCCTTTCATCCTTGCCTAGATTCCTCTTCCAACTTTCCCACCTCTCCTCTGTCAGAGTGCTTCACTCCAAGTCATGGGCCAACCTGCTCCCTCCCACACATGCCAGCCACCTTCCCACCTCCATGTCTTTGCCGTCCCTGCTTTATCCACCAAGGGTGCCTGCCCCATGGACATGAACTTCCCTCTTTAGATGAATAAGCATAGAGCTCTGTGATACAGGGCCAAAAACGCACCCAGCGGGGTTGAATGCAAGGAACACAGGGCTTGGAGCCATAGATCTGATTTCTGCTAGTCCCAACTCAGCCACTGATTCATGCTGTGGCCCTGGGCCACAGTGGAACCATTCCACATCCTGTTCCCTTCTTTCTAAAACAGTCTCCCCAACCCTCTTTCTCATCAGACTACACTCTGCTTGCCCTTCAAGGCTCAGCTTAAATGACACTTTCTCAGCAAAACCTTTACTGACCTCCCAGACAAAATTAGAGCCTGCTGTTACATGCTGTCAAAGCCCATTATACTTTTCCACAGCCGTAATTCACAATAGAAATTTAAATTTTAAAAAATTACCTCTTTAACAGAAAGCCAAGAAATAAATCCAGGCATTTATGGTCAACTGATCTTTGACAGAGGTGCCAAGAATACAGAGTGGGGAAAGGACAGTCTCTTCAATAAGGGGTACGGTAAAACTGGACATCCACATGCAGAGGAATGAAATCAGACCCTTCTCTCACCCCATATACAAAAATCAGCTCAAAATGGATCAAAGACTTAAACATTAAGACCTAAAACAGTGAAAGTACTACAGAAAAACAGAGTAAAAGCTTCTTGACATTAGACAGGGCAAAGATTTTTGAGATATGAGTCTGTAAGCACAGGCAACATAAGCCAAAATAAACATATGGGATGGCATCTAACTAAAACGCTTACACACAACAAAGGGAAAACCACCAGAATAAAGAGACAACCTATGAAATGGGAGAAAATATTTTTAAACCATTCATCTGATAAAGGGTTAATATCAAAAATAGATAAGGAACTCAAACAACTCAATAGCAAGAAAACAATCTGACTTTAAAATGGGCAAAGGACCTGAACGGACATTTCTCAAAAGAAGACATACAAATAGCCAAAAGATACATGAAAAAGTGCTCAACATCACTAATCATCAAGGAAATATAAATTAAAACCACAATGAGCCATCACCTCACATTCATTGGAATGGCTATTGTCAAAAAGACAAGTGATAAGTGTTGGCAAAGATATGGAGAAGAGGGAAGCTTTGTACACTGTTGATAGGAGTGTAAATTAGTACTGCCACTATGGAAAACAGTTACAGAGGGTCCTCAAAAAATTAAGAGTGGAACTACCATATAATGCAGTGATCCCACTTCTGGGAATGTATATACAAAGGAAATGAAATCAGTATGTCAAAGAAATGTCTGCCACGCCCATGTTCTTCATAACATTATTCACAATAGCTAAGACATGGAATTAACCTCCATGTTCATCAATGGATGAATGGGTAAAGAAAATGTGGTATAGATACACAATGAAATACTATTTAGCCTTTAAAAAGAAGGAAATCCTGTCATTTGCAATAACATGGGTGAACCTAGAGGACACTATGCTAAGCTAAATAAGCCAGGCACAGAAAGGCAAATACTGCATGATCTCACTTATATGAGGAGTCTAAAAACACTGAACGCACAGAAGCAGAGAGAAGAATGATGATTACCAGAGGTGGGGGTCAGGAAGATTGGGGAGATGTTGATCAACATATAAAAAATTTCAAAGTATACAAAAGCTAGAAAGAGTAAGTTCAGGAGATCTATTGTACAACATAGTGGCTATAGTTACAACAATGTATTGCATACTTGAAAATTGCTAAGACTGCATTTTAAATTTTCTCACCACAAAAAAATAAGCATGTGAGGTAATAGATATGTTAATTAGTTTAATTTAGCCATTCCGCAGTGTATGCATATATCAAAACATCATGTTGTACACCCTAATTATGTAGCTATTTGTCAATTTTTAAAAATTGCCTCTTTAATATTTGTCTCCCCTAATAAATTATCATTCCTTTAAAGCCAGAGATCATTTCTATTTCATGCATCATTGCATTCCCAAGGCCTGTCACAAAAATAGATATTCCGCATTTATAAATGAATAAATAAATGGGCAAAATGAGAGGTTTTGACCAACTATTATTAAATGTCCCTTCCCACTAAGAAGTTCTATGATACCAGCGCCCCCTGGTTTTGCTCTGTTCCAGGAAAACATCCATGAGTGCATGTCAGGGAAAGGCTCAGCACAGCCACCTGCTCCCTCATCATGGCCCTCCCTGCTCCAGGCAGGGTGTTCCATCCAGAAGAGGAGCCTGCACGAAGGCAAGCTGTTCAGGGCGAAGAGCAGTCCACATGGCTGAAGCACAAGGTATGAGGACAGGTGGGAAGGGAAGGGACAGGCTGCAGGGACACAGTGGAGGGCAGACACAAAGGGCCCCAGGTGCCACGGTACGGGGTTTGGTCTTCGTTTCTCATGTGTGAAATGAACAGACTAAATCAGATGATCTCTTCCAGTTGGAAAACAACAATTGTCTATGACCTGGTGAGCAAAGTCTCCAAGGACAGGCTTCACAGGGAGGCTCTGTGAGGGCGCAGAGACCCCAGGGAAGAGCTGACCAAGCAAGAACAGCAAGAACCGAGAGCAGCGGCTGCTTTTTCAAGTGGCTGGGTCGATTGAGGCCATCGTGCACATTCAGGCTGGGCTTGCTGAGACACCCTCCCACTCACGACCCTACACGTTTCAGGAGGTGACCCAGGGGAGCCGCAGCGCTATCACACAGCTTCTACAAGCCGATTCAACCTCTAGTAAAATTTTGGTGGGTAAACCACAGGAGGCTGGTGGGCAGGCAGGCGTCGGCTCAGAGATGCTTGGCTGTAAATAGAGGTCATTTTTTCCCCTGCAGGTATTAATGAAGTATGCACTTAGAGGAACAACAATGGGTAATTTAACACCACATTTACATGAAGAAACTGGCTACAGTAGTCTGTTTGCCCTCATCTTTCTTCACCTTCGGTTTAAAAGTACACATTTTATGTGACATTTGTGTCCCCCAAGTCTAATGCTAGTCTCGACAGCTGTGTTGCCCCGTTTGAGACATTTACCCCTCCTGATTCCCAGTTCTTTCATCCATAAAACAGGGACAATCATTCTTGCTTTGCCTTGCCCACCAGTGTTATGGTAAAAGCCAGATTAAGTAACAAGTTGGATAGAGCTGTGCAAACTATAAAGCACCTCACAATGGAAGGCTCGCCCTGACTAAGGATAGGTGAGACAGCTCCCCAGCCTGTGGGAAGTGTGAATACACTTCTCCCTGTGGATGCAGACTCTCTGAAGAGGTTTCTCCTGAGATCCCACGACAGTTCAGTGACCCCACAATCACCCAGGTGGGGCAAGGCCCTGGCCCAAGATGCTGTCTAGAATGTGCCCAGGGATGACAAATGGAGGTGGCCAGCAGGGTGACCTGGTGGACCACTCTACGGAGCCCAGCTTCAAGGACATGCGGTCTGTGGGAAGAGGGCAGCAGCATGCCTGGGGCGGCAGAGGCTGGCAGGGAGCTCTCCTCCTCACCGGCAGAGCAAAGGCAGCTTCTGCTTTGCTGCCAAGACTACAACAGTTAGCCTGGATGGGGCAGTAATGATGGCCTTGCCACCCAGCAAAACTCCAAGGGTAACAGCACCCTGACCTTCCCCCAGGAACTGCTCCATTCCTGCTCTCATCCCAGGGGCAATAAGAGTTGGCATGCAGCCAAGGTTATTGGTTCGGGGATAGGCATAAGCTCCAACCCACACCAACCGGGTCCGAAGAGAGCAAGTCTGGGAGCTTTCCCTGGGGTAACTAGGTAAGAAGTTCTTTTGTTGGCTGGATTCAGCCCTGAGAGACCACAAGCCTAGAGTTGCCAGGGGGACATAGAGATGAAGAGCTAACACCCACCAAGGGAAGCCAAGCCAAAAAATGAAGAGAAAGTGTGCCAGTCAGCCAGCCAGCCAGCGAAACTCAGAAGCAGGCACCTGGCCCTGAGGCCACTGTATGCATCCCTGGATCAAGTTGAGCCTGAAGTCAAAAATTCCCTTCTCTCCCCTCCCCTCCCCATTTGGGCTTTTCAGTTATAAAAGCCACCAAATTAAGCTAGTTTGGGTTCAGTTTTTGTCACCTGCAAATGAAGGAGTCCCACCTAAATATTAATACAATGGGCTGTAGGATCACTCCATGTCTCTAAAATGTTGAGGTATCTGAGAGAGAGAATCTTCAGTAGCTCCTCATTTCTCAAGAGACAACATCTTTGATGACTCCCTCTGACCCACAGGTTCAGCGGTGGTTCCCTATACACAGGGCCTCCGAGCCCTATAAGTCACTGCCTCTGGGAATTCATCTAGGCTCAGCTTTCCAAATTCCCTCCTTCAATCTTTTCCGTTCTCTGTTGCCATCTTCAATTTCAACTGGTTTCCTGTGCTGTGCACACTCTTGTAAACTTGACGCTTCAGACTTGCCTTCCTTCCCATCCCGTGCATCCCAGGGACATGGACTCTGAGCTCCCTTGGCAGAGGGTACATTCTATGCTTGGCAGCCTCCCACTTCCGCACCCAGCTTCACCTCTAAGGCACTGCCCACTTCCATCCCATCTCGCCTGGCAGTTCAGGGACCCTATTTCAGCTCAATTCAACACCACTCACTGGTTATCTGCTCCATACCAGGCATGATCCTGAGCACTGGGGATTCAAAGATGGCTACAACACTGTTCATATCCTCAAGGAGGATGGCAGATAATATATAAACATTTCAGGACAGCAGACAAGAATCCAAGCTCAAGCAGAGTACTAGGAGTCTCCTTTGGGGCGGAGAGGATGGAGCAGCTAATCGTGTCCGGAGCATCTGGGAAGGCTTCTTGAGAAGCACAGGACTGCATCACATCTAAATTCCTCCATCTGGCATCCCCGAGGACCTCTGCAATCTGTCTACACTCAACCTACCAACAACCAACTGACGTCTGTCATGGGTCCAGCGAGGACAGTGCCCCTGCCCCTCCTGATGCCCCTTCCTCCTCCACGTGCCTCCAGTCCCTCAGCTCCCACAGCCTCCCACATATCTGCATACTCACTGGAAGGTACGGTCTTCACGTCTGCTCTTTTCCAAGACTGAAAGCACTCCTGTTTGTCTAAATCCTGCTTCACCCTTTAAGGGAAGACTAAGGAGTTTCATTTCCTCTGAGCATCATTTTTCCCCTTTTGAAAGCCTAATGTACTTAGGATGAACCAATGACCACCACATGCCTGCTGCTTCTAACCCCCATCCCCCGGCCATAACAGACATTCCCACTGGTCATCAGACGGCACTCTTTCTCCTGGCACCCTGAGGCAGTGTCACATGTTTTGCCATTCAGGCAGCACCCACTGGGTAGAGTTGGCATCCAAGTTGAAACTGTTTGCCATCCAGAGCTAAAAATTATATCACATGTTTTGACATGTCATCATGAAGGTAAATCATATCAACAAACAATTGAGCACCAACCAAGTACAAGAGCAGAGAAGGGTTGGGAAGGTGAACCTATTGATACACTGTCTCGTATCATTTGCAGCTTGTCAGTGCCTTGAGGACAAAAACCATATTCCATCTACCTCTGCAGAATCCCCTCACAGTACCAAAGCAGAGAGCTGGGTACTTCACCTCACTAGATTCCAAGATCCCATCTCTACACAAAAGGAGAAACAGAACCATTATCTCGGGCTACATTTCTCAGCACCTGGGCCAGCAATCTTGTCTTAGTTGTCACCCAGGCCAGAATCCCATTTACCCCATCCTAGTTGGCACTGCAGAGTTATGCTTTATTTCTAAACCATGTCAGGCCTTTGCATCCCATCCCAATGGCTCAGGTAAAATTGGATGGCAATGGGAATGTGCCCTACATGGGCTGATCAAAGTCATACACTGTCTCCCTGGGAATCTATGGAGTTCAGGTCAACCCTCCAATATGTCTACTTCCTTTGCCAAAAAGTAAGAAATGGTGGCTGGGCACAGTGGCTCACGGCTGTAAACCCAGCACTTTGGGAGGCCGAAGCAGGTGGATCACCTGAGATCATGAGTTCAAGACCAGCCTGGCCAAACACGGTGAAACCTATCTCTACTAAAAATACAAAAATTAGCTGAGTATGGTGGCACGAGTCTGTAATCCCAGCTACTTGGGAGGCTGAGGCATGAGAATTGTTTGAACCCGGGAGGCAGAGGTTGCAGTGAGCCGAGATAGCACTGCTGCACTCCAACCTGGGTGAGAGCGAGACTCTGTGTCAAAAAAAAAAAAAAAAAAAAAAGTAAGAAATGAGTGAACATTTCAAAATGGCAGGAACTGGTTAAGTTTAAAACTGAACACTTTCATTTTGACAAGAAAGCAGTCATTCTTTTTCTCCATTAACAGAGATAAAGAAAAGCTTTTCAAATCTGTATATGGCTACGTTGATTGACGTCTGAGTTAAAAATGAAATCTCAGCCGGGCGCGGTGGCTCACACCTGTAATCCCAGCACTTTGGGAGGCTGAGGTGGGTGGATCATGAGGTCAGGAGATGGAGGCCATCCTAGCTAACATGGTGAAACCCCATCTCTACTAAAAATACAAAAAATTAGCTGGGCATGGTGGCATGCACCTGTAGTCCCATCTACTCAGGAGGCTGACACAGGAGAATCACTTGAACCCAGGAGGCGGAAGTTGCAGTGAGCCGAGATTGTGCCACTGCACTGTAGCCTGGTTGACAGAGCGAGACTCCATCTCCAAAAAAAAAAAAAGAGAGAGAGAGAGAAATCTCATTTCCCTGTTGCTCAGTCATGTTCCTATAAACATACTACTTGCATGCCTGGACAGTTATCACTTTCCAACCTCTTATCTCGGTGATTTCCCAAGCTACAGAGTAAGATAGGTGGAGAATTTTTGTATTTTTAGTAGAGACAGGGTTTCACCATGTTGGTCAGGCTGGTCTTGAACTCTGGCCTACACAACAGAGCAAGACTCCGTCTCAAAAAACAAATAGGCAGAGAAGGGGTTATTTACATTTCACAGATGAGGTTCACAGGCACTGAGTTATTTTTGCTACAGTCAACGTGAACAATACAAACAGCAATTGTGCCCTCTGGTTTGAAGAGACCTGGCTCCACCCACCTGGTGGGGAAAACTACAACTCCACCCTGGTCCCATGCCTGCCAGCTCTCACCTGGACTCCTCTGTTGTCTCACGTAAGTCACATCTAAGTATGACCTCAGCTGCTCAAAGGACTGCTGAGAAAGTTAGTCAAGTTATCCAACCAACACTCAGCAAACCGAGGACCCATCTGGGAGGTGGAGCCACCCTACCCAATCACAGCTGTTGGGAGTGTATCTGTCCCAGTGGGTGGCACAGCTGAGCTCCTACCTAGAGGTGGCCACCATGCTAGGAAGCACCTTCACCTTGGACAGTGGGCTCAGGTTCTGGCTCTGCCACTTATTAGCTATGCAGACTTGGGCAAGTGACTTTACCCCTCCTCACTGCAGCTTCTTCACTGTAAAATGAGAATACAGACACCAGAAGCTACCCAGGTTTGTTGGTAAGTGCAAATGAGGCAGCCTATGTAAACAAGAGCCAGTGTCTTCGTGTGGCAAACCCCATGGCAAGTTCTCATGGAACATTGGCTATTACTGCTGTGTCTAGTCTATGTAACACTCACTGCCCTGCCCCAGCCACCAGCCACCACCCAGGAACAGCATGGTGCCCGGTGCAGAGTAACTGCTAAATACTAAGTTAGTATACTCACAATGTACCTAACTCACTGATGACCCTGAAGGAGGTGCACAATTCTTCCCGGAGGAGGCCCTGCCCTGGCTTAGGGCTGGCTCTGCTATGAGGGAGACAGCTGCCTCATCTAAAGCTGCTCTTACACCTTCCTGGACTGTCCAGAAAAACTCTCTATGGTTTGCTATAGACAGAACAGTCAGAAGGTGAAAGAGGGCCCAGATCCCCAGGCCCAATCTTACCCCAACTCCATTCATTGCTAAGGCTAAGAATGTCTGTGGGTCAGTGGAGAACAGGCAGCACTCATCTCATCAGAGAAACTACTCTTTCATACGAACGTCTCCAATGTATGGACACCATTTTCCCACTGAGTGTGCCGACACCATAGAAACACGGATCATACCTTTCTAAGTAAATATATGAATAGAAGCTTTAAAATATTTTAAGTATGGAGTCTATAATTAAGACACAGCGTTTGAGATATTTACACAGAAGATTAATGACTCCATGCACATAATTCATCATTGCTTTAGTATTACCAAGTAATATTAAGTTAATTAAGAGACATTGGGAGGCCAAAAAACCAGGCATGACCCAACTGCAGCCCTGCAATGGAAATGAATGAGCAAGTCAGCAGGCAGAACTGAGTCTCGGGAGACCCACACTGAGCTGAGGAGTATCTAAGAAACCCATGTCACTTGCACTGACCTGCTCTTGCCAGTCCAAGGTCACTCTCATCCATTATTTGACACCTCCCAGAGGCTAGAGAGAGGGCTCCGTCACCATTTCCCAAGCTCAGAACCCACACAGGCCTTTCCACAGGCAATTCCACTCCCAGGGAACCTGGTGGCTCCAAGAGGAGTTACTAGGGGATTATATTGAGTTAGGTGGCAAGGGCTGGTTAATTATCTCTACTCTTCTTTTGAAAGTAAATTTTATGTTTTAAATTGCTTTCCTTGCTCCAAAAAAAAAACCTTAGAGCAGCAAGAATATAAAAATTCAAAGTAGGTGAGAAAGGGAACGTTACATGGCTGTTTAAAAGGAGAAGGCAGATCCACATGTGAGGGCAAGAAAGAGTGCCTACGATCTTATTATTCCAGATTATTACAGTGTGTAATACGAATACTGCAGTGGTATGAACATTACAGGCCCCTGGAATCTGAAAAGATGGTGACCTCTTCATAAGCCAGTCTGCAGGGCAAGCACCCAGAAGCAAAGAGGCTTGCCTCAGAGAAAAAGATCCTTGGGACTTTCCAACTCTACTTTTAGGTAGCTCTGATTTGTGTGAGCTTTTCCCATTGAGCATCTTTTACTTTAAAATCAGCTGAAACTTTAAATATTTAGGACAGAAGAATAAGGTAAAATGAAAAAAAAAGAGCGAGGAAAATAAAATAAAAATAAGACCATTGTAAAGATGTATCCTGTGAAGACATGTCTTTATTAATAAGTCTGAGATTTTTGATAGTTAATGTAAAAGAAGGAAATCAGATCAGTGACACAAGTCACCTTAACCGTTGAATGAAACTGTTTCTTGGCACAGAACAAAATATTTCTCCAGAGGATCTGCACAGAGAAAAGAATCAGTTGACAATAGGTATTAAGCATCAATTATAGGAAGTAGAATAACATGGAATTCCTGTCTCCATGAAATGTATACTGTAATGGAGGAGAGAGGATTGTTTAAATAAAATACATATGAAATTAATTCAGTGCTTTGTATCCAGCAATTTTTGAAAAATGAAATAAAATTGTATGGAAAATATCACATTGCACAGGAAATATCAGAATATAAGAGTATATAGTTTTCGGCCAGGCGCAGTGGCTAATGCCTGTAATCCCAGCACTTCGTGGGGGCCAAGGCAGGCCGGACTGCTTGAGGTCAGGAGTTTGAGACCAGCTTGGCCAACAGGGTGAAACCCCTTCTCTACTAAAAATACAAAAAAATTAGCCGGGCGTGGTGGCGCACACCTGTAGTCCCAACTACTCAGGAGGCTGAGGCAGGAGAATTGTTTGAACCCAGGAGGCCGTGGTTGCAGTGAGCCGAGATTGCACCACTGCACTGCACCCTGGGTGACAGCACAAGACTCCATCTCAAAAAACAAATAAATCGCATATATTTTTCAAACGTGTTTCAGATGACATTTATGTGTGCTTGAGAGTTACAATGTATTTATTACTGCTCACTAAGATTTAAAAAAAAAGTTGAAAAACACAACTCTAGAAGTCGATAATCTTTAGCCACCCCTGGACACCAGTTGTGATAAATAGTAACTCTTGCTCTCATGCTCACTGGTATACACTCTCTCCCTCCACCATATACACATCCACAAAAACCCTGAAGTTAAAAGGTATTTAAAGAGCTTCTAACTGTATGCAGAGCCAGACACCCAAGAAGCAAACCCAATGGTCAGAAAGAACTACCCCAGGAAGTGATAGGGATGGAGGTGAATTTCCGGTGGTTGGTTTCTAGAGCAAGGACAGTCTCTCCAGCTAAGGAAACGGAGACTCAGGCAGGGTCGGGCAGCGAGTTTCCTGCCTGTCCTAAGGAATCAAATGGGGCTATTTTGGGAGGCAGCGATCTCTACGACTATCTGGAGAAGAAGAGAGGAGAATGGGTGGAACCAGGTTGCAAGTTTATACGGGAAGGAAGAATGCCTGTTCTTGCAATGGGGCATGAATAGCAGAAGGCAGGATGGAGTAGGAAAAAGCACCAAACTGAAGACTATGACTCACAAATCCCAGAGTGGCCAAACCAAGAGGCACTACAGAGATCCAACAGCACTGTCTTGCAGGAGCTGGAGAGGCTGAAACCCAGATAGAGAAAGGGCAGCCCCCACATTTGGAGCACCTGGAGGCAGGAAAAAGCCTCAAACACCTGGGAGCTGGACAGAGAAAAAAGGGAAGATGCCCAGCAAACTAACTCATAACCCACCCATCTTCCCTGATCCCCCCCAAATCCAGATGGGAAATGGCTCATTGAGAAACAATACAAAATACCTGACTGGGACAGGAAAATGACAACCCACCCACCAGCATCCCCTCCCCACCCTAAGCCTGGGGCATCAGGTCAGACAGAAGAGAAGCAGGGCAGGGCAGTGTGAGGAATGTGAAGTCCTGGGCCATGGGTACCCACCCGAGACTGCAGTCTGTAGGCCCAGGAGGGTCCCCAGAAACTGTGTGTCACATGTGTCCTCCAGCAGGCATGGCGGCTGTTTGCAGTCAGGTGCACACACACTTCTTAGCTAAGAACAGGGCTGTCAGACACCTGTAACTCACAAGGTGAAATCGGGGGAGGGTTCCTCCTCTAGCTTCTTTGTGGCAAAGGTGCTCAATATAGGAGAAAAGCCCTCTGGCACCTGAACAGGGTCCACAGAGCCCGAGGCTGTAATTTTTAACATATGTTTTTGTATCCTCATCCACTAAATGAGACGAATTCTTCCCTCAGCTTTCTTGAGACAGTGAAGAGCCCTCCCAAAACAAAAATCTTTTAAGGAAGCCCAAGACTGCCTGCCCTCCAGGCAGCCATGAGGATGGTGAAGAGCAGTCCAATTCCTGGTTCTGCTCTTTTCCATCGTGTGGCCCTAGGCAAGGCACTGAAAGTCTCCAAGCAACGGTCTCCTCATCCTCTCAATGGTCACAACAGTACCAACTTTCTGGAATTGAGGATTGATACTGATGGTGGGAAATGCCTGGCACACGGTTTGCACTCAGCACCTGCTGTCACTGAATGTGGTGGTTGTGTTGTGAATGTTACACAGAAGGGCCTCCACGAGCTCTCGCACAGGGGTACCTCTTAAAAACCAAAGGCTGGAGGATTCTAGGACATTGAGACATCCTACTCAGCTTCACTTTACATTCCCACAATGCTAAGGACCAAGGGGACATACTAGCAAGCACACACACACCCATTCACACCCTATTACAAGAAATGGTATTGAAGACTCAGAAAATACCAGCAAAACCATATACATAAACAAGCACCTTGAAATCACAACCATGGAAGTCCTGTTGGCCAGGTGAAAGCTGAAAACCACATCTGTCCCGTTAATTCAGGCATAGGTAGATGCTTTTTTAATGCTTTCATAACTATGGAGGACAATCATCATTTTAATAATGATTCATGTTAGAAAAGGCAACAAGCTTGATCACAATTGCCTCAATTCAAAATTCATTAATACTCTGTAACCAACTGAAATCATTACATTTGAGCTCTATACTTCATAAACATATGTTCTAAGGGAATTGTCAAGCCACTTGATTTCTGTAGTCTGTATTTTAAAGCTGCCTTTATATGTCAATATAGTTCACCATCCATAGTCACTCCCTATAAATTGAGGCACACTCATATCACCTTGAGACATCTGAACATGAAGGGCCACGAAAGCTTAACCAGCTGAATAGATGCTATTTTCTAAATGTCTAGGTTTATTATTTATAAAACATCCTAGTGAGACAAAACGGAGCAAACAAATATAGGTTTTTCTTTAATTACAGTAATGTTGGTGAATCAGATCTCAAATGTCTGGAAATTACTACTTTCTACAACTTGTGATTCTGCTCAAATGCCAAACTTAAAAAACCCAAATCCAGAACAAATAGCTTAACTGTACCATCCAGTCTTACACTTTTTACAACCCAGACATATCAGGGTACAGATATGGGACAGGATTACCCCTGATTACCAGTAAAGGGCAAATAGGTGGGTTCTGAAAAGCACGTCTGTGGAGCCAACACTATACTAGTTTGCTATTAACTTTTTAAAAACCAGACATCCAGGAAATCAGGAGGAGGCAAGCTGAAATTGAGCTGGATGACTTCCCGGCTACCAGTTTGCCCTAAGCTGGAGAGCACAGTAAATATGGAGTCAAGCAGTCTGAGTTCAAAATCCCCACTCGGTCTAAGCTATATAACCTTGGGCAAGCACTTTGCTCTTCTCTAACTCAGCCTTTTTGTTTTTGTTTTTTAAGACAGAGTCTCTGTTCCCCAGGGTGGAGTGTAATGGTGCAATCTCAGCTCATTACAACCTCCGCCTCCCGAGCAGCCGGGACCGTAAGTACATGCCACCACACAGGCTAATATTTTTTTAAGAAATGTGGTTACGCCACATTGCCTAGGCTGGTCTTGAACTCCTGAGCTCAAAGCAATCTGCCCACCTTAGCCTCCCAAAGTGTTGGGATCACAGGCGTGAGCCACCACACCCAGCCCTTGCCTTGGTTTTCTAATCAGTGAAAGCACGGTTAAAAGGAGTACATGAGATAATGTGCAATGGTCAGCACATAGTATGCACACAATAGTTATTATTATACAGGAATATCTCATTTTATTGTACTTCACACTTTATTGAGCTTCACAGACAATGCAATTTTTTGTAAACTGAACATCCGTGGCAATGCTGCAACAAGCGGGTCTATTGGTACCATTTTTCCAGCAGTTAAGTGCTCACTTTGTGTCTCTGTGTCACATTTTGGTAATTCTTGTGATATTTCAAACTGTTTCATTTTTATCGTATCTGGTACGGTGATCTATGATCACTTATCCTCGATGTTACTATTGTAATTGTTTGGAGACATCACAAACTGCGCCCATAGAAGACTGTGAACAAAATTGATAAATGTGTGTGTTCTGACTGCTCCACCAACCAGCTGTTCTCCATCTCTCTCTCTCTGTCCTTGGGCTTCCATATTCCCTGAGACGCAATAACATTGAAATTAGACCAATTAATAACCCTACAACAGCCTCTCAGTATTCAAGTGAAAGGAAGACTCATATGTCTCACTTTAAATCACAAGCTAGAAATGATTAAGCTTAGTGAGGGAGGCATGTTCAAAGCAGAGACAGGCTGAAAGCCAGGCCTTTCGTACCAAACCATTAGCCAAGTTGTGAATGCAAAGCAAAAGTTCTTGAAGGAAATTAGAAGTGTTACTCCAATGAACAAATGATGATAAGAAAGTGAAACACCCTTATTGCTGATACAGAAAATGTTTTAAGGGTCTGGACAGAAGATCAAACCAGCCCATTCTCTTGTGCCAAAGTCTAATCCAGAGCAAGGCCCTAACTCTCTTAAATTCTATAAAGGCTGAAGAAGCTGCAGAGAAAGTTGGAAGCTAGCAGGGCTTAGTTCATAAGTTTTAAGAAAAGCAGCCATCTCCATAACATAAAAGTACAAGGTGAAGCAGTAAGTGCTGATGAGGATGCTGCAGCAAGTTCTCCAGACGATCTAAGATCACTGATGAAGGTGGTGACACTAAACAGATTTTCATGTAGACAAAACAGCCTTCTATTGTAAGGAGATCCCATCGACGATTTTTCTAGCTAGAGAGGGGAATGCCTGGCTTCAAAGCTTCAAAGGACAGGCTGACTCTCTTGTTAGGGGCTAATGCAGCTGGTGACTAAGTTGAAGCCAATGCTCCTTTATCATTCTGAAAATCCCAGGGCCCTTAAGAATGATGCTCAATCTACTCTATGCTCTATAAATGGAAAACAAAGCCTGAGTGACAGCACATCTGTTTATAGCACAGCTGACTGAATATTTCAAGCCCACTGTTGAGACCTACTGCTCAGAAAAAAGCTCCTTTCAAAATATTACTGCTCACTAACAATGCACCTGATCTGATGGAGATGCACAAGGAGATGAAGGTTTTCATGCCTGCTAATATCCATTCTGCAGCCCATGAATCAAAGAGTAATTTTGACTCTGAAAAGCCTTATGATTTAATAAATATATTTCATAAGTCTCCAGCTCCCATAGATAGCAATTCCTCTTACAGATCTGGGCAAAGTAAATTGAAAACCTCTGGGAGGAATTCACCATTCTGGATGTCATTAAGAACATTTGTGATTCATTAAAGAAAGTCAACATTTCAACATTAACAGGAGTTTGGAAGAAGTTGATTCCAACCCTCATGGATGACTTTGAGGGGTTCAAGACCTCAGTAGAGGAAGCAACTGTAGACATGGTGGAAATAGCAAAGAATAAGTATTAGAAGTGAAGATTGAAGGTAGAACTGAATTGCTGCAATCTCAAGATAAAACTTGAATAAATGAGGGGTTGCTTCTTATGGATGAGCAAAGAAAGTGGTTTCCTGATATGGAATCTACTCCTGGTGAACACTGTTGAAATGAAACAGAGGGTTTAGAATATCACATAAACATAGTTGATAAAGCAGTGGCAGGGTTTGAGAGGATTGACTCCAATTTTGAGAGAAGTTCTACTGTGGGTAAAATGCGGTCAAACAGCATCCCATGCTACAGAGAAATCTTTCATGAAAGGAAGAATCTATCATGTGGCAAACTTCCTTGTTTTAAGAAATTGCCACGGCCACCCCAGCCTTCTTCGGCAACCACTACTGTGATCGGTCAGCAGCCATCAACATCAAGGCAAAGCCCCTCACCACCAAAAAGATTATGACCTGCTGAAGGCTCAGATGATCATTAGCATTTTTAGTAATAAAGTATTTTTAATTAAGGTATGTGCATTTTTTAGACATAATGCTATTGGACACTTAACAGACTACAGTATAGTATAGACATAACTTTCATATGCACCGGGAAACAAAAACATTTGTGTGACTCACTTTACTGCAAATATTTGCTTTATTGTGGTAGTCTGGAACCAAACCAACCATATCTCCAAGGTATGCCTGTTTGAGCCATTGAGGGTAGAAGCTCAGGTCTTGACCTCTTTTCCAACACTCTAGAAGCTGTCAGATTTCCTTTTAACCAACTTGTCATTTGAACTGGCATTCTTTGTTCCCTCTGGCTAAAAGGTAATGACTAACGCCCAAGCCATACTGAACTCTCATGACTTGTTAATTTCTAAAGAGCTTACACGTTTTTGTTCCCCAAGAGTTGAGCTGTTTGCTTATCAGGAGTTGGTGGTTGGTTCCCAAGTTTATGTCAGTTGGATTAGTAACTACCTAAATTAATTAAGTACTGTCTCAAATAATGAGATACGAGTGCAAAAGAAAGAGTTGTTTCTTCCAAAACACCAGGCTGAATCCATTGGAAGTACTGGATAAGCAATGTTACATGTTTTATTGTTGAATCAGATATGGATGTATAACAACAAGAGATAAAGAAAAAACCATAGACATTTAGAATTGCTCTCAGCTTTCCTCTGTATCTTTATGTTCTTGTTCTATTGTTACATAAGAGGCAACTGGAAGTTGTGGACATTATAGGTGTAGCCTGTGCAAGCAAGTGGATATGCTGATCAGTAGATACAGAATAATGAAAACAAAACCTGTGGCCCTACTTCATCAGATTGGCAAATAATTGTCCAGTCATATATTCCACGTTAAAATAATCTTTCACAGGTGTTATGTCTTTTTAAATGAGCCTCCCCGTAACTGGCTTTTTAAAGTAACCAACCTAACAGGTCAAATATAAGGACAGGTGCAGCAGGAGGCCAGTGAGAGTCATCAGGGCTTACTTTGTCCTCAGTTCCCTCCTGAGGTCCAGCTTTTTACCATGCTTGCCATGAACTTGTCTCTAGAAATGGATAATGACTGCAAATACACTGTCAGTCAGCAATGCAATATGTATTTAAATAAATATCACATTGTCCTTATGATGACTTTTGAACGCACTGGCAGAGTTAGTACCAACTGCTACCATTTATACATCGGGGCTCAAAGTGGTGAACTTTCTGAAGTTGCATGCTATGTCATCAACCTCTGTCTTCTTTGTGGGCCAGCATGGGGTGAAATGGTGTGTGGCAGCAGCAGCATTGTGTGCTGGGGGGAGAAAAACGAAAGAAGGGAGGGAATGTGTGTGAGCAAAGAAAGCATCTGCGCCAGGAAGACCTGCAATGTATGCCACATGAGGAATGAGGAGGGGATGCTGCTGCTAGCAGAAACACATGACTGATTAGAGCTCCCCAGAAAGTCACCCCAGTGACAGACTGCTAACTCCTCCCCTTCACCACAACCTCATCTCAATGTTAAAGGATGCTTTCATTCTGTATTTTATCCTATGTTGGATACTCAGTTCCTGAACATCTGCTGTGGGTGAGGTAAAGTGCATACAATCCCATAAACTGATCACTTTCTTAAGAGAAAATGGAAGACCAGCCTAGGCTTCTGTCCTGGTTAGTGTCAGCCAGAGAAAATGTGGGTTGGCATGAAGGTAATCAGACAAGCAAAGCTACCATCTTGGGCTAAATTCAACCATCGGTGACAACTCGAAACTTGTTCTTTTCACTAAACCAGGGGTTGGCAAATTATGGCCTCTGGTCCACCAGCCAGGTTTTCGTAAATAAAGCTTTACTGCCACACAACCACGCTCGTTTGTTTTCTTGTCTAAGGCTGCTTTTGCTCTGTGGCAGCAGACCTGAGTAGCCGTGACAGAAACCACACGGCCCACAAAGCCTAGAATATTTACTATTCAATTCTTTACAGAAAAGGTTTGCTCACCCCTGCCCTAGACCTGTAGTGCTCATGAGATAGAATGCTCTTGGCTTTCAGTTCTCTGCCAGAAAAAGAAAAGAGAATGCTAGTGATTACCTAGCCTTGTTCCTTCTTCTAAGATGAATGGTATAATATTTTTGCTTAATAGCTAAGATATGCATGGAATACTAGCAAAAATCTTTGCAAACACAAACATTTTTACAAACAGGTTCTGACAGTCTTTTACCACTGCTTCCTGTCAAGACTTGCAGGCACTGAAATGGCAGTGACCGCTGAGGCTTTCGAAAACACAAACAGGCACAGTCACATATGGCGCTCAGCTTTGTCTGGAGGGACACACTGCAATTCAGAATTGCAGGCACAAAAGAAACTGCTACTTAGAGATTTTTTTTAAGACCTTGAAGGACCTGATCCCTCATTATTCCCATAGCAGCTTCAGTTTTTACTCTGTATTTAACCAAAGTTCCTACAAGACTATAAAAAACCCATAGCCACTGTGAAAATAAGTTAAAATAATAGTTTCTGCAAAATACTTTAAGTGCCATGGCATTCATCCTTTAGAATTGGGTTAGGGAGTACTATAATTTGGTCTGTCAGCACTGATGTAAGCACACAGCAGACTCAGAACAGTGTGTGTTGACTCTCTAAGGTTTGGAAGATGGGGAGCTTACAATGGCCTTAAAGAATACTTAACATCTGTCCTTCCACAAGAAGTTACCCTCATACTTTGACAAATAACCACAGAGAGAACAGCAAAAGCACAGAAAGACAACACAAATAAAAGGCACAGGGTCTGCATCTGACACTTGTGCTTATGTGTGTATCTAAGGTATAGTAGTGTGGGTTATGATAAAATTCTTCATTCTGTACATAAAGGAGAGTTGGGTGACTGCTTCCTGTTACCCAGGTATTAGAGAAGACAGGGCTCCCTGCTGAAAACAAGAACTGAATACCTCATTTTATTTTATTTTATTTATTTATTTTTTTTGAGATGGAGTCTCGCTCTGTCACCCAGGCTGGAATGCAATGGTGTGATCTCAGGGCCACCACAACCTCCGCCTCCCAGGTTCAAGCGATTCTCCTACCTCAGCCTCTGCCTCCTGAGTAGCTGGGATTACAGATGCCTACCACCACACTGGGCTAATTTTTGTATTTTTAGTAGAGATGGGGTTTCACCATGTTGGCCAGGCTGGTCTCGAACTCCTGACCTCAGGTGATCTGCCCACCTCGGCCTCCCAAAGTGCTGGGATTACAGACATGAGTCACCACACCCGGCCTGAATACCTCATTTTCTAAGAAACCAACAGATGGAACTAGACATCTCCCCAGCCCAGGGCTCACTAAGCCAGCCCTTTATAATCAACCATCCCTTTTCCACCATCCCCCACCCCCCACCCATCCACAGCCACAGGCTAGTGAGGCTTGAGAGGGAACACAGCATCAGCATGTTGGCAGCCTTGTGGAAGAGGATAACAGCTAGAGGGAGGTCCCCTTCCTAGATCTAAGAAACGGGGACTTAAGAGAATCATCAAGACAATCACGTTTGCAAGATGGATAAACTAGCACCTCAGACCCCAGGGAACTCTCAGCTTTGGCTACAGTCCTGAACCGCTGCTCCGCTCGCCTGTGCTAGGACAGTCGCCATGCTACCTTTTGACCTGGCAGAGACCCATGAGCTTCCTGCAAGTTAAGTGGGCCCCACAGGGTGGCTAGGCTTGAGCTCTCTCTGGGATCTCACCCAGGGGAACTGGCCACCATGCAAGGTTACTCTAGCAACCAGAGGCTGTGCAGCAGGGATCAGAGTGGCTGAACCAGAGCCACAAATCCCTATTGGGACCTGTGAGGTGGAGAGGTCTCCACAGAATTTCAGCAGGAATCTGCACGTAGATGCCTGTCAGACCAAGGGTGCTGCTGCCTGGCCAGTTTCAGCTAGAGAAGCTGCAAAAACCAACCAGGAAGAAAACATCTCTTGTGCCCAGTTAAGCATAAAGGTACTTGCTCCTATCCCTCTGCCTCCTTCTCACTAATGGAGGAGTCAGAGCTGAGAGGTAGGGAGAGCAGCCCACGCCCCCTTACTACAGTGGCAAGGCAGGAGCAAGAAGGAGTCTTAAATCAGATGAAAACACTGACGTTTCGTTAACTGAAAATGGGAAGTCTGCCCAAGAGGTCATCTAGGAAGGGGAGAGGGAGATCCAACAAGGCACAGGTAAAAGCAGAGATTGGAAACATACAACCATTTCATGTTACAATTCAGGATTCCTCAACTAATAAAATATAGATAGGTAAATTGAGGCTCAGAGAGAGGCAAGAACTGATCTAACATCATAAGCCAAGATGGTGGCTAAAGCTGAAACTGAAACCACAGTCACTTTTCTCCACCTTTCCCCTCACAGTGACACCTGAGTGTGACTTTATCCATGTTTGACTTTAAAAAAAAAATCAGAGGAACTGGCTCAGGGCCTCGGCTCAGGTTAGAAGTCTTCCCTCCTCCAGGGATTTTCCTAAGAGCCTCCTTTCTCTCTCCATTTCCCCTCGCAGCCTTTCCCTCTCTCCCCTCTTGCCCTCCTGTGTGCCAATGCACACGGCACCTGTTATCCCTATCCCACAGGTCCCCTCCATCTGGTAGGTCCTGACTGCTACAACCATATATAAAGCTAGCTTTGGGGGCAAAACTTGGGTCTCAATCACAGTTCTCAGCTATTTCCAGATCAGCATGACCAGGAAATGACTTTAGAGCAGGCTTTTCTGGAACCTGACATTCACCCCCTCCTCTTCATCCCTCTGACCATGAGGGGATGTGCCCGGGGCGGCAAACTCAACCTGCCACACTACACCAGTGGGAGTCCAGAATCGGAATCACCTCTGAGGGGTCCCCCTTTTAATTAGAAAGTACAGAGTAAGGTGCAAACTCTTCTCCAGAATTCCAGCAATTCTGTGCATTTCGTTGGCCAGTTTCCAGCTTCTAAGCTAATCTAAAGAAACCCAAAGCAGCAGACCTACAGATAAGACTCTCCTTTATCCCCACCCCAGCCTAGTCTGTAAATTTTCTCAGATGTGCACCCCACACACACTCCTCCTCTGAAGGCAGAAAGTTGGACCACATGACCTCCATGGATCTTCAGGTCCTTTCTGCATTGAATACCCTGAACCTCTGTATACCCAGCTGGCCCACTCACCCAACCATACATTAACAGGGAACCAGTCACCCAACAATTGGTAACTGATTAAGAAAATTAAGTCCTATCTGTAAATGAACATGAAGGTCTAATAGAAATCTGGGTGGTTATGGATTATAGTTTCGGCAAATTCCTTGTCTATTCCCAACACAGCAAGGGCACTTAATAATTAATAAAACAATAAATGAACACATGTCCCCCTCCCTAAAAGTTGACTATATTACAAACCTGGTAGGGAAAGGGATGCTTGTAGGGTGGTACAGAGAACGATGTCATGAATGCTCCCAAATCCCAGAAGAGCACATCTTCCTAGGGGAGGGAACAGCACCGCTTGGGTCCTAAAGCAACCACACAGCTGAGAGTACTCAGTAGAGCAAGAACACAGTGAGGGAAGTGCTGGAGACAAGAGGCATGATGCAGGCTGCTGGGAAGTCAGAACGCGACATATCTGAACCCTCGAGAGAAGGTGTGGGAGACACAGTGGGAATACCTCCACCAACTCAGTTTTAATTGGGTAGCTCTTCCAAAGGTAGTGGGGACAGACTCTGTAGTCCATCCCACCAGCATCAGCACCAGTGCTCAGACGCAGCTGCCCTCACTAACCTTCGGTGCTCTTTCCAGGGCACACTCTCAATGTCAGGACCTCAAGACCCGGATGTGAGTGAGATATGGTCTTTGCCTCATAGATGCCCTATACCCAATATAGCCTACTGTACTGAGCTCTGCCTGCTACCAGGGATTTGGAGACAGGTGGGCCCTCTTTATCCAGGGCTGAAAACAATGGAAGAAACACACAAACTATCGTGGTACTCCTTAGCGTGCATGCACACACACACGTTCTTCCCCCTTCATCCCCTCTCCAACCCTTTATCAAATGTGGCAATTAATCAGCCTTCTTACATCCCTATTCTATCAATGCAATGTTCGCTGTCACTGGAATGCTTTGGATTTCTTAGCATCTCTCAGTATATCAACAGGGTATCCATCGCTGTTTGCCCCTACACAATCCCACGGATACCACCTGGACAAGTCCACTCCCAGGCCTAATACTTGGGGGAACTCAGTGACTATCACAGAAATTCTATTTCCAATTACTGATTCTGTCACAGCCACAGCTCAAGAATTTGGGGGTGCGTCATATAAACAGAATTACGGTAATGCCATTGAGGGCTTCTTGGGATACAGCAGAGTGCCTCTGTTGGAGCACTTCCCAAGTGAAGTGCCATATAATGGGAGGTAAATGCCAGGAAAACACGCCTTCCAGATGGGTGATTACAGCTAGGCTGGGGCTGGCAGGGAGAGGGGTAGTAAAGGCCCCTCAAAACACTGTCTGGCTGGGAAAGGCTCAGCACGGGAGAAGGTGGTGGGATGGGCAAAGGCAGGCAGAGCCAACCTCACTAGCCAGGAGGGCTCAGGCTTGTGTTGTCTTCGTTATCACGCAAGACCTCACTAGCTAATGTGCTGAATCTCCTTTCTTCCACTTTTCCTTTCCTGTGCTTATTACTACATAGATCAGTTCAAAAATTAGGTTCACTGCAAACAAAAATGAAAACAATGTTGCTCTGACTTCATTCCAAGAAAACAGAAAAGGAATGGAGTGTTGATCCAATCTCTGTCCTCGGTTCACTCTGTGATTCTCTACAGTGGTTTATAACTTCCCCTCCCCACTCAAAGGCTCGCCTGATATTGCTATCTAGAAGGATGTATCTGGCATTTTTGTCCAAAGCTCTCAAAGTTAACAGGAACCACCATTTCAGCTCTTGTACACAGCATCCGCCATGGCACTACAGATGGGTAACTTTCATCAGAAGGAAGAAGATGACCTTGTTCATCTTTTATTAAAATCTCTGTTGAAAAGCCAGAACTCTGTATATTTTAAATTATTTATGAACTCTGCACCGTCCCCGATCACTAATTTCCCAATCTCCTTCTACTTATTGATTCTTTGTTCTCCAAATTAACAGAGAGTGAAAGCAATTCTAAAGCGGCTCCAAGCACTCAGCATTGAGGGAAACACCTTCAGGATGATCACAGTCAAAAGGGGAGAATCAGAGCTGTGGCTGGAAGATTAACTCAAAGGTATCCAGGTGATCAAATGAGTCAGAGACGCTGGAAGTATTCTTCTGAATTTGATAAATCAGCTACATTGCAAAGGCTCCTGTGGTGGGTTTTAATGGAATTTTAAAGAAGATAAACAAAATAGCACTGTGTAACAAAGGGTGATAAATCATAATTATCTTCCCTTCATGCTACTGCAACTTGCATCCTCCACTTGAGCATATTTATTCCAACCTGTATTACAAACATCTTCAAATACACAGAGAAGCTACAAGAATTGTACAGTGAATACCCACAATTCCACTACCTAAATTGTGCAACTAGGATTTTCCTAGCTTTATCACACACCTTGTCATCCCTCAACCCATCCATCAATCTATCTTATTTTTAGATACATTTCAAAAGAAGGTGCAGACCTCTGTACACTCAACCCCTAAACCCTGACACATGTATATCACCATCTAGAGTTTAATATTTGGTTATGAGTATTTTAAAGTAAAATATACACATTGAGAAATGCATAAATCTTAGATGTGGCATTTAGTGAGTTTTGATACACCGCGCTTTCTCTTTTAAGGCTTCTTTCGGCCGGGCGCGGTGGCTCACGCCTGTAATCCCAGCACTTCGGAAGGCCAAGACCGGCTGATCACGAGGTCAGATCCAGACCATCCTGGTTAACACGGTGAAACCCCGTCCCTAGTAAAAATACAAAAAATTAGCCAAACGTGTTGGCGAGCGCCTGTAGTGCCAGCTATGCAGGAGGCTGAGGCAGGAGAATGGCTTGAACCCGGGAGGCAGAGAGCTTGCAGTGAGCGGAGATCGAGCCATTGCACTGCAGCCTGGGTGACAGAGCAAGACTCCGTCTCAAAAAAAAAAAAAGGCTTCTTTCATTGAACATAATTATGTTACCTCCCTCTATCACAGTTCATGCCTTTTTCTTGCTGAGTAGCATTCCATTGTATGAATATATCATAATTTGTTTATCCATTCTCCCGACGGACATCTATGCTGTTTCTACCTTTTTTTAAGTTCAGGGGTACGAGTGCAGATTTGTTACAGGTAAACTTGTACAGATTATTTCATCACCCAGGTATCAAGCCTAGTACACATTAGTTGTTTTTCCTGATCCTCTCCCGCCCCCTACCCTCCAACCTCCAAAAGGACCCAGTGTGTGTTGTTGCCCTCTGTGTCCATGTGTTCTCATCATTTAGCTCCCACTTATAAGTGAGAACATGCAGTATTTGGTTTTCTGTTCCTGGGTTAGTTTGCTAAGGATAATGGCCTCTAGCTCCATCCATGTCCCTGCAAAGGGCATGATCTTGTTCTTTTTAATGGCCGCATTATTTTTCTTATTATGAATAAAGTTGCTATAATAATTTGTGTATAAATATTTTTGTGGACATGTTTTTATTTCCCTTGGGCAAATACCTACGAATAAAATTGCTGGGTCACAGGCCTTATAAGAAACTGCCTAACGGGCATATCATTTGAGGTCAGGAGTTCAAGATCAGCCTGGCCAACATGGTGAAACCCTGTCTCTATTAAAAATACATAAATTAGTTAGGCATGGTGGCTTACGCCTGTGATCCCAGCTACTGCTGAGGCTGAGGCAGGAGATTCACCTGAACCCAGGAGATAGAGGTTGCCGTGAGCTGAGATTATCGTGTCACTGCACTCCAGCCTGGGTGACAGAGTGAGACTCTGTCTCAAAAAAAGAAAAAAAAAAAAAGTTTACCCAAAGTGTCTGGACCATTGTACAGCCCCTCCGATGATGCGTTAAGAGTCTCCAGTTGTTCTACATCCTCACCAACATTAGTTTTATTAGCTTTTTCATTTTAGTCACTTTGGTAGGTGTGTAGTAGCATGTCCTATGGTTTTAACTTGCATTTTTCTGAAAACAATAATGTTGAACATCTTTTTATGAGCCTCTTGGCCATTATATCTTCTATTAAAAATATCTGTTAAATTTTCTGCCCATTTAAAAAAATCGCTCGCTTGTTTATTATTGTGTTGCATGGATGCTTTATTTGTCCTGCGTACAAATGTTTCATCAGATAGATGTTTTGCAAATATTTTCTCCCAATTAGTGGCTTACTTACTTTTTCTTAACAGCATCTTTTGATGAACACAAGTTTTGATTTTGATGAAGTTACTGTATCAGACTTTTATGATGATTGCTTTTTGTGCCCTGTCTTAGAAACATTTGTTTATACCTAAGTCCTTTGTTTTCTTCATGCAAGTATGTTTAAGCCTATGTTACACTTATTGCCTTGATTCCTTTCACCTCACTCCTCTCCCAAGGCAACTTTTGAGAAACACACACTTGACTCTCTCGCCACCACTGTCCCCAGCCCTAATCTTACTATTGGCATAAGGAAAAGCTGGAAAAACAGCCAGGGCTGGCTCTGGACACACAGGTTAGCTCTGTGGAGCTCGCCCAGGCTTAGCACTGGGACAGAAATTTTGAAAAGTGCCTCAGAAAAAGAGTGAGACACTGTATCAAAAACACAGGGCCTCCTAGATTCAGCCTCAAATAGGGGCCATGGAGAGAGAAGCTGAGGGAGCTGCATCCCCAGTCCCGTCCATATTGATTTCTGGGAATTCACAGCTCTGGCTTAGTCGGTTCTTTTCCCTCACTTGCATTCATAGGTGTCATCTGTAATAAAAAGCTCTTCTCCAAGCTGCTACTCAATGGGGTAAGGAAGGGGCTGCACAAAAGGACACAGAGCTTCAGGCTGTGTCTGAGGTTTTGTTTGCAGCTGGGTATTCTCGCCACTTAGGAAGTGCTCTTCTTGCTCCCTTCTCAGTGCTCCTCTGGCAGTGTCATGGCTAGCCACTGAGGACAGGCACATCCCTTCTTCCTCTGGCCTCAGTGCCTGCACGCTCCTTCCTCTCTGTTTCCCCCAGGTCTCAACTGATGCTAAAAGTTCCTGGAGGCTTTCACATAGCAGATCTGTCATAAGTCACCCCAAAATAGTCCTTTCTGTTATGCAAATCCAGGTATATCTGCTTATGTAATAAATACATCCCAAAATTTAGGGTGCAAATCAAGTTCTTACACAAATCTATGATTGCAAATGCTTTAGAGAGTTCTCAACTGGAAGAGATGTTCCCACATCATGAAAGTACAAATTTTGTTCCTTTGGGCTTTCTTCTGTGAGTTCTGCTTTAACAGAGGGACCAGGTGGGGAATCATGGCTCACGCCTGTAATCCCAGCACTTTGGGAAGCCAAGAGGGGAAATCCTTTGAGCGCAAGAGTTTGAGACCAGTCTGGGCAACACTGTGAGACCCCATCTCTACAAAAACAGAAAAAATATATAGCCAGGTGTGTTGGTGTGCCTGTAGTCCTAGCTACTGGGCAGGCTGAGGCAGGAGGATTACTTGAGCCCAGGAATTCAAGGCTGCAATAAGCTATGATCACACCACTGCACTCCAGCCTGGACAGAGTAAGACCCTGTCTCAAAAACAAAGAAGAAGAAAAGAGAGATGGACGAGAACTGGGTTCTAACGGTAGAAATTAATCTCAACACCCTTCTAAAATGGCCACTCCCACACCTCCAGGCCCCTCCATACACACTGCCCATGGAAAGGCCGCTCACTAGACACCTGTCCTGGCTCTGTCGCACCCCTGAGAGCCTGGACTTCTCTGCTTTAAAGAGAGGGAGGCAGCCAGAGCTGATACATGATACTTAGTGTATTATTTTAGTGTGTCCTACTTACATTGCTATTTAATTTTTCATAAATTTTCTTCATAGCACTTGTAACAATCTGTAACTTGATTATCCTTGTTAACTGTCTGTGCCCATGGCCAGAAGCCTAAGAGGTATCTTTTCTATTTTGCCACCATATTACCAATGCTTAGCACAGGGCCAGGCACCAAGCGGACATTCAATAACTATTTGTTCAATAAAGACGCATGTGTCCTAGGCACTGCAGCGAGTTTATACATTTCTGGTTGGAAGAGACCATGTCTTCCCTTCTTTTACACTTGCCCAGTATTCTTCACACTTAAAGAAAGGGATTAAAATTTTAAACAAGCAGCAGCCTTCCACTCTGGACTGGTGGCCAGTTAAGTTCTGCTGAGGGATCTTCTACTGGCCCTCCTACCCAGGGTCCCAATGCCGAGGAAGGAGAAGGTCAGACATGTTAGGGAAAGGACATTCACCTTAGAGCCACAAGATGAGGGCTTGAGTCCCAGTCCTCTAAAGTAAGGATGGTAATAGCCACAGCACCCGCTTAGCCATCTCCCAGCACTGTGAGGACAAACCCATCAGCACCATGAAGGTGCTTGGTTGCTGCATATCCATTTAGGAGCACTGGTTATAATTTCCAGCACCTCACAGTGCCAGGTAAATTACCCATGTTTCACTGAGGCTTAGCCAATTAATTCAAAGAAATAACCTGAACCTATGATCTTCACAGAGGAATGAAAGGAAAGAAAATGGGGATTTTTCCATGACTAATTCCAATGCTGGATTTTAATTTTCTGAGGGCCAGGAGACAGGAGGCATGAGAAAATTCAAAATCTAATTCAACCTCTTTCTACTGAGGCTCAGTCCATGGAAAGCCCTGGGCAAGGCTTGGGAGTGCGGGGTTGGGAAGGGTGTGGAAATCAGAGCCACTGTGGGGTGTGCCCGTTTTATTGGTGTGGTTTCTGCCCAATGGACCTACTGTTATGCTAATACTTTACAGCGTTGTTTCTGCATGGAGGGAGGTTACACTGGCTCATGAAACAGACTTGAACACAACAGAGACGTTGGCAGTGGGGGCTGCCGGGTAAGGGCTGCCTGCAAAGGGGTACAAGTGCATCATCCCACAAAACCCTAGGACCTAAGAGTTATTAACCCCATTTCACCAATAATGATATTGAGGTCAAAGAGGTGAAGTGACTTGCCCGAGGTCACACAGCTAGGGAGCAGCAGGGCCAGAATTTCAATCTCAGTCTGTGCAACAGCAAAGCCAGCCCGTCAACTACTGTAGTGCCCTGCCTTACAGATGATAAAGCGCCAGACAGAAGCAAGTACACTCTAGTGCACTCTTGGAGGAAAACAGTCAGTCTGACCAACGAGCAGAGATTCCTTAAGGAGCACAACATCTGAGCAGGACCGGGTGGAGCCCAAAGTGCAGTGCTATGCCTAGAGGAGGGGCAGGTGCAATAAATGGTCCACATGGAAAACCAGAAGCGGGTGGGTTCTGGCTGTATTTGGGGAGGCTGCAGTGTGAGTGTGGGGCTCTCAGGATCTAAAGGGCCTCAGAGGCAGTCTCAGAAGTTTTCTTGTGTGAGGTTTCTGAGCAGTGGACAGACCGCGAGCTGTGGTGGCTGTTGTCAGAGCCCTCAACTCTGACCAGGCAGCAGCAACAGCAGCAACTGTGGCTGCCAGGGAAGTCTCCGCATCAGCACAAATCCAGGCTGCCCATGAGCTGAAGTGTTCCTGCAGAGCCCAGCCAGACCTGGGCCATCTGAGGACAGCTACATGCTGTCTGCAGCACTGCCAGCACCTGGGCGACCTTGGTGCCCGTCAGCCCAGCCCTTCATGCCCTCACCTCTCCAACTGCTTCTCCAAAAGCACAACTGAGGTAAAGACACACACTGGGTACTGTGCAGCTGCTAGGAGCTGTCGAGTCTACCAAGTGGGACCACAAGAGCTGGCGGGTCCCTACAGGTCCAACCCCTCCCTGTACTGAGGAGGTCCCTGTGACTTGGTGGATGCAAAGAGCTGTTCAAGGTTCCCCAGGTCAGAGGCCCAGCCAGAGCTGTGGCTCGGGGCTCCTCTTCATTCCTTCAGCAGAGACTGATGGAGCACCTAAAACATACCTGGGCTTGGCCTGGGTGCTGGGGACAAAAGGGTGGAAATGATAGACAAGTGACTCTCCTTACAGGGCTTCTGTTTGGTCTCCAAGTCCAGGGCTCTTTCCACTGCACACATGCCTCCATTCCATCTCCCCCAGTACATTTGAGGCTCACATGTAAATATCTACCTCCCCAGCTGCGTCCCTAGCTGAGTGCCTGAGTCACTGTTCCAGTACAGCATCTAGCACTTGGTTGGGCTTAGAGCCAGCCCTGAATAATCCTGTTAGTTGACCACCCATAGTCCTTGCTGGGTAGTCAATTACTGTACAAGTGAACTAAGTCGCCCATGCTCCCCACACTTCCTTTTCCTCAGCTGTAAAGTGGGATGGTGATAATTACAATGTCATACCTCATGTTTGTTGAGCATTGCCTAGGAGCCAGTCATTATGCTAAGTACTTTACAGGCAATGCGTCACTTAATTGTCATAACACCCCTAAACCCTAGGGTTTATGAAACTGAAAATACTACTTTCAGTGCTTCACAGATGAGGAAACTGAGGCTTAGAAGGTAAAGAATTTAACAGAGGTTACATGGAAGTAGCAAATCTGTCACTCCAAGACCTGTGCTCTTAGCCTAAACACTAAACTACCTACCTCCTCCTGCCTCCCCTCACTACCTCCACCCCACCCACTGACATCGGAGGGCTTTGGAGAGAATTGGGGGAGACAGTGGAGAGGAGAGCACACAGTGACTCTGGAAACACAAGCCCTACACAGAGGTATGGGAGCTGGATGCTTCTGCTATCAACAGTGAGTATCGTGAGACAACAGCCGCTATGAATGGTTGGTCCTGCTGACAACATAGAGGGCTAGACCTCAGGGGATCGGCAGGACTTGGAAAAGCAGAGAGGAGGAGAGAGAACATTCCAGGCAGGTGTGCTGGGGGAGGGAGGCAGCATCTGGAAGCAAGGCCCAGAGGAGGGAATAGAGGTTCAAGAGGCATAAGTCAAACTGCCTCAACTACGTGCAAAACTCCTACTGTGACACCAACCATTCTTTCCCCTCAACCCACCAGGGAGACATACCATCAGTGTCCTGCACCTGCCTCCATGGAAACCCACCCAGCATATCCTCCTATCTCAACCCTCAAACCCAGATCCCAAGGGAGCACATTTAAAAAAAAAAAGAAAAAAAGGCAAGGCAAAGCTGGCATGCTTCTGAGTTTCAGGCTCCTGCCTCATTTCCTATAGGCTCTGGCACAGTGATTATTCGCATGGCTGATTGGATAACCGATTATACAGCAGAATATTTTTAGGTCTGCATCTCAAAACACACACAAAACAAAAACAGGGAAGGCATAGTGCATTTCCTCCTAGGCCTGCTGTAACAGGCAAGCACAGCATTAGGTCAGGGGGTGGGTAGGAAGAAGACGGAAGAAAGCAGAAGAGTTGTCTCCTCGTTAAGTCTGGTTGACTCCAGAGCAGCTGCATCTGTTTGGATGGCAGAGAGACAGAATGTGCGTGTGAGCCTCTGTGAGGGAGAGCAGAGAAAGAGGGGACAGGAAGACACAGACTGGGAATGTCAACCTCTTCCTCATTCCTTTTCTAGCCTTCTCTCCACAATGTTGTCCCTTCCCCCACCTCCACAGAATGAGCACTGCCTCTAGGGGTCCTGAAACAGAGACATGATGATATGAACCGGGGGGCCGGTACCCTTTCTTCAGCTCCAGGTAGGTTCAAAGTCGAACGCTGATCACAACCACTGATAGTGAGAAGAACACATCATACCTCAACCCTGCTACGTGCACAGCCCTTAGCATTCACAATTCACTTCACCTGCACCATCCCAACTGAGCTCACCCTCACCCTGCAGGGTCACTGGAGCAAGAATGCTTTAGAAGGGGAAAGTTTCCCAAGGATCATCAAGTCTAAACCTCCCACTCTTCCGTGGAGACTCAAAGGTCCACAGAGAGGAAAGGATTTACCTGATGTCACACATCAAGTCATACTGGAAAGCAGGTAAGTATGAGAACTGACAGGCCAGCTGTAACAAAAATACAGAAACTGCAGCAAACCTGCTATCGATACAGTGTCAAAAAAGAACTGCCAAGGAGGAGTTTGACATTTCCTTGTCACCCAGAAGTGGCTGCCCTAACTGAAAAGTAGAAAGGCTTCCAAAAGACCCAAGTTACAGCGCCAGTTGGAACAAAATAACCTGAAGAGTAGAATTCTGTTTCATAGAATGCAGCATATGCTTTGGACCAGAAACCCATATATGGTGCAGCCTCTCTCACAGCTACAATATGTGGGTCCAGAATTCAAAGGGTGAAAGTGAGGGTGGCTCCTCTCGCTAATAAACAATGCACAGAATATTTCATTCCTGTCTCAGCAACTTTAAGCCCACTGGTTTGGAGATCTTGGTCCCCAAGGGAGGAAATGGGGATTCTTCCACCAGGCTATAAAGCAGTGGTTCCACCGAATTTAAACACGGGATGAGCACCTGGACACTTTGGTCCCATTATGTCACCAAACCAACAGGCAGGAAAGGGTGGGTTAATCTACTGTCTGTTGTGATTGCTTATGATTAGCACAGGGCAACCGGGTTGCTTCTACCCAATCTAGGCAAAGAGGCCAGGTCTGGAACCCGGGTGATCCTCTGGTGCATCTCTTATTATTTCCATGGCTTCTAGTAAAGGTTAATAGAGAATTACAGCAACCAAAACCAGGCAGGAGAACTGAAGATTTGAACCCCTGAGGAAGGAAGGTTTGGGTCCCTCTACCAGGTGAAGAAGCCTGAACAGCAGGTGATGGGGCTGAGAGCAGGGGACACATAAAATAGATAGTGGAAAAAATGAAGCCACGGATGTCAATGATGGTCTGGTGACCAATTTAAAAAATGAAGGCTGCAGCAACTTTGCATATTTTCTATTTGCCTGTTATCTTTGCATCTTATTTAAATGTGTTAGTCATTTTCTTCTCTCTCCTTCCCATTTTGATCTTCTACACAAGTTGTGGGAAATTAACATAGTTAACTTACTGAAGTACAATTTAGTGTGTAGATAACAGACTATTCCACAGGAGTGTGATGAATTTGAGGAGTAATTAAGATAGCCAGCAAGGAGTATGGTGACTCTTGGCACTGTGTGTCTCCTCATTTTGGGGAATGGTGATAACTTCTTCACTTGTAACCAAGTTAGCTGCATCTTGCTAGGTAGAGACAGTTGTTATGACACACAGGAGTTCACACAAAAGGGACGTATGGAAGCTGAGTAGCCATGAGGTGTACCAGTTATACACTGATTACCTCTCCATTCCAAGTACACCCTGTTTGCTTGTTCTGTGAAACGAATGTGGGCCTTATAAATATTCTTCCTTTGTCAACTGGCAAAGTGTGACGCTTTAACAGGAAGAAAGCATTTTGTTCCTGGTTGTACTGTGCTCACTCAGCACACTCCTGCAGTGTACCTGCCTTCTCCAGGGCCAGCTCCTACAGTGCCTGTGGACAACAGCACCCACTGGCCAGCACTTTCTCCAGCATCCCCACCTCCTACACCTCGGGGAGTTTCTAAATGGAGCGCCTCCAGTGAGATATCTCCCACATCTTCCCTTGGCACCCTAGAGGGCGGATTTCTGGCAAATTCCAGAGGATAGGTTTCCAGCAAGTTCTACCAGCACAGGACCAGAGAGACTTCCCCACCATCCTCATGACACAAAAACAATTTCTATGCCATTCAGTGAACCACAGTCAAGCTCTGTGCAACAAGATCTGGATCTCAGCCCCGGGACGATGTCTTCCTCAAGTGCTCTATCTCAGCCCTAAGGGTACTTTCTTGTCTCTCTTTTTTTTTTTTTTTTTGAGTTGGGGGCTTCACTATGTTGCCTAGGCTGGTCTTGAACTCCTAGGCTCAAGTGACCCTCCCACCTTGGCCTCCTAGTAGCTGGCACTACAGGTATGCGCCAGCACACCTAGCTGTATCTTATTATCTATTCCTATCTTCTTTAGAGTTCTACTTCTTACTAGCCAATCCTTCATTACTCCAATTCCACTATGGTTAATAATTTCTTATATTGAACTTTAGTTATTCAAATTACTACGTGATTTCTGTCTCCTGGTTACAGATACAGATTGATAGAGCAAGTGTGAGATCCAACAGCACAGCTATCACAAAAAGCAGAAACTGCCCGAAACCTTGTATCAATACAATATAAGGAAGAAGTGTCAGAAAGTGACAGTTCTCAATCCAAGCAGAAGCTGGGTATTTCTGCAGGAGCGTTTAGTGGGACAAGAAGACATTTCCATTGTTAGGTTGAGTCTCAGTGAGGAAATTCACAGTGACCTCAAAAACACCTTACACTCACAGCATGTATTATGGTTTCCAAAGAGTTCTCACATCCTTTTTAAAATATTTGAATCCATACACACACACACACACACACAGATGGCCGTGCCAATTATATAAATAAGGAATATGAAGCAGATGCTGAGGGCTGGAGTGTCTCATCCCAAGTCACAGAGTCAGATGTGGCTCCAGAATTACAACGTCTGGTTTCTTATTCAGATACTACGCTCTTTCCACTCTACTAGATCACAAGAACAACTATCATTACTGAGAAGCAGGAAGTACAGGAAGAAGAGGGAAGAGGGAGGGATAACAAACTGAGGCATTATGAACGAGGAAGTCTTGAATAGGGCCATCTTCTTTGTGGTCAAAAGGGAAATGAAACTTAATTTGCAGAAGCCAATGCAAAGCATAGAAAAACCATAATAGCTCTGTCCTGGCACTTGATAAATACATTATAGAGAATTTAATTTATAAGCTTAAATTCACAAATTTAGGGTTAATCAGAGCAACTCAGCAGCATACTCTGTGGTGTTTGCACAGAAGCAAAGTGCCCTCTTACCTACATAACCTATTAACTGTCTCACTTTTAAAAACTCAAACTGAAATTTCCCTTTAATCCTACAGAACTGCATTTTTCGGCCTGTTTATAAATGATCACCTTTAAAAAGGTGACGACTGCCTTCTACTTCTGGCAATGATGAAATAAAATGGACCAAATTTATCCTCCTGCCTTAAACAACTTGAAAACTGGGGAAAAATATAAAACAAATATTTCTAGTATTCAACGACAGACAGTGAAGACTGTAATGCCTGAGAGATGGGCTCCCTTCTCTCAAACCAAGTGAGCTTCACGACTGCCCCAGCTTTCTGCCTGGAGGTTCATTCTGAAACGTGAAGCAGAGAGTGGGGGCGCCAAGCAGAACACAAAGGTCTCACTGAGCTGAGGAAACAGTCTGGAATGTAGGGAGTCTGAGGTGGCTAGACACTGCAGGGCAAAGAATCCAGAAATCTGAAGAGGGAAACCCTCCAGTCTTTGCTGAATACTAAGTCATAGATGTGAGGACAAAACTCCATGAGGCTAAGCAAAAAGCAACTCTGAAACTGTGAGCTGAACAGATCCCAGCATTCGCATAGGGTTAGCATTCATTTGATTTTCCAACTATCAGAGTCAAAAGATGTTGTTGATCCCTTGGGGTTTAGGCAGAGACCCTAAAAGGTGATCCTAAACCCACCCTAACAACGCTTAAAGACAGTCTTTGAAAGGATCACTATGAGCAACAAGTAACTTGACTGTCAACCGTAACAAATTACACATTCTTTAAAGGAAGAAAATTCAGATGCTCCACAATATAATTTTTACAATACCCAGCATTCAATCAAAAATTACTAGAATTGTCATGAAAAAGGAAAATAGGACCCATAAGCAGTTTTTGGAAAATTACTAAACAGAAACAGACTTAGAAATGAGGAGGTAATAGAATTAGCAATCAAGGATTTTCAATCAGCTATCATAATTTTATTCAAGTATTTTTAAAAACATGCATAATGAAAGAGGAAATATCAAATATTTTTTTAAATCAAATGAAATTTCTAGAAATGAAGATGTTTAAAATTAAAAATTCACATGTGATGGAATTAACAGTGGACTAGACCAGAGTTCAGCAAACTATGGCCGATAGACCTAATCCCAGACCGTAGCTTGTTGTCATAAATAAAGTTTTACTGGCACACTCATTTTTTGGTGTATTGTCTATGCATGTGTTTGTGATACATTAGGAGAGTTGTGTGATTGTAACAGACCATCTGGTCCACAAAGCATAAAATATTTACTATCTGATCTTTTATAGAAAAAAATTTGCTTATCCTTGAACTAGACACTACAGAAGAAAAGATTAATGAACATGGCTACATTTACATTATCCAAAATTAATTAAAGATTGGTTTTTAAAATGATGAACAGAAACTCAATGACTTATGAACAAGATCAACTGGGTTAATACATGTAATCGAAGTTCTGGGCAGAGGGGTAGAAGCAAAAAATAATAATGATTGAAAAATTAATAAATATAAAGACTATAACCCACATAACCAAGAAGCTCAATAAATCCAGAGGTGAATAAACAAAGAAAACCTCTCACTAAAATCAAGTACCCAAAAACTGATATCAAGAAAAAATCTTGAAATCAAATGAAGAAAAAAACCTTATGTGTACATTATGTACACAGAATCAAAGAAAAGTTTTGTTTTGTTTTGAGACAAGGTCTCAATCTCTGTTGCCCAGGCTGGAGTGCAGTGGTGCAATCATGACTCAACTGCAGCCTCCAACTCCTGGACTTAAGCAATCCTCCTGCTTCAGCCTCCAGAGCATCTGGTATTACAGGCACATGCCACCATCCCCAGCCAATTTTTTAAACTTTTTGTTGAGATGGGGTCTTGCTACGTTGCCTGTGCTAGGCTGGTCTTGAGCTCCTAGCCTCAAGCAATCCTCCTACCTCAGCCTCCTAAAGTGCTGGGATTGCAGGCATGAGCCACAGTTCCTGGCCAAAAGAAAGTTCTGACTTTGCAAGCCAGAAGACGATAGAATGGCATCTTTAAAGTGCTGCAAGAAAAACTGTCAATCCAAAATTCTATATCCAGTGAAAATATCTTCCCAAATGAGAGTAAAATGAAGTTTATTCAACAAACAAAAGCTGAGAGGATTCACTGCCAACAGAAATACACTACAGAAAAGTTAAAGCAAAGTCCTCAAATGGAAGGAAAATGACACCAAATGGAAATGTGAATCTATGCAAAGAAATGAAGAGCCCTATAAATGGTAAATACACGTATACAGAGAAGACACATATAAAATAGATATAGCTTATGTGGCAAGAGTAGAAATAAAATGGAATGTCAAAGAATATTCAATTATACTAAAAGAAGGCAGAAAAAGGGGAAAAGGAACAACAAATAGATGGAAAAAATAGAAAATAAGTACCAAGATGGTAGACTTAAAACCCAAACATAAATGACACAAACACTTCAACTGGAAGACAGAGTTGTCATAGTGAACAATAAAGCCCAACTAAAACTGGTCTTTCCAAGGTAGGTGTACCTTAATATTGGACAAAATAAATTTCAGAACAAAGAACATCAACAGGGAGAAAGAGGAACATTTCATAATGATAAAGTCATCAGTTCATCAAGGAAACATAACAACCCTAAATGTGAATTCATCCAGGAGCAAAGCTTCAAAATATATGAGGCAAAAACTGACACAACTGAAAAGATAAATCAATCCACAAGTATAGTTGGGAACTTCAACATTCCTCTCTCATAACTGATAAAACAAGTAGAAAGAAAATCAGTATGTATACAAAAGAATAGCACTATCAATCAGCTTGGTTAAATTTATAGAACCTGGCATTTATAAAACATTCTACCCATTAACAGCCCAATAAACATGATTTTCCAGTTAATATGGAATATCTACCAAGATAGACAATATGCTGGGCCACAAAACAAGCATTAATACATTGAAAATGTTTAAAAGAATACAAAGAACATTCCCTGATCATAATGGAATTAAAAGTCAATGATTGACCTTTTGATGTTGGTCAAAACCCAAATATGTAGAAATTTACAAACACATTTCTAAATAATCCAAGGGTCAAAGAAGATAAATAAAATATTTTCAACATTTGAGTGAAATAATATGCAACATACCAAAAAAACTGAGCATAGGTAACTCAGTACTTAGAGGGAAATGTATAGCCAATATTCCGATATTAGAAAAGATCTAGAATCAATTGTGCAACCTTCTACCACAGAAAAGATTACCAAATTAAATCCAAAATAGTAGAAAGAAGGAAAAAACAACGGCAAGCGCAAAAGTAAATGAAACTGAAAATAGGCAAACAATAGAGAAAAATCAAGGGAAGAAAAAGGTGGTTTTTTCAACATCAACGACTCTTAGAAATTTCCAGCTAGACTGATCGCAGAAAAGGAGGAAATGAATTACTGGTATCAGAAATAAAAGAAAGACAATTACTAGAATACCTATAGACTTTGAAAATATAATCAGGAAATATTATGAATAATTTTATGCCAATAAATTTGATGCCTTAGATGAAATTGGAAAATTCCTTCCAAGATACAAGCTACCAAAGCTCAGATGAAGAGAAACAGAAAATCTGAGTAGTCCTATATCTATTTAATAACTTGAAGTTTTTTTTTTTTTTTTTTTTTTTTGAGGTAGAGTCTTGCTCTGTCATCCAGGCTGGAGTGCAGTGGCGCAATCTCGGCTCACTGCAAGCTCTGCCTCCCAGGATCACGCCATTCTTCTGCCTCAGTCTCCCAAGTAGCTGGGACTACAGGTGCCCACCACCGTGCCCAGCTAATTTTTTGTATTTTTAGTAGAGATGGGGTTTCACCATGTTAGCCAGGATGGTCTTTATCTCCTGACCTCATGATCTGCCTGCCTTGGCCTCCCAAAGTGTTGGGATTACAGGCGTGAGCCACAGCGCCCGGCCTAATAACTTGAATTCTTAACTTGAAATCTTTCCACAAAGAGAACTCCAGACTCCATTTCACTGGTAAATTCTGTCAAACATTTAAGGGATAATACTAATCCTACACAAAGTCTCTTAGAAAGCAGAGGAAGAAGGCACACTTTTCAGCTTATTTTATGAAGCCAACAATACCAGACATTTAAAGAAAGAAAACTATAAACCAATATCCCTCATGTACACAGACATAAAAATTCTTACAAAATAACAGCAAATTAAATTCAATAATATATCAAAAGGATAAGGCACCATCACCACAATCAAGTGATGTTTATCCTAAGAAAGCAAGGTGGTTTTAGCATTTAAAAATCAATTAATGCTATTTACTATATTAGTGGAATAAAAAAGAAAACCATATGACCATTCTAATAGATACGTTAAAAGAGTGTTATAAAATTCCATAACTACTCATGGTAAAAGCTCCTGAGAAATAGAAATAGAAAGAAACTTCTTCAACCTAATAAAGGACATCAGCAACAAACCCACAGCTAGCATCATACTTAACGGTGAAGAAATGAGTGCTTTCCCCTAAGATCACAAACAAGACAAGGATTCCATTGTCACTACTCCTATTCCACATCGTAATAGAGGTTTCAAATAATGTAATAAGGCAGGAAAAAGAAATTAAAGGCTTACCGATTATAACGGGAGAAGGAAAACTATCTTTGTTCACAAATGACATGATCTATATGTCTAAAATCCTAATGAATTCACCGAAAAAGTAACTAAGAAATGAGTTTACAAGGTTATGGGATACAGAGTCAATATACAAAAGCTGCTTTTAATTCTATATCCTAGCAATAAACAAATGAAAATTGAAATAAATACCATTTACAATAACATCAGAAACAAATGATATAGGGATGCATTTAGAAAATTATGCAAAACATTTGAAACTGAAAACCACAAAACATTATTGAAAAAAATTAAATCAAATCTAAATAAATTATGAGAAATATACATGTTCATGGACAGAAGACTTGATATTAAAATGTCAATTCTCCCTACATTGAGATATAGATTCAGTGTAATCCCAATCAAAATCTAAACAGGGCTATTTTTATAGAAATTGACAAGCCAATTATTAAATTTATATGGAAATACAAAGAACCTAATGTAAAACTGGAGAACTTATACTACCTGATTTCCAGATACACCATAAAGCTACATTAATCAAGACATAGTGGGATTGGTGTATGAAGAGACATACAGTCCAATAGGAAAGAATAGAAAGTTCCGAAATAAACACACATACATAATTTATTTCACAAAGGAGCCAAAGTTATTCAACAAGCATAGTTTTTCAACAAATGATGCTAGAACAACTGGATATTCAGGTTAAGGAGTGAACTTCAACTCTTACTTCACAGATACCTTATATAAAATTATCTCAAAATGAATCATAGAGCTACATGCAAAAGCTAAAACTATAAGTCTGGACTCTTATTCTCTGGGGGAGAATCCACTTTCAGACTAATTCGGGTTGCTGGCAGAATTTAGTTACATAAGACAGGTCCCCACTCTTGCTGTCACAGCTGGGGGTCCTTCTCACCTTCTAGAAGACATCAGCAATGCCTGGCTCATGGCCTCCTTTCCCTGTCTTCAAAGTCAGCAGGTTGAGTTCTCACTCTTTAAGTCTGACCTCTCCTTCTACCATGTCTCTCTGATTGGCTTATGCCCTCCCTTTCTGATTTTAAGGGTCCATGTGATAACCCTGGGCTTGCCCACTTCCAGGGTAATTTTCCTATCTTAAAGTCAGTTGATCAGCAAGCTTAATTCCATCTGCACAGTCAGTCCCTTTTGCCCTGTAACATAATACGTTCACAGGTGTATCACCAGGGAGCATCAAAAATAATGAGGGCCAAAACCCCACCTACATACAATATGGCCCAGCAACTGCAGTCTTTGCTATTTTTCCCAAGGGTAATAAAAGCATATATGTGTGTACACAAACACCTATATAAAATGTTCATAGCCACTTTATTTGTAATAGCCAAAACCTGGTTATTTTTCATAGCCAAAACAATGTTTCCAATGTTTAGACTCTAATGTCCAACAGCAGGTACAGGGATAAACAAATTGTGGTATATCCATACAATGGACTACTATACAGCCATAAAAAGGACAAACTTGTGATGCACACAGAAGATTACATTCTATATCATTTCACTTATGAAACGTGAATATAACTTGTAATAGTAAAAAGATGAATCTAATCTATAGTAGTAAAAAGCAGATCAGTGTTTGCCTGGGTCAGGAATTGGGGGTGAGGACTGACTAGATAGGGCACAAGGGACCCTTATGGTGATAGCAGTGTTCTGCATCTTGAGTGGGTTGGTAGTTACAGAGTGTATATACTTATCAAAACATCCATCTGTAAAATATATACTTAAAGGCATATGTTTTAAGTAAATTTTAGCTCAATAAAGTGGGTAACTATCCCTTTCTCAAGCACTGGTGGGAATCAAAGCCCAAACCACATATCACATTTACTGATAATACAGAAAGCCCACAGCCCTTGGCCTGCCACTGTACCCTTGACTCAGATTCTAGGTGCCTGTCATTTCCAAGTCTTTTCTACTGTCTTTTTCTTCCATGGTCAAGGCTATCAAAGCAGCCAGTTCCCACCAAGGTGTGGAGGCAATCATGTAGTTAAACGTAGTTCACCATAATTGAAGGTAATTCATGTTGTCACATTTGCTGTAACCAGAGGTCACATTTCTGGAATGAGAGAAGCTGCTCACATTAATCGTAACTGACATGGCCTCCCTCCTTCAGGGGCATCCAGCCACAGTGCAGGGGTTTCTGTACTTTGGCTCAAGGGTTCAAGGGACTCCATCTGGATCTCTGCATTTCTCTTTTTCTTTCAGTGAAAAATGACATGGATGGTTAAAAGATAAAAAAGAGACAGTTGAGAAATCACAGGTCAGCCAACTAAATGTGACTGCAAAGCTGATTTCAGCACTTTGTTCCTATTATTGGGTCCAGTCTGTTGACACAGTTGATGGTTTTCTTCAATTCCCACACCAGCCTTCTTGGTGTTTCCTAGTCTTTGCCTCCTGGGCCCATTTAAGTCACGGGGTAACAGTAGAAACAAACAGGTCCAGAGGCCCATCTCCCCAGAGCTGTGCTCAGAGAATAACTAGGGAAGCTCTGGGGAGAGGGCAGACACTTCAGGAAAGCATGATACCTTCTTTCCCCAAGGGCTTGGTCCTGGGACCCAGGGCCTCTAGGGAAAGCATCTCACAGCTCTGAGCACTGGCATTGCAGTCTCCAGGTCACATGCTATCTCCACCTTTACTGATCTTGGTAAGTGTTCTTATCTCTGGAAGGGGAGAACAGACCTGCATCATAGGATGCTGTGAACATGAAACAGGACATTCGTAAAAGTTCTTTGAAAATCAGAAGTGCTGTGCTATGCTTCTGTTTTAAATTTTGGATCGCCATGTCTTAAAGGTGGGCCACACGCATTCTGGTTCACCACAATACTAACCATCCAAGTGTAGTCTTCCTAACTGCTTCCCTGATTTTTGTTACCTATCTGGCTTCTGAAGGCATCAGAATTCATTATCCTTATAGAAATGCTGTAAAATGTCAAATGCACTGCACAGAAGTTATAATTACAGATTTGACAGCTAGCTTTCAGTGTGCTGCTCATTCAATCACTTCAATTAGTTCGAGTCCCTTCTTTCTCTGAACAACTACAGAACCTAGGAGCCTTCCACTCATTTGGGCACATAATTACACATTCCTGGAAAGATGAAAGTACTTTGAGGGGCCAGAAAATGATACCTCATTTGTCCCCCTAAGAACTTCCCACGGTGCCAGACACACAAAGGAGCCCTCCACGGTGGTCTCACACTACATGGGAATTGCTGATGTCTGGAGGATCTCCCTACCCACAGTCGCGGTTCTCACCTTCACAACTGCTATGCAGTGTGTGAATGTCATTTATTTCTAACAGTACAGTATGGAAATCTGAATAACCTATTGAATTTATTGTGCTTTTAATTAGGTAGATTCAGGTTACCTTTTTAATAATGTCCCTGTTTCATACACACATAAGTGCACCTTCTTGAGTAGAGGAGAAAGGAATGGAGTTACATGTGAGCTCTGGGAAGCAGGCATAACCAGTGGCCTAAATGCAACAGCCCACAGTGAGAACCCACTACGGATACTGTCACCATCAGGGGTGAGCATGCTACTCTGCCCACAATAAATCTTAGGAATGTCCATCCTCTTACATATCAGACCTTGAAATGAAGGTGCTAATGTTTCTAGATCTTTAGATTTGGGGCTTTACCCCTGGTAGAGGGTCAGAGTCTGTCCCCTCCTACTAATACCAAGGGGCACGCCATCTCCACATGGTAGCCAATGCTTCTGTAAGTATGTACAGCACTTTACAGTTAAGGCACTTTCATATCCACCATTTCATCCAACTCCACAGCAGGTCTGTAAAGCAGGGATATGTATCCCCATTTTAAAGCAAGGACCAGCAAAACCAAGCCAGCTGCTAGATGTTGGTCCCATGGCTATTAAAAGGTTTCTGAGCTACAGGGAGAAGTGCAGGGCAGGGGTGGGTGGGGAGGTGTTCAATGCCTTCTTCAAAAAGCCCTCCATTTGAAATCCTCCTTCTCCTCCTCAACAATGTGCCAGCCCCATCTCTTTATTGAACACATGGCCCCAGGTTGTTCTTCTCTCCTGAAGAGTGCAGAATGGCTATCTACTGAGCTCCACTCCCCATCTGCTGGCCAGTCATCCAAATGCCTGCTCAGTGAGTCTTCTGCACTGTTTCCTCCATCTGCAGCTTCCATCCAGTATGCAGCAGGCAAGCCAGGATTCAAAACTGCCTACTTCCAACTCCCTTTGCAACTATTCCCACTTCCCACTTTTCACACAATTAAGAGTACCCATCAACCTTGTGCTTCATGGTAAGGGAATCAGTCAGCCAGTGAAAACTGACCTCAATAAGAAATAGAGCCATACTCTCAGCCCCAGGATTTAGGTGTCTTTAGATGTCTAGAATTTCCTCCAGACAAATCTGCCTGTGTTGCTCCATCCGCATTACCTAATGAAAATTTATGTAAATGTAGATACCTGCTGTCAGGCCCTCTACTAAATCTTCCTGCATCCCATTAAATATAACCAACTGTTAGAGCATCCAGGTCAGAAGTTACCAAACACCAGTCCATACATCAGCTGCATTAGGATTACCTGGAAATCTTTCTGTAAAAAATAAACAAAACCTTCCTGAGTACCCCGTATCCCTGCAAAATTCTAATTCAGTGAATCTGGAAATCAACCATAGGATATGGATTTTGAAGTTCCCCAGGGGTATTCATGCACAGATGAGGCATCATTGTTCTGGGGAGCCTGTCATGTTTGTGGGCTCCCCATCAATAACTTGCCAGTTTTATTGCTGCCACATGAAGTGGGATTATAAACTATAGCTTCCAACACAATATTCCATTTTTTCTCCCTCTGTCGCTAAGAGTACTGAGTGGTATTTTGCAATTTATGAAGCATTCTCATTTGATTTAGAGAATCAAATGATTTCACAGTGTAATACCATCTATATATACTAGGTCCCAGGAACTGTTCTACGTGCTTTAAAGGTAGAAAGTCATTTCATTCTCACAACAACCCCAAGGGGTACATTTCTTATTATGTCTCATTTTACAGATGAGAAATCCGAGGCACAAAGAGGTTACAAAACTTGCCCAAGGTAAAGCAGTTAATATCCGAGGTGCGATTCAAACCCCAGCAGTCTGGCTTCAAAGCTCAGGCTTTCAATCACTCTGTGCCACTGCTGTTCAAGGCAAGCATGAGCATTATTCCCACTCTAAAGAGTTTCAGTGACTGGCTGAAGTACATCAAAATATTTGGAACAATTTCTCAAGGGAGAACCATATCTGTTCCATGTGTCAGCTCAGGTCTCTCAGAAAGCCGCAGATGCAAAACCAAAATGAAGAGCACAGTTTCATGCTATGTAGGTCTATGCTTCCCAACCAGCCCTCCTGGCCTTCACGGCTCTAGGGACCTCACCTGTGCCACATGCCCAGCATATGACAACATCCTGTGACGCAACTGCATCTCACTCTCCAAGAGGGACAACTTCGTCCGCTGGAGAGAAATAGCTCAGCAAAGCTGCACCACTGCACGGCAAAGGAAACAGTCAACAAAGTGAATAGGTAATGCACAGAATGGGAGAAAACATTTGCAAAGTATCCATCTGACAAGGGATTAATAACCAGAATATATAAGGAGCTCAGACAACTCAATAGGGGGAAAAAAAAGCCCAATTTAAAAAATGGGCAAAAGATCTGTATAGATGTTTCTCAAAAGAAGACAAACGGCCAACAGGTTATATGAAGAAATGCTCAGCATCACTAATCATCAGAGAAATGCAAATCAAAACCATGAGATACCACCTCACCCCAGTTAAAATGACTTTTATCAAAAATACAGGGAATAACAGATGCTGGTAAGGATATGGAGAAAGGGGAACCCTCACACACTGTTAGTGGGCATATAAATTAATACAGCACTATGGAAAACTGTATGGGGGTTCCCCAAAAAACTAAAAATAGAACTATCATATGATCCAGCAATTCCACAACTGAGTATACAGCCAACAGAAAGGAAATCAATATATCAAAGAGATATCTAAATTCCCATGTTTATTGCAGCATTATTCACAAGAGTCAAATACAGAATCAAGTTAAGTGCCCATCAATGGATGAAGAGATAATGAAAGTGTGGCATATATACACAATGGAATATTATGCTGCCATAAAAAGAATGAAACCCTGTCACTTGCAGCCACTTGGATGGAACCAGGGTCATTATGTTAACTGAAATAAGCCAAGCACAGAATGACAAATATCACATTCTCACTTATATGTAGGAGCTAAAAAAGTGGCTCTCATGAAGATAGAGAGTAGAATGGTAGTTATCAGAGACCAGGAAGGGTGAGGAGAGGGGAGAATGAGGAAAGGCTTCTTAATGGGTACAAATAGATTGAAGAAATAAGACCTAGTGTTGACAGATCAATAAGGTGACTCTAACACTAATCTAACACAGGCTGGGTGTGGTGGCTCGTGCCTGTAATCCCAGCACTTTGGGAGGCTGAGGCGGGCCGATTACCTGAGGTCAGGAGTTCAAGACCAGCCTGGCCAACCTGGTGAAACCCCGTCCCTACTAAAAATACAAAAACTAGCCAGACATGGTAGCGGGCACCTGTAATCCCAGCTACTCTAGAAGCTGAGGCAGGGGAATCGCTTGGACCCAGGAGGTGGAGGTTGCAGTGAGCCAAGACAAGCTGAGATCGTGCCTCTGCACTCTAGCCTGGGTGACAGAGTGAGACTCCGTCTCAAAAAATAAAAAATAAAAAAAGGGGAGCTACTGCCATGATTATTATCATTATTGTTGTTACTACTACTGCTGCTACCACCACCATGATTTACATACGTTTTCTACATGGGGTCAGAAAAATTAGTGATCAAGCTAAAACAGAATGGTATTATCCAGGATGGCTAAAGTTGGCAGGCTCTTTTCCGCTACTCAAAATCTTCCCAGCTAATTTTAGAATCCCAGGAATTATAAAATCCCAGGACTTTTAGAATCCCAGGGTCTGTTTTAAATCATCTCCTGCCTTCTCCCTTGCTACTAAACCAGCTGTTCTTAACCAGGGAGCACAGCCCCAAGAGGGGTAGATCTTGGTAAAGTGGATTGGTTCTCAGAGAGGAGTGTGGATTAAAGGAGCCTATTTAGTATGAGAATGTAATTTCATATTTTCACATTGAAAACCTTAGTACATATGACAGGAAGCAAAGCTTGAGTAAGCCATGCTGATGGGATGTACAGAGAAACAGTACAACCCTCTGTGCACATCGATGGTTCTCAAGGAGGATGGAGGGGCAGTGAGCATGCACACAGCCTGAAAGTGGCACCGGTCTCCGAAGGGGGCACAGGCATTCTTATATTCATGACAAGAGGGCATGACCTTAAAAGGCAGGGAACAGAAAAAGAGTGTGCTGTGCAGGCCTGAGATCATTTCTCTCCTAACACCAAACTTACAACGTACTGTGGAGTTAGAGAGGGTGCCCCAACACGTTAGGGTTGCCAATAAAGGAAAAACACAATGGACTCACCGCTGGAGTGGGAGGTGGGCACAGAGGACATGTACGGGAATCACGGAGGATTATCTGTTTCAATCATTCAGAACCAAGTCCTTCAGCGAACAGGGGGGTTAAAGCTATCTAACAAAGAGGGGAGGTATTTTTATATTATGATCTATAGTTATCTTGTTGCTTCTCCTGTTAATACCTTATGAAAATTCCCTAAGAACAAGGACCACATTGCCATATCTTTTTCTCTTTGTATCCTTCCATGCAATAATTGTGTAACTGATGAATGAATGATCAATACCACAGCATAGAAAGTTATGAAATACATTATAATAAGCAGATTAAAAGGTGGTATTGAGTAATAGTTGAAATGGAACCATAGTCAGCAAGAATTCAAATCCCAGTTCTGCCATTTACTAGCTGCACGTCTTTGGGCACATTACTTTTGGTATCTCAGTTTCCCTGTCTGTTCCTATCTCATGGGTTGTGAATATTAACTACAAGAGATATTATACACTCTGAAATCTGGAGTCCCAAAATTCACCTCGTCTTTTTGCACTACAGTCTAATGACAGCCCAAATACCAGATCAGCAAGGTTTTACCAGAAAGCAACTATATGAATGCCTCTGGGCCTCTGATTCAGGAAAGAGAAACAGATTCAGCAAATACTTCATCCGTATCAATTGAGGAGGAAGCTGAAAAGAGAAAACACAAAAGCTCTGAGCAGCTGAGAGTCCCCCAAAGGGTGAAATAAGAAGTAACTTCATGATACATGCTGGCCAAATGAAAAGCTGAGGCTTATGTTGGGGCCCAGGTGGAACCACCAGTTCCCAAGGACAGAGGCCCTGACAAAGGGCCAAACTCAGGCCCCTTGTTTCTGGTTTTACCAAGCTGGCCCTGGTGCCATCTGTACTTCAGTATCTGCAGAATATCTCAAGGCTGAGAAACCAATTTCTTCCATGCTTGGGTAATTCCAAAGCAACTAAATGGATTGCTTCATCTAGCTGCAAATAAGCATGAGAAATTTCAGCCTGATTAGTTTGTCTGAACATATAAATGTCTGAAGGCAGGCTTTCAAAATTAGGACAGACACCTCAACCCTGGTTACAGTGCACCAAGACGGTGGTGGGTTTCCTTGGGCCTACAGTGACTGCTAGAAAGCCGTGGGTGGAGCAGAGAGGAAACTAAGTTTTCACACTCTTCTAGTGAATAAGGAGAGGTTCAGGTACAAATTAGTAAGAATTCCCATATAGAGAATTCATGTACGGTATGGTGTTTTACTTATATCGTGTCATTCAATTAATGCTCACAGTGAGTTTAAGGATATTATGCCCATTTTATAAATGAGAAAACTGAGGCTTAGAGATGGGAAGTAAATTGTCAGGGTCTCACAGCTTGTTATGGTGGAGCCAGGACTCAAATTCAGGTATGTCTGACTTTAAAGTCTGGGCTATTAACCCTTTTGTTTTTTTTAATGTCAAGATGTCTAAGCTTTTATCTCTTTCAAAAAGCAAAAGCAAAGCAAATAACTTTGCGACTCATATAAAAAAAATCCTGTATATGCTTCAATGCAGCAATTTCAAGGCTAAGAGTTTATTCTAAAGAAATAATCAGGAATCTGTGATTTTGCTACCCCAAGATGCTCAATGCAACATGGTTTATAGTGGTTAAAAGAGGAAAACAGCCAAAAGTCCAATGATAGGATATGATTCCATTTTATAAAAAACATATTGCCTTTATCTGGTTCCTATATGTTTCAAAATTAACATGTTTTACTTTAAAATATTTTTAAGCTAATGTGAAAAATGAAATTCAGGCAAAGCTGTCACTGCAGAAGACCCTGATATATTAACATGTGAAAGATTCCGTTCATTGGAAAACTATTTTAAATTCCATTTATTCACACCCTTTTCATCAGGAACACACCTATGGTATTAAAAAAAAAAAAGGCACACCAATAACATACAAACTTGTTCCACCAAAACTTACTTATTTACTTCCTTGACTGGTTAATTTGCTCATGACCTCAAGAAAACTGTCAAATGGCATGAAGTTTCTCAGCTGTCCCAACTCAGAAAGATCTTCCAAGATGACATGGACAGTTGCAGAGCCATGTCAAGACCCAGTCTCTCAACACCCAGGCATGGGCACATCCCGCTTTGCCAGCTATGGCCCAGCCTCCATTAATTAACCAAAAGTTCAAGTTCTTCTGCAGCTAGCTAGCCCCAGGGGTTGACTATGTAATTCTTCTGAAGCCAGGCTTTCTCTTGACCTTGTGTAGAAGTAGCAGTAAGCAGAAACTAAAGGGAATGGCAGTTTCAAACCAAGCACAACAGGACAAGGCTTTGCTTTGGTTTTCTTTTTTTTTTTTTTTCTGGAGATGAGATTCTCACTCTGTTGCCCAGGTTGGAGTGCAGTGGTGCAATCTCAGTTCACTACGACCTCTGCCTCCTGGGTTCAAGCGATTCTCCTGCCTCAGCCTCCCGAGTAGCTGGGATTTCAGGCATGAGCCACCATGCCCAAACTAATTTTTGGGTTTTTTTTTTTTTAGTAGAGACGGTGTTGTGCCATGTTGGTTAGGCTGGTCTCAAGCTCCTGGCCTCAAGTGATCTGCCCTCCTGGGCCTCCTAAAGTGCTGGGATTACAAGCCTGAGCCACCATGCCCAGCCAGAACAAGGCATTTCTTTAAGCCCTCATCAATAGAACACAACCCAAAAATATTCTCTGAAATCTGAGATGGGAAGAACCCATAAAAGTTATTAGTTATGACTTGTTAATGTATAATATTGAAAATTTACTTCCACTATTCTTACTGCCAAGCACCCTTCATTTTCAAATCAGAATCTGACTGATGAGCCAACCTAATGGAGAGAGAAGCACATTTTAGAGCTTCCCTCTAAAGATCCTGAAAGCCTTCATACTGTCCTAGAAAAACACATTCCTCAATGACAGGAAATGATAAACATCAAACTGCCAGGAAAAGGCCATGCAACATAAAAATATCAGGTAGGCGCAAAAGTAATTGCAGTTTTTACAGTTACTTGTAGTGGCAAAATCTGCAGTTACTTTTGCACCAACCTAATAGTAATTGTTGATAACTGAACACCCTTTTCCCCAGAGTTACAAATGCACATTCAGGCCTCAGCTGCAGCAAAAGCAACTTGAGTTGTGAGATGAAAGGCTGGAGTTGCAGCTCCCTCAGAGAGACAGGAAACAGTGGCCGGCCCATGTGTCTCCTGTACAAGCCTCTGGAACTCATGAAGCGACCTGTGCCGTCTGTGTTCCTCGTCTCATTCCCAGCATCAGCCTAGCCCTAGCCCTCTGGCATTTACTTATTAGAGAGATGGGAAAGGAGCTAAAAATATGAAACCCAGGATGATAGCAATTGTCCTAACAACAGCTGGCAGTGGGGACTCCTCTCCCTCAGTAAAGTGGGGGAATCCAAATAGGCAAAGTCAGGCAGAGCCTTCTACTAGCCTGAGAAAAGGATCAGACCAGGCCTCTGGATTCCAACAGATTTTGGGTTTCATCCCCACTCCACTACCTCCTGGTGCTGTGGTCTTGAGCAAACTGCTCACCCTCTGAGCTCCTGCAATCCTAGTCAGTAACATGCTCCCATCAACCTGCTCTAATTTTCTTCCATCCCAGCTATCAATTGCCAACCTAGCTGATGATTCACTTAGCAATTATGCTTATGGTTTCTCATCTGTCTCCCTAAAGATAAGCTTCAAAAAGACAGGAGATTTTTATTGGTCTTGTTCACTGCTTTATTTCTAACACCTAGAACACCATCTGGCACATATAGGCACTCAAATACTTGAATGACTAAAAGAAAATAATAATTATAAAATCTCTCTCAGGTGGTTGTAAGAATTAAATGACATACACAGACATTAAATAATTGTATATTTCTTTCTTCCCTATGTTTTTAAACATTTAATGCATTTTCAGGTCGATTTTCTCTCTCATGAAATCTAGAACTTGAAGGAATGCCAAAAGTCACATGGTCCAGTTCTCAGCCTTCAGGCAGAAAACATTTTGTGTCCCCATTTTAGAGCTGAAGCAACTAATATCCAGAGGAATAATTGATGTATGTTTCCCATTGCTTCTATAACAAGTTACTATAATTTAGTAGCTTAAAACAACACAAACTTAGTATCTTACAGTTCTGAAGGTCAGATGGCAGAAATGGGTCTTGCTGAACTAAAATTAGGATGTCAGCAGGACTGTGCTCCTCTGGAGGCTCTAGGGCTGAACCTGTTTCCTTGCCTTTTCCAGCTTCTAAGGCTGCCCACATTCCTTGGCTCGTGGTTACATCACTCTTGACTTCTGCGCTTCCATCACTGCAGCTCCTTCTCCGGCTAACTCTTGCCTCCCTCTTGTAAGGATTGGGTAGGCCCATCTAAATCCAGAGTAATCTTTCCATCTCAAGATTCTGAAGTTAATCACATCTGCAACATCCCTTTTGCCATGTAAGGTAACATACTCACAGGTTCAAGAGATTAGGATGTGGAAATCTTTTGGGGGGGGCCATTTTCCAAAATGACACAGTCGGTAAGTGCCCAAGAGAAGACCACTACTCAGGGCACCTATCTCCTGGCAGACTCTCCCCCAACACTGGAGTTATCCTTCCTCACACTCATGGGTACACATGCACATGCACACACATGCAGAGTAAGAAGGCAGGGGCACTCAAAGGGTACAGGGAGTGGGGGGAGGGGGGATGAAGGTCACACAGTGAGCCTAGGGATGTCCAGAATTCGAATCCAGACTCCCTAGTACAGCTGTCCGTCCCCAGCATTGCATGGCCCTCTCCAGTATCAGCCAGAAGAGAACTGTGATACAGCACACACGCTACTAGGTTCTCAAAGCCCCATGGATCCCAATCTTATTCGCCATCTCTTTTTGGTATTTAAAGCAGTAAGTGGCTAAGCCTTGTTTCTGTAATGATGACAGAATTCTGTAACTGAAAAGAAACCCCAGGAGATCAAGAAGGTCTAAACCGGTTGTTGACAACAGATGCCATAATTTAATAACACATTTTGCTATACACACCCCAGCATTCCCTCCTGCCCTGCCCATCTGTCTGAATCACCTCCAGGCACATGTCACAAAATGCCTTATGATCAAATGAGCACATGTCCTCATGAAGACTAGACTGTAAACTCATCGAGGGTAGGAACCATGAAAAACCTTTGTAATTTTTTTCACCAATTCTTACCCTTCCTCATCTCCCTTGCTGCAACTTCAACTGCATTCTAGACAAACCGAGTTAGGTCAGGCAGGTGTCAGTAGAAACCAGGGTCATCCTGGAGTGGGTAAAAGAGTCAGGCAGGGGCCCAGGACAACAGTGGGTCTAGAGTCGGTAGACTCTGGTGAGTTGGGTCAGGGGGCACCGCAGGAAGCAATCCCAGATGTTGAATAGTTCCCGGGGCCAGCTGGAGACAGAGGACAAATGGATGTCTCCTCCTACTCATTGAAAGCTCCATGGTAATCCAGAGCTTCAAGGCAACCCTATACTGTGGGTGAAAGTTCCAGGGGTGGGATGGGGGAAAGGTGCCATGTTTTCCTCTACTCCTTGGTTTGGCCTCTGGTGTCCATCCTGTTCTTCCAAATGAAAATATTCTTAGATCCACCCAAATCCTCCAAATGCTGTCCACCTGGTCCTCCCGTGACTGCATCCTTGCATTCTCCAGTGGGAAACAGGGCACTGTGAAAACAAGCCGGCTGAGCTGGCTGTCAAAAACCTAATTATTAACCCTAAGGGGGACTACAGATACAAAGATTATACTCCTTACTACACAGCTGTTTATAAGAGTTGTGTGGGACTAATGCACCATTTTAATAGCTAAACAATTAGCATCACTAAAATAGATGACCAATGTATAGACAACATGGAAAAAATACCAATTGAAACCTGAGGAAAGAAATCAATAGCAAAACAACAGGACATTAAAGCTGAAACGGACTGAACTCCCACCATGCCTAATGCCTGATCAATAGACGAATTCAAGATCTGATTTTCATATCTGGGTGACTCCTGTCATTTTTTCCTCAATCTGCAAGTCTCAAGGGACTTTATTTCTGATGCTCTGATCACAAATCTTCACATCTTGGTCAAGGGGAAGAAAAGCAGGATCCCTGATGCCTATGACAGTGGCTGCCACATACACACAAGGGTGTGGAATTGTACTAACGTGAGAAAGGTAAGAAGGCTTCAAGAAGGCTGCTGCTCTTTTCTGCATGCAGAGAGTGGGATCAGCCACCTGCCATTACTCCACAATGATGTTTCTTTCTGCCTTGAAGCCTCTGTATCTTCCTTCCGCCTGGAAAATTCTGTCCCAGAGCCCCACATGGCCTTCCCTGACCACCCTTACCAGGTGCTGTTGCATAACCTCCCTTTCTTTCCTACAGGAGGCAGGTGCTCTCTAAATCACCTCCTGTATTTACTCATTTGTCTCCTGAGTAGAATGGAAGCTCCAGGCTGACCTTTTCACCAAATATCTCTAGTGCCAAGAGCAGTACCTGCTATCTAGTAAGTGCTCGACAAACACTTGCTGAAGGGACTGAATTGGCTAGTGGAAAAGCATGGCCTGAGGAACCTGGGATCGAGCTTATCCTGACTCTAGTCTCAGTAATCCCAAAGCATTTGAGCAACTCTGTCCCCATCCTCAGGTAAGGCCTGAGGGAGCCACCTTTGAGACCAACTCAGGTTGCTTCGAATGCTGTAAAATAATACAATTATTGTCTGAAAGTGGTTTTCTAACTTTTGTCGCTAAGACGAACCAGACTTCACACTTATGGGTGAAAGCCTTTCTGTTCAAGGGCGTCTCCCATTCCATTAGCCTTTACACACACGGACACACGTGCACACTCCCTACCTCACAGACTCCTTGTCAGACTCTGCCAGGCCTGGTGGGCTGTCACTGAACTTGGTTTCTGTTGTTCCTTCTTCTAAGACTTCACCTTACTCACTTCTTTCTCTTTTTCCACCTTCTAAGAAAAGCTGCAGCTCCCTGAAGAATGCATCCTAACATCAGCGTTTCTGACTGAAGCTCCTGCAGAGCTGGCTGGGACTGCAGCCATCTCCGCTGGTGACCCAAGCACTGAGGCAGTACACGGGCCACATTTCCCAGCCCTGTAGCAGGCAGATAAAGCACTTCCTTCTGCCCACGTGCTAGTTGGGAGTGGGGAGAAAGGGAAAACCAGCTTAGAAGGAAAAAATCCCAGCTCCTTGGGTGGCCTTGGAGCACTGCTCTTCCCACACTTTGAGGGGGAAGAATACCCACTGCCCTTTCCTTTCACCTCTCCTGCACCTGCTCATGACTTCAACACCAAGAGGGATTTCCTGATAATTTTACAATCCTCAGACACCCTCATATACAGAGCTACAATCAACCAACACTCCCATCACCACCAACTGCCCAAGCACCTTTGGGAGCAGAGTGAACACACCAGGCTTGGGGTGTATTTCTTCCAAAGTATTTACCACTCACACATCTGAGGAGAGAAAGTAGGAGGTGCTGGGGGGAGTTATTTAATTCCACTTACACCATATTCCTTTTGCTTACCATTTGGGCCTAAAACAATTCCCAGGGAAGAAACTCAAGAAACTCAGAAACAAGACAAGCTGGCTAAAACTGGAAGACATACAGATCTGTATTTATCAGCCTCCCTCATTCCTTTTATCATTACACTGTCTCATAAAATTAGATTCGTGGCCATCAGATTTTATAATCTCTTGCCCTTATCTACCTATAGGTAGGAATGACAGTTTCAAAACAGTAGCTATCAAGTTTGGTTCAAATTACTGATTTTGGTCCTAGCTGGTTCAGTTCCTTCATTTATCCTGCACCTGCTTTAGCTCCCCCAGACCGTGAAAAAGGCGTGAATATGTTAATTATTGTAACTTTTGAAACTTCCTACTCCTACTTACAGGCTGAGCAAAAGCAAGAGAGTAAAAGAACTAGGATTGGCCAGGCGCAGTGGCTCACACCTGTAATCCCAGCACTTTGAGAGGCTGAGGCGGACAGATCACCTGAGGTCAGGAGTTCAAGACCAACCGGGCCAACATGGCAAAACCCCGTCTCTACTAAAAATACAAAAAATTAGCTGGGCGTGGTGGCAGGCACCTGGGAGGCTGAGGCAGGAGAATCGCTTGAACCCAGGAGGCGGAGGTTGCAGTGAGCTGAGGTTGTGCCATTGCACTCCAGCCTGGGCAACAAGAGCAAAACTCCATCTAAAAAAAAAAAAACAGAACTAGGGTCAGGCCCTGGGATGCTACAGTTCAGAACACAGTCCAACCACGACTCTGACAGATTAGGCCTTACTCAAAGAGGAATTAGGCAAGTGTCCCTCCTTAAAACAGAAGTTACTTCCCTCCTCCTATGAATGAGTTAATATTTCCTTAAGCTCATGAGAGACCTAAGGTGACATTAGACAAATCAGATAATGTCCCCTGCTCCCAAAAACCTTCAAACAGCTCTCCATCTAATTCGGAGTAACATCCAAGGCCCTTTTAGGGGGTTCCTAGAAGGCCTTCTATGTTCTGATGCCTCCAGCTCCTCCTTTCACCCCTACTCCATTCCAATTAAAAACATCTCCTTCCCCCACACACACACACTCTCAGCCAGGCTGGGTGCCCATCCCCTCTGCCCTGGCTATCCTCACAGCTTGCTCCCTTCACTTCTTTCAGATCCCTGCCTACATGGCACCTCATTAAAGACGTCTTTCCTGGCCAATCAACATAAGTCTTCCCTGCTAGAATCGAAGCACCACCTATGTCGTGGACATATTCCTTTATCACCTCTCTTCCCACTAGAACATAGCTCCACCAGAACAGGAGCCCTGCCTATTTGGTTCACTGCTGCTCCTCACGCTCAGATGAGCACCTGTCACACTGTAGGCAGTGCTCAGGAACTCTCATTGAACTGCTGAAGGAACGAGAGAAATGACACCCTAGCGTACAGAAGAATCAAGGTGTTCCTGGAAAAGCAGGGAAAGAAAAGAAAGGGGCAGAGAAGGTGGAGAGCCTGTCACCCAGTTTTGCCCAACACTGGTGACAAAACAAGCTGAGTAACATGAGATTTAACAAGGATCCCAGGGTACACCTCATATCCACGCAAAAATAAACGGACACCAAAACCAGGTCAACTGGTTATTTCTTTTAGTCAACAAGCTTTTCCTGAAGGCCTAGGAAATACTGAGTTCTTCTACGCTTTGTGTAGTTCCTGGGAGAGGAAACATTGCTCTTACCTTTGATACTGTAGTTTATAATCTTAGAATTATAATTGCCAATTACTAGGGCAAATCGACACAGCATTGAGTGGACAGAGAGCAACACACAGGCTCAGAGTCCGGAGACATATCCTGAAGGATGTTTGTGAAGCTGGTATTAAAAGAGGAGGTGGGCTGGGTGTGGTGGCTCACCCCTGTAATCCCAGCACTTTGGGACACCAAGGTGGGCGAATTGCCTGAGCTCAGGAGTTCAAGACCAGCCTGGGCAACATGGCAAAACTCCGTCTCTACTAAAAATTCAAAAAATTAGCGGGGCGTGGTGGTGCATGCCTGTAGTCCCAGCTACTCGGGAGGCTGAAGCAGGAGAATCACTTGAACCCAGGAGGCGGAGGTCACAGTGAGCCAAGGTCATGCCACTGCATTCCAGCCTTGGCAACAGAGTGAGACTCTGTCTCAAAACTAAATAAATAAATAAAACAAAAAATTAAAAATATAAAGGAGGAGGTGAACAGAACATTGGATTCAAGGAAAGAATTAGAGTATTCCAGACAGAGAGAATAAGAGAAAAATACATGGGGCCCTTGCTTATGTGAAAGCGCCAACAGTGATGATGAAGGAAGGTGACAGTGTAGTGTCGCTTAGAGGCAGGACTGAGTGATGTGGGAAGTGAGCTGCAACTGCACAGGAGGAAAGGGTTTGGAATCACAGGCTCAAAGGTCTGGGTCCAGTGCCTCCTCAAATGTGTATTTCAATCCAAACATGTTTACTGAAAGCCCATACATAAGAGAAAAATGCAGGACAGGCAGTAGGGCCTTCTGTAGCCCACAGCGGACAGAGCTCAGCCCACACTAACAGCAGCAGATGTTTCCGGATGCTCACCAAGTGCTCAGTGCTTCTCAGTGTAGAGAAGTACCTATGCCCGCTCACTCGATCCTCTCGGCAATGCCAGGATGTGGGCACCATGATCACCTTCTACATGAGGAAACGAGAGGGTGCCCGGCCGCCCAGGCTCACCTAGTTATAAGTGGCAAGGATTTAACTCAAGGAATCTGGCCCAAAGCTAATACTCTGTACTGACTCTCCAACCAACCAACAGGAATTAGAACTGTGATGACCACAGTTGTTTTGTGAACCAAAAACTAGGACACTCATGCTGATAAAAGCTTTCTGAGCTGTTTCTGACTATAGGAGACAGTCTGGGCAATGGCATTTGGATGCCAAGGCAATAGGATTTCTGGGACATTTCATGGGCATGAAGGAACAGAAGGTCTGAAACTAGGTCTGCCCTATACAACCCTGGGCCAGGTGTTGAACAGATAAGCACACAAACAGTAAGTGACAATCCTAAGTATAGGCTGGACGACAAGCCTGACCTCAACCAGGCAGTCAGAGGAGGCTCCCCTAGGAAACAAATGATGATGTGGAGCTTAAAGTAATAGACGAAGTGAGGGAGGAGCCATCTGGGGAGAGGACACGGTCTAGAAGCTCCAAGGTGGGAAGGAGTTGACTCCTTAGAGCAACAGAAGGCAGCTCATGAAGCAGAACAGTAGTGGATGCAGGGGCAGTGGCATGAGCTGAGGCTGGATGGCCAGGCAGGGCCAGGACCACTAGCTGGATCCATCCAGGGCTGGGATGTCCTGCACAGAAGTGATGAAAAGGACCAAAGGGATTTGAGGAGGTGAGGTGAAAGGTCTAGCATCTAAGTTGGCCAAGGAGGAGAGCCCAGGTCTGCAGGGAAAACAGGCCCTGGGTGATGCTGAGCAGGCAGGCCAGAGAGAAGGGCAAGGCTGGTGAGGAGCACACTAAGTTAGAGGTTCAGGAGCTGAAACAGCCACCCAAACCATGAGGCCCAGGGTATGCAAGTGGAAGTGGATGGCCAAAGGGGAAAAGGGCCCTTGAAATGAGAGGCTGGAGTGTTAGATGGGACATCCATATGGTTTTGCCAAAACAAGGCCAGGCACAATGGCACATGCCTGTAATCCCAGTGCTTTGGGAGGTTGAGAAGGGAGGATCACTCGAGGCCAGGAGTTCAAGGCTGCAGTAAGCCATGACTGCACCACTGCACTCCAGCCTGGGCAACAGAAGGAGACGTTGTCTCTAAAAGAAAAGCACATAGAGGAAAATGACACATTAGTTATCGGGGTCATCAGTGAACCAGGGGACATCTGGGTGGCGGGAAGATCAAAATGACCCTGAAGAGTCGGCAAGGGGTTTGGCTTATGTCACCCAGCTAGGACAAGGCCGACCTTGATTCATACACTCAGTCCTGCCTCACAGCACCCCCATGCCCAGGCTTCCTCTTGGCGGGAGTTCGTCCAAATGCTGCAGGGACAGCCACACACTCGGGACGGCTGAGAGCTCACAGAACATGAACACCCCATCTGTCACCCCAGGCGAGACACATACTCAGCATCCCAGCTTTTCCTGCAGGCTCGCTAAAGGCCCACATTTGACACGTGTAGAAGGATGCGCAACTATTCTCTCACCAACCACTGTCCTAAAATATCATTCTTCCTCTTAGTTTGTAAGTTATGCTAATGAGGATAGGGTCTCATAAACAACATTAATAATGAAATACAAGACATGAAGTTCATTTGATGAAATATTCATTAAAGGTTTAAATACATTGGAAGAGAAGACACTAACTTCTGTATAAGGGAAAACTACAGATCTAAAGAATGAAAGAATCACACATCTGCCGTGATGCGTAAGTTTTAGGAGTTACAACAGTGGTGCTGTGCAAAATGAAGACGAGCACGGTGTGGCCAAGAAATTAAAGGTGTTCTCCAAAAAAGGTGAACAGGACAAAATGGTAATCAAGACCCTTTCTCTCATTCTTGTACTTGAGAAGACAGTTACTTTTTTTTTCCACAAAGGAGATCGGAATCTGTTACAGTTATTGATAGTTCAACTCAATGAATCACAAATAAATTTCCTAACTTTCAGAATGATTCCTTGGGAGTACCAAATCACTTTAAGGTTAGAAAGTATCTGGTTAAAAATTCATACCTTGAAAACTGAAAGGTAAAAAAGAAAGCAGCTAGCCAGTCCTGTAGTGCTGGACACATCCTCACCAGGGCCTTTGCTGCTCTCAGGGAAAACAAGGGTCGCCTGCTGACCCATGTGTCTGTCGCAGCTAGAGACACTGACACAAGGGGCACAGATCTGTCAGTCACCTCCACAAATCCAATTTCCTTCCATAACCTCTGGGAAGCATTTCTCTACTCCCCCAGGCAGAAGGAGCATCTCCCGTCTCCAAACTCCCCCAGACTTCATCCAGAACTCACACAAAGCAGAGCTCATCCTCAGCCGTGATTACCTGCATGAGATCTACCAGCCCCAGGCCACAAGCAGGGCTGGGTCTGAGTCCTGTGCATGTTCCAGGGGCAAGCAAGAAAGAAGGCATGAGACACACTCAGCAAACACTGGTGAGTGAGTCAGTGAAAAAGAGCTTGCCCCTGAGACTCCAGTGTGCCTCACAGAGCGGGTCCCTTGAAATCCGAGGAGGACAACCCTCTGAGGGCTTCAGGGAGAAACACCACATAGCTCTTGCCCCAACAACTCCAGAGTTCTTTTACACAGTCTGTTGCCTTCATAACAAGGAGTCATAAAAGTGTGTGTTCTCTACAACCAAGGAAATACCCCTAGGTCTTAATCCAAAGAATTCATCTAAAATTTGAAACCATTATGAGTGTATTTCAGAATTATTTCTTATTGTGAAATGCACCACCAAGATCTAATTGAGTAAATTTGGGCAGAACCACTTGATGGAATGTGCAGCCATAAGGAAGCAATTCTACAGAGACCAGGAACCAGCATTCGTACAACCAACCGTGAGTTCTGAGATCACCATCACTGGGATATAACATTAAGTATATTTGTTGGTTCCAATTACCTACCAGATTCTCCTTTTACATTACAGGGTCTTCTCTGGGACCCGCAGAACAGCCTTTGTTAAACCAACTCCAAACGTGGCTATATCTCTCTTAAAGCTCAGGTTCCTATTTTGAGCTTGAGTTTATAAATCCCCTCAAGAAGTACGGGAAAGACGAAAGAATCACAGAATTTGGTGGTCTAATTCCTGTCCACTATTCCAGTTATTCACTTTGTGGCAATGAATCTGGAATTTGCACCTCCAGCCCACTTCTCTCTTTGGAGCTCCAGAACCACCTGTCCCCATTCCTGCCTGAAGTTTCCACATAACATACTTTAAAAGCATTTCAAACTCAGCATGTCCCAAAATGAGTCCATGCTCCTGCCCTCCTGCCCAAAACAGGCCCCCGCAGGTCCCAGAGAAGACCCTGTAATGTAAAAAGTTACCTAACTCAGAAAATGGCCCCATTACATCCAGGCCAAAATCCTGAGTCTCTATTACCTGTTGTCCTCTACCACAACCAAATAATCCCTAGCTGCTGTCCCTTCTACACCCCAATAGTTCTCGAATCTTCCCACTTCAGTCACCCCAGAGTCTACAGCACGAACATTTCCCTGAATAACTCTAACAGCTGCCTGCTCTGGCTCTCCAGTTTTGTTCTTGCCCCTCCCCACATGTTTCTGCCTAATAGCCACAGCAGTCTTTCTAAAACCCACATCAGTCCTCTGCTTAAAACCCTTTAGTGGCTTCTCACAGCTTTAAAAACAAACCAAAGCACTCATCCTGGCTTGCAAGGCCCACTGAGATGGGGCCCCACGGTTCCAGGAACACATCACGCCCTGGACAATCTTCCTGACTCTCTTCACCCAGCAAAGGCCAACTCAGCATCCATGTCTCACCTACACACTGCCTTTACCCTCAGACAAGGTTAGGTTTCTCCCACATTACCCCCCCAGCGTCTCTTATTTGTCCTTGTATTTGATGTATTTTCAATTATTAGATTATCTTCTTCATGAAGTTCAACACGATGCCTGTCTTGTTCAGAAATAAAGGACCTAGGTTCAGTGCAGTTGTTTTCCAGGGGGCTAGTACCTTATCGTCTCTAAGTCTGAATTTGCTCATCTGTAAGATGGAAATATTTAATATCATCTTGTCTAATCTGGAGAGGTACTAGGAATAACAGGAAAACAGAAGTAAAGATAGTCTAAAATGTTTGAAGCTCTCTATAAAAATGTAAAGAATCGTTGTTACTGTTAGTTTTAGAATACTAGCAGATAATCTCCAGTCCCTGTAAATATTTTTGTGGACCATGGGGACTTTAAAAAACCAAAGTAGATTAATTTGGCTTTGATTTTTTAAAGATACCTGCTCTTATCACTGCAGACACTGTAGGGTGCCACAAAAAAAAAAATAGGTGAGGACTTGTTACCTCGAAGAGAATGAGGAAAACCAAGAGAGTAGATGAGGAGGCTGCTGAGAAACAGGGCATGGCCCCTTGAGACCAGAAGCTCTCATCTTCCAAGGAGGAATGCACACACACACACACACACACACACACACACACACACACACACAGAATAGAGGCAAGGAAACGTCAGTGGAAAAGCCCTCTCCTCTCCTCTGCATGAATTCCTTCAGCTAGTGCCCTTGCCATGGGTTTGTCCCCCAGCCCCTTCTCTCATATCTCAACAGGGCATCCAGCCATGTCACTGGGATGCTCAGGAGAGGTCACTTTCCAACATTTTCCAGAGGAGTGAGCTTTCTGGCCCATTACCCACATATCCTATACACAGTTTGGGGCCTGCTTTGTTCCTGAACCATATTTGGATCTACTTAAATCAAATAAGAGAGCAGAAGATCTGGAAAGAAGTCGAAGTTCTCGGAGGCAGGGACTCCAGGCAGGTGCTCTCACAAATCCCCGTGGTATGCCAGTGTTGAAAGTTCTCTCCCAGGCCTTCCCCCTGCCTGCCTGTGTGAGCTTCAGTTTCCTCCCCTGTGGACCAAGGATAACACTGCAGGCACTGCCTCCCTTACTGGGAAGTTGTCAAGGTCAAACAGGGGATGTGAAAGCACTTCGTGAAAGGTACAGCCCTGTCTGCGTGGACCAGCCCCTCCCAATAGCCCCTCCCCAGGTGGAGCACAGTCATTAGCAGGTGAGCTCTGGGAGGCATTACTCAAAGAGGTTCAGACCACAGCACAGTGGGAAACAGGGCCGCCCCAGACAAGGACAAGGTCTTCACTCTCTCTCTCCTGCTTGAATCAGGTGTTCAATTCATGTGACACCAGGAAAAGCATGTTAGGGAGGTAGAATCACAAGTTTTGATAATGCTGTAATGAAAATAGGTCAACCTGCTTTGAGATTCAAACCTGGCCTCAACTCAAGAGTCTGGGTTTTTTGTTGGTGGTTATTTTATTTTTTGGTCAAAAAAAGTTTTCTAAAACAATGACAATTCTTCTAACTGTAAATAGGCCAGCCACATCTGCTAAGAAGCAAATCTATGCTATGCATTGTTGATGAATGCCCCAGCCTGACTCCCAGTATCCTGGCTCCCTAAGTAAGAATCTGCCTCTGACAACAGGCTCGGGAGGAATCTGACCCAGGGACCTCTCTGGGCAGGCACCAAGTCATGTCTCCCCAGATTCATCAGCCCTGTGTTCACTTCCCTATTTCTATTAATTAAACTTCATTTGTGAAGCAAGCATTTCAACAGAAGCCTAGGTGTGATGAGACAAAGCGTGTGAATATGGCAGCTCTGACCCATATTAAAAATGAATTAGGCAACTGAAATTGACACATCTTTTCCTTAAAAAAAAAAAAAAAGACAAAAGAACAAGTAGCATAAAGAAAAGGCACGAATTAAGCTTTTCATTCTTCAGGAAAGCCTCAAGTGCAGATACACTTTTGGGAACTTGGTCTATTGAGACATTGTATTTTTCCCCACCTCCCTTCCCACCCTCCCACCACTCTAGATTTCCAAATCAGAACCAAAAGACTCTAATAGAGTCATCTGTGCAGCACTGCAAACAGCAAGGCTGGTGTGCCCTGCAGACACACACTCTTAAGCCTTTTGTTAAGCACATACACCCAAGACGACAGCTGCAGCAATCCACTGACCAAACAGATTTTTCAACTTCCAAGAACACTGAAGAAGACAGTCTTTGACCTTCAAGGAACTTACAGTTAAGCTGGGGAACAAAACCCCCAACACAAATGGGACCATAAGGAAGCAATCAAAGGTGAGCTCCCTGAGAGCAGGCACTGAGTCTTCCTTCCTTCTGCATCCTGTCTTAGGATGGTAAATGTTAGATGGTGAATGGATGGAGGGATGGATGGACAGACAGATGAACAGAGAGGCTATAAATGCAATAAGATGTTAAAGGTAGAAACAAGTGGTAAAGGTTCTGCAGGTTTTAGATAAAATAAATAAAACACGAGCATCCCAGAAGGGAGGAATCAGGAACATCAATCCAACCACCTCTGACCCCAGCCCCATGCCAGCGCACATCTCCAAGTTTCTTACAATGCTTCATGCTACCTTGTGCTAATTACAGCTGTTTGTGTCCACTGCCTCCTGTTCAGAAAGCTTGCTGAGGGTAGGATCCATGTGCATCTATTCCCTCTCTCCTCAGCACATATTAGACAATCCATCAGCTACTGAATGAATGAGAATGGCCCAGATAGACAGACAATCCATGAGCTACTGAATGAAAGAGAACGGCCCAGATAGAGAGACAATCCATGAGCTACTGAATGAATGAGAATGGCCCAGATAGAGGAGTGGTAGATGAGAATGATCACTCAGGATGTCCAGACCCCACCTATATCAGGACTTGTCTGACTTGGCTCATCACCTTAAAATACTACATGCCACAGCTGCTGTCTCTCCAAGACAGGCTGATGCTTGTGACTGTAGAAAGTCAATGTCCTCTTTGAACTTTTCTAAAAAAGGAAAAAAGGACTTTGAAAAACTATGAAGGGGCCCACTCTTCTCCCTTGATCTCACCCACCACGTTATAAAACAGACCATGTCACAAGGGAAAACAAATGGCTCTGTCATTCCAGCACCTTACAGCTCTCTGATGGGCCAGCAACTTGCATACCTACTTAACAAAATGCCAAGGCAGCTGCCAGTGTTCCTACCCTCTGCTGGGCACCTCACGTCCATCTGGCAGAGCTTTTGATTATAAATAGAGTGCAGATTCACCAAGAAGCAGCCCCTGAGGAGAGTCCCACCTCGTGGTTCTGCAGCCACAGGAGTCCTTATACTGCCTAAGATGAGCATGGGCTGCTGCTGCAGACCCCTCAGGTCAAGGAGGGGCTGGATGAGGTTCCCAAGCATGCCCACCTTGGAACATGTGAAGAGGCACATTTGGGTCTGGCTCTATACTTGGGGGTCATGGGGCTGAAGAGTCCTTTAGAGAGAAGACAGCTCAGACTACATTTGGCAAGTACAGGCCAGACAGCCCCAGCCCTCAGCTTGCTGGCAGGACATGCCAAGGCTTATCCCTGTGCTTAATAAGGAGGGTCAGGTAGGGACCAGGCAGGAAGACGGACATTGGAAATGTCTCCTCCACATAAAGTCAGCCTTAGGATCCTAGAGGTAGCAATTAAAAAAAAAATCCACTCTATTGCAAGTCAGCACACATGCAAATTTATATCCACATCAAAGCTATTTTATTCCCTGAACAAACATCACAAATAAGATTCTGAGGCCAAGTTCTGGGCAGGGATGAGACATAATCTTGCCCATCAGGGGTGCACAGACTAAGGAGATCAGTGAGCTGTGCCTGAGAATGGTGAAGGCTTTCAAACTGAATGGAGCTTTCCACTACAAACTTCACATGATTTGAGAGTTTTTTAAATATGGTTTTAAAATTAATCCACATGCCGACCCTCTTCCTCCTACACTTTCAAGGGTAACAGAGATCTTTGAAAGTTGTGGGGGAAAGGTGCACATGTACACAAAATCATCTGTGCAATTTTAGGAAGTTCCCAAATCACCTGGAATCCACTGGAAGGCTCTTAGGAGTCCACAGATCCCCTCACCAAGTCCCTTGTCCCAAAGGAAAACTGGTTGTATCAACTTGCCAGGCTACTTGCACCAATAGCATTGGACAAGTAAAGGCAGTGGGGGGCTTGGGAGGTGATGTTTTCCCAGGTCATGGCCTGCAGAGGTGCAGAACTCAACTTGCTGCTATTGAGCAACCAGATCCTGAGAATCCTTAGCTACCCCCACCTAGGGATCCACCTGTGACCCTTCTCATCTACTACTTGTTGCTCTGCCAGGAATGCTTTCTCCTGCAATCTCCAAATGTTCACATCCCAGTCCCCCTTTCCAAGTCAAGCTCTAATGCCCCTCTTTTCAAATCCCTGCCTGCCCAGCTCCCTATACCCCCAATAACCATGACAAAGGCCTCCTGCCACCCAGGATCCACAGCCTGTGCTCTGCCGCTCTCCTGGGTCACTGGCCACTTTATAAACTGAGCTATAATTTCTCTATATAATGTCCCCTCTCTCTCTCGACTCAGATCCTGAAAGGCTGGGCTTGCACATCTGCTGAATCTTCCACAGTATAGCCTAGTTGAGGACTGTAAACATGAAATGTTTGCTGGGGAATGAACAACTGGCTCAGTAAGACACCACAAAAAGGGAGGGTGAGAGCATGAGGCAAGAACCACCAAGAGAAAGAAGGACTTCTTTTCACGATGCTCGAAAGGCAGGGCAGGGCAATACAGGGTTGGTATATTCCAACAAAAACACAGGAGAATATACTTCCACCAAGGCTGGATTATTAAGTAAGGGCGTGGGATCTGTGCATACAGTACAAACAATGATAACCAGGAGAAGGACCCCAGATGTAGGCTGATGTAGAAATCAGCATAACTTTGTGAGATCAGTCCAAAGCCTCCACTGGAGACAGCAGCTTCGAGATACCCAGATGCTATCCTGATTCTGAGCAGTAACCACAAACCTAGAGATGTGGTCAAAATTAAGCATGAATCAGCTTCTCTGCTAGAAGCACCAACCAGATGGGCCTTCTTGCATGTGCCTCTTAACTTATTAGTAGAGAGTAGACGTGGGCAAGACAACAGCACATTTCTGAGTTCTAGCTCAGCTACATCCAGCCCTAGGACCCTGGGCCTGCTTCTCTCCATAGGCCTTCATTCTCCTGCACTTCAGCTGAGAACATTAGATTATAACTCAGAATCTTGTCAGCCCTGATGTTCCAGAAAGCCATTAAGTATTTAACAAATACCTGCTCGGTCTCATAGTGCACTAGGCCCTGAGAAAGTAACAGAACAACAAAGTTAAGTCTCTTTCTTTTCCTGGAATGGGTTATCTACTTGGGTAAATTTGATACAAAAATAATGGTTATGTGACTGAAGTAATACCGTGTCTTTGTGTGTGTGTGATGTGAATGTACCTGCCTAGGAGAGGTACAAAAAGAAACATCCCACAAGATTAACAGTGGTTATCTCTGGGCTACAGTCTGCAGGTAATTGTTGTTACTTACAATTTTCTGTGAATTCTAAATTTTCTACATTAACAATGTATTTCTTTATTTAGGTAAAATGACACCCTCAGCTCTCAGGGTGGACTAGGGAGAAGGTGCATACACATTAGCCACACATCAAACATGGGGATCCGAGCATATATCGGTGACAAGAACAAAGTCCTCACACATGTACAAGGCTTAACTTTGACAAGCGCTGCACATCAATTCTTTCTTGTGAGCTGGATAAACCACCTTCAAGATATGCAGTGATTAGCCCCATTTAGACAGCAAGATTCTGACTGGGCGAGACAGGATACCCAGCCCCTTAACAAGGTCTCCAGATTGCTTAGGTGGCCAAACCTGGACTTGGGTCCAGATCTTTCACCTCCCAGTCAGTGCCCTTTTCTTTACCTACTGCCACTTACTAACTTCTTTTGCAAAACAAATACCAAATGGCCATTGTATGCCAACTGCTGGGTTGAGTGAGTGTGTGTATGCACAGACATATATGAGAAGATTTTGAGAACTGAAGAAACTTTGATGAAGACATACATGGCTACTTTAAGCAATGAACTTCTGCAATTTAAGAAAGACAGGTGTATCCCATTTGTTTATTCATTCAACAAATACTGAGTATTTGCACTGGGAAATAAATGCTGAGCAAAATAGGTCATGGTCTCCGCCTTCACAGGTCTTTGTGCCAAAAAGGGCCAAGTGAGGTTATGAGGATGCTTTATTACAAAACTGTCCCTGCATCTAGAGGAAGTCACAATTCCCACTCTACAGATGGTGAATGTCTCTTACTTCAGGCAGAGAAACAGGATTACTTCAACTGCAAATGTATCTATTTGCCCCACAGACAAGCACCTACTGTGCACAAGGCAAGATACTTGGTACGATGGGAGATGCAGAGGAGATGGCCAAGCATCTGCCAGGCACTTTCTCTATTCGCTGTGCTAAACATTGTAAAAGACACACCTAACTACCTGGCGGCGAGCACTGGCTGAGCAGTACTCACTGTCAGTGGAACACGAGCATCCAGATGAAATCAAATCTCTCCATCACTATGGGTGAATGAGCAGAGCAAGAAAAACTCTTGATTCTTTTTTTTACCTCACTAACCTTATGGGCCTCCCATATAGGACATCATGTATTCCTCCACAACTCCCTCAAAAGAAAGCACTCTCATTTTTTCAGCATGGCACATCTGAATGGTACCAAGTTACCCATTCCTAAAAGGATGCAGGAGCAGAGAAGGTCATTTTAGGTGGCCAGTTGTAGGGCAATGCCATGAGGACAGGAAAGGCTGCAGTGGTCTTTGTACCTGCCTGCAGCCCTTTTTGATAAGAATGTGAAAAGCAGTACCAGTCTGTCCATGTGACTGGAATGAAGCCTTGAATCTTTTCGCAAGCCCTGCCCTGGCCCCACTGGCCATCAGCGGCTTCCTCAGTTCCAAGACACTCAGCACAGCATCCGGGGCCTGCATGGCACTGCCTTCACCTTGAGTCTTTCTGTCCTTTCAGCAAAAGTGCTTTGCCTGTGTCTGTGCCAGACAGGAAACAGTGCACAGTAGGAGGGGATCACACCTGATAGGTCAGAGCCACACACTCTGCCCACTGCACCACTCAAAGCCCTGCTTGCTAAGATGTAACTGGTCTGCAGCTGGTTGAGACCCTAAGTTCAGTTCAGAGCAACCTTGATTTACTGGGAGTATGTTTTTGAAAATCACTGGGTAAATGCAGTTTTGTTCATTTCTATGTGAACAAGAATTGCTCACTAGTCCCTCAACAATTCCCTCAGTAAATTCCCTACAAATCTTTGTAAGAGACAAAATAGCCACTTCTCAAACCTCAGAAAGGATATCATGTCCTAAATGATAAGGTTTTTTGGTTCAGATGTCATATATGAGGCATCTTTAACTGGGGTGCCCTATAATAACAAGGTCTCTTAAGTAAAAGCAACCAAAATAAAAAACTACTTAGGAAGATGTTTCAAAATTAAATAAGGAAAGAGAAATGCAATTATGATTAGCTGAAGTTCAAGTTGTGATTTACTGTTTTTAACATGTTTGCTCCGTCCATCTGTTTGATTCCAGAACGCCTTGGAATGTCTTTTCTGGTTATTTCACATTCGTTGAATGAGACTGCCAATGTCAGCTTTAGCTTACTGTTGAGAGTAAAAATATTAAGACAGTCTTCTCAATTGCCGTTTGGAACACCAACGCTATCCCTGGAAGTCACCTGCAGGCCTGACTTAGAGGACAGCTCCAAGAATGTCCCCCAGTCAAGAGCTGATGGCGGCTCCTCCTCCGCCTGCTGCTCGGGCCTGGCCACAGGCTGTCAGAGGAATTCCCTCCATCCCCAGCATACCCATCCTCGTCTGGGCCCTTTACTCCCCCTTCCTCAAAAGGATGCAAACAGCCTCCCAACTATGGCCCAACCTCTTCTCTAAAGCACAGCTCTGTTCTAAAGTACATCATCCCCCAAGCATGCTTTGATTTGCAAGTCCAGTGCAAAATGAAAATGCAGGACCCCTTGTTTCAAAAGTATTAAGAATTTCAAGAAGACAATACCATAGCATTAAGCTGAGCATGGGGCCCTGGGCAACTGCACAGAACACACACCCATGAGGCCTTCCCTGAAGAACTAGTGCCTCAACAATCTCCACCAAACTCCTTACTCTGGCATTCAAGGTCTTCCACCACCTGGCTCCATTGCACCACCCTCCTTGTAGACCTCCGCCTCCAGAAACCCAGGAATCATCATCATTTCACAGATTCATCCTCACCATCCCATCTCTGTGCCTTTCAGGAAAGATGAAGGCTGCCTCCTCCACGCCCTCACTCGACCCCTTAAAGACTTTCGGCTGGGCACCCATGACTTGATGGGGTTCTTCCTTGAATAGAGCAATGAACTGTTACTTGTCCAAATGCCCAGAGCCTGGCATAAAGTGAGCATCAAGAATGAAGCTGTCAGCTCCCTCTCCCTCACCTCTGCTGGGCCACTCCTCCTTCCACCCCACTCTGCCCCCAACAGCTATGCCTATAAAACCACACCCCTCCTCAGGCCTGGCTCAGATACCACCCCCTCCATCTAGTCCTCCTGTATTGTCCCAGCTGGATGGGGCTCTGCTCCACTCTGGGCTCCCTCCAGCTTCCCACCTCCCTAACAGCACTTGCCCATATTCCACCTTATACCACAGAATCTACACACTTGACCCACCACACATTCCAACGGGCCACAGACACCCCAGGAAAGGGGCTTCTCATGGTTCCTTTCCATCCCCCACAGACTTTGGGGTGTTCTGTATGCAGCAGAGGCTCCATACGTAATTTTTGACTGAATGACAAAAAGCAGATTAAGTGAAATTTCCCCCTGCCATACCAACCCCCCTCTTAAAATAAATCTTTCCAAAACACATCCAGGTTGAGAGGACATAGAATTAAAAGTTTATAAAAGTATTAAAGGTAGAATCAACTTAATGTTTGAAGGAAGTGCCTTTAGAAGCAATCTAAAGAAGCTGCATTCCTTAAGCAGTAAAGGGAAGGAAAAAAGAGGCTGGATTCCATCTACTGGGAATTCTGCATGACAGAATTCTGCCTGAGGAGCTCTGCCTGCATTGCCTCACAGCCCTCACATCTCCAGGGCGGCCACTGTTGTAATCTCACACTGTTGTAAATGCCTCCCTCCACTTCCCCTGGTGAGAACCTCCGTTTCTGTGGGGAATCCTTTCCCCATGTGGTTTGGGTAAAAGTGACTCCATCTTCTGGCCACTGCAGGGCCAGAAAACTCTCCTCCCTTGGCCGCAACAGGAAAGAACAGACTGTGCCCCATGCCAAGCACTTAGATACCTCCATGGGATTTCTCTAATTTTTCTATTAGAAAAATGCTGTCTCTTTTGGCTGGGTTGCCACACTGGTAAGATATAAATCCAGGGCTGCCAGTGGCTATTTCGCCACCACATCCTAGGAGAAAGCCAAACAGAGACAACCCCTGCTGAGAGATGAAGAAAGAGACAGCTCCTCCCCAGCACCCCCTGGAATCGAGCACCACCTGAGGTCAGCTGCACCTTTCACAGAAGTCCACTGAAATTGGGCTATCACTTGCAACTGAGGGAGTCTGAGTGAGTCCAATTTTATGAGAAGCCACCTATTACCCCCACCTCGCAGATGAGGAAGCCAAGCCCAGGGAGATGCAGCAAAGCACTCCAGACCACATGGCCAGTAAACAATGGGGCCAGCGATAATCTCAGTCTCTCTGAGGCCCACACCCCACTATTCTACAATGGGTGTTACCAACCAGAGGCTCTACAGCTCCGATTGCCCCTGTAGAAAATGAAAGAGAAAATATGGTGAGTTGTGCCTTTGGAACCAATATGAAGAAGCTGCACTTCTTACATATTAAGAGGAAGAATAAGAACTGACTGGTAACATGATTTAAAGCAATGCCCTTACAAAGAGCCAAAAATCAACACATAGGTGAACAATGTAGGCATTTATCAATTCTACTTAGTGAATCAAATGAATCAGCATGAAAATTGAATGGATAAAGGAATGAGATCCTTTGGTGGGGATATGGGGTAAATCCTGACTGGCTGCTGTTCAGACTGCCCGCCACGTTCCACCAGATGGTAACAGCCCAAAATAAAAACTGCTGCAAATGCAATTTAGACAAATTCAAGAATCATATGAATAAGGGCTCCATAATAGCTTATTAAGGGGAGTTACACATATTTAAAGCACACTCCTACGTTTTTGAGGTGATGGCTGGAAGGGTTATGGGGTCTTCCCACAGCAACTCCCTTAATTCCATTCTCAGTGGCAAAATGCTGGACTGGAAAAACTATTAGTCTGATGGAGGATGGAGATTCTTGTGTTCTTATGGGAAAACATTACAGAAAGCAATGACTCTGCTCAATGGCCTCGAGTAATTCTGCACACTGAAAATTTCACTGAGAATCCTCTCATCCACGGACTGAACTTTATTTAAATCCACTTAAAATTTCGGAGGATAACACTCACCAGAAAACTTTCATTGGTTGCCATTTTGTTTTAAGAAAGCAAACTGACCTATGAGTCAAACTTTAGGAGATTCTTGGCATTTTTATAATATAACAAATGTCAGAGGCATCTTTCAACTTCGTCATGGGCCACTGTGATGGAAACAGACGGTAACGTTTCCCAGTTGAAAAGCAGCAGCATGCTCCCACTGTGGGTTAAGTGTCTTATCTGAGGCCAAGACATCCAGGACAGCCGATAAGGCAAAGCTGCCACCAACACCATCAGCGTCTTGTAGCTTTCTCAAGCATCAACGGAGAGAGGGAACGTTCCCACCAGACACAAAAATCTCTTCCCAACTAAAGCCTGGAAAAAATAACTAATTTTTCCAGCCATTTATAAGCTTAATTTTAAGAACAGAAAAAAAATTTGCCAGTCAAGGAATATTCTTCCCATTTCTAACAAGATGTTTTGAGGATTCTCTTAGTGACTTTTGCCAGTATCATCAAATACTGCAATTAACAAAACACCAGATCTCAGCACATGCTCAACTACAGGTGTCTAATACCTTTTCCGATAAAGAGAACTGACTGGTGATTTTTTTAAACGGACACGACTAGTAGAAAATCTACCCGAATACATTAAACCAATTGGTGTATGTCTTTACTCTCACAAAGTAACAACCGCATGAAGGGACACTGCTATTTGTCTACTGGGCTGTTAGTTTATGCCTTCCTTACCAGCAAAATGACGACTGACCCTGGACCTTGCAATGTTGTGCACCATGGCCACACCTGTGGTGTGGGAATTCAGAAATCTCTTGCCATGTACTCGTATCTCTAGTGGGAAAGCAGGAAGTCAAACAACAAATGATCAGAGCTAACAATAGAAGTGAGCATAATCCCGATTCAATCCAGTTCCTATCTACTGCTGACAAGACAAAATAGGAAGCTTCCTGGAACCATGCCCCCACCCCACACCCTGACTTCTCTGCCCCACCACTCCCCTTCCTGCCCATGCACGGCAGCATCTCCACACCTTCAGGTTGGCAAGTGCCTCTCTGAACTCTCCCCTGACCTTGACCTGCATTCTCATCCCACAGAGCAAGGTTCTCTTTTCCTCCAAGCTCCCGCAGCTTCCTGTGCACAGATCGGGTATCACGCTCGCAACATCATGCAGGACGCAGGTATGGGCACCTCTGCCGCCAGCACTGTCCTATAAGCTCCTCTAGGGTCCGGCCTACACCCAGTCCTCTCCAAACACCCCAGGCCAACCATGTGCCAGGCACATCCTGGAGGCACACATAATGCTGTGGAATTCAACAAAGAAGACCTCGAACACTTAGATGTGCCTGGCCTGCGCCCCTGTCTCAAGACCTCAATGAGGTTTTGTTGAGAAGACACCATTGCAACGTCATCGAGGAATCCAGGGCAACTCACGTGATGAGCAGGAGCCTGTCACGTTGGTCTGAGCAGGGGTCTTACCCTGTGGGCTTCACAGGGGTTAAAGTCATCTCAAGGCTTACTTTGGGCTCTCTGGCTGCTCCCATGTAATTCCTGGCGTGTCAAAAGCAAACCTGCAGGTTGGGTGTGTGTGTGTAATTAGTGCATATGAGTGAGAACACGTGGGACAGCACACACGTGAGTGACAGTGAGCATGAGAATGTTCCCGTCTGCTGGGGGGTGTGAGTGTGCTGGGGGTGGGGGAGATGCCACAGCTCCCCAAGGGAAGGGCCTGTGATGGCGAAGTGCTCGCAAGGATGGACTTCTCGTAGAATTTAACCAGCTTGTGAGAAGAAGTGGTTAAGGGCTGAAAACAAGCCCCCGCCTTTCATCCATCTGGGAGAATTTCATAGTCAATGGTTTTGATCCAACACAACATTTTGTGTTCTATGTAATCTGATTTACTTTAGAATTAAAAATAAACACTTCCCTGCCATCAATGGAATACTCACCTGACGAGGTGCTGATGAGAACACCAAGGGAGGCAGAGAGAGTCCCCTCATGATGGAGATCCGGTGAGAAGGGTTCAAAGGAGAATGAGCATATCCCTTTCACACCATCCCATGAGCTGGAAATATTGCAAAGGTGCTTCCTCCAGTGCAGAGGAAGGGATGTGTACACATGGTGCCTGTGTGAGCAGGTGTGTGCACGGCAGAAGGAAGGGGAGACAGGGCAGCACCCTCGTCATTTAGAACAGAGGCAACCTGAAACGTGTGGAAACACTGAGCTTCCTTGCTGCATGCATCGAGCACCCTGAGATGGGGCTCAGACTCATCTTCTTGCCCTTCCTCCTCCAGAGCACAGTGCAATGGAAAGGACCCCCTGGGCCTCCAAGTCAAGAGATCGACACTGTACAACTGCTTTGCCAAGAGTCCCTCACTCAATTACTTGCTTATTCCTCGACTCCTTCATTTCAGAAAAGTGTAGGGAGCAGACAGTGGTGATGGTTACACAACAATACAAATGTAATGTCATTGAACTGTGCTCTTAAAATTTGTTAAAATGATACACTGTATCTCACCACAATAAAAAGGATAAGGAGAGCCCACTATGTGCCAGTGACTGGACACACTTTGTTCATGAAATCATTCATTCATTCATTCATTCAACCATGTATAGAGTGCCTGTGTGCCCAGAGCTATTCGAGATACTGGACATACAACAGTGAAAGAACAGAAGAAACTCCTTGCCCTCATGGAGATGTCATTCTAGCTGGGGAGACAGACAATAAATGGCATAAGTAAAATGTGCCATATGGTGGATAGGGAGAAGCACAAAGGAGAAAAATAAAGCCAAGAAGTTCAGTATGGAGTGTCAGGGGCAGGTGCAGTTTTAGACACTGGGACCAGAGCTAGCGTCACTGAAAAGGTGACTCTGAGTAAAGATCTAAAGAAAATGAGAGTCAGCCACATAGATACCAGTATTTAAAAAAAGTTCTTAAAAGAAGGCCGAGCAAGTACAAAGGCCCCAGGGCACAGCAAGCCTGGCACGGCTGAGGAACAGCAAGGAGACAAGTGTGGAGGAGTGAGGGGAAGGTACAGTAATAGGAAGCCAGCTGGGAATAAAAGGACGCTCCTACGGGGGTGCAAAACAAATGTCAGCCCTTTCCTGCCAGCAGTTGGCACAGAGAATAACCAGATCAATTAATAAACAATCATAAATGATGCTGTCAAGAAAACAAGCTGGCCATAATGATAGAGAAAAATATGGGAGGACTTTTTAGATGGAGGAATCCATGAAGGCCTAACAGAGGCGACATCTAAGCTACAAACTAATGGATAAAAAGAAGTTTTCAGGTGGAAAACTATGTTTGAAAGCTCTGTGGCAACAAATATTTATCATTCAAAGGACACTGAAATGATGCTGATATGGCCAGTGTGCCATGGGCAAGAGGGAAGATGGACAGGGTTGCAGGAGAGAGACAGGGACCACACACAGCCTGTGGACGCCAGCACAAAGCCTGAGTTCTGTTCATATAAAGATGGTCTATAAACGGGTGTTGAGACGGGGAACATGCTCAGCTTTGTTTTTAAAAGGCCACTCTGGAGACTGTGTGGAGAAGAGACTGGAGGCACAAAGGATGGTGGTGGTTTAGATCAGGGAGGTGGTAGCAGAGACAAAGAGAAATAAGTGGAGAGGTTCAAAATAAATCCAGAAGGCTGGGCACTGTGGCTCACGCCTGTAATCCCAGCACTTTGAGAGGCCAATGCGGGTGGATCACTTCAGCTTATGAGTTCGAGACCAGCCTGGGCAACACGGTGAAGCCTTGTCTCTATAAAAAATACAAAAATTAGCTGGGCATGGTGGCACATGCCTGTAGTCCCAGCTACTCAGGAGGCTGAGGTGGGAGAATCGCTTGAGCCTAGGAGGTCGAGACTGCAGTGAGCCAAGATCGTGCCACTGCATTCCAGCCTGGGTGACAGAATGAGACCCAATCTCTAAAACATAAATAAATAAATAAATAAATAAATAAATAAATAAACAAACAAACAAACAAACCAGAGGCAGAGAGGGCCAAAAAAGTTGATGATTTCGATGGTAGAGGGATAAAAAGAAATCCAAGACATTCTCAGGCTCAACTTGTGGGGTCAGCACCCTAGGTGGACTTGACACCATCCACTGGGACTGGAAGGGCTGGGAGTGGCCAGGCTTGGAGAAAGAGCTGGATTCCATTTTGCACATGGCAAGCTTGAGATGCTTTTGAAACATACAAGTCTAGAATAGCAACAGGTCAGGGGAAGAGATGTAAATCTGGCAGTCCACAACAAATTAACAGCATGTAAAGAGAGAAAGAGACAGGCAAGAAGAGTTTGGTAACCTCAAACAAATCAGTCCATGGACAGAGTGGTAGTTTTCTCATTTGTAAAACCAGGGTAATGTCTAAGGCACTTCCAGAGAATGTTTTGAGTCCAATCGCTGAGGGTCAGAAGTTTCCTACCACCTGTTCCTTTAGAGAGGATTTGTCAAGCAAGCCTGGTCCTGGTTCTGGTTTGGACTGTCCTACCGAAGCAGAACAGCTTGGGACAGTCACAGTCATCGTCACACAGGACACGCTTTTTTGTAACTAGGCCTTTGCAATAAAACTCATTGTCTTATGCAGAGACACAAATTGCGGAGGTCTAAAAAAGGCGATATTATTTTCCTGCTTAGGGTTCATGGTTAACTGACACACCTGCAGGTTTGGTTCCTATGGAGAACTGTGGCTGTCACCCTATGGACAGGACAGAGGTGGCCCATCCTTTTCCAGCTCCCCCACCTCTATCCCAGCCTCCCTGACCACAGAGAACCTGTCATGACTATTATGAAAGGCCTAAGTGAGACTACGGGATCCTGGCCAAACACACCCCATTCGTATAACCAACTATCGACAGCTATGGCTGCCAAGTAAACAATCCATGGAGCTGGGCAAGTGAGTGCATGTGACAGCTCTCTCCAGCCACCCTACTGCCCCTGCCACAAGGCACAGTCTAAGTATTTGGGTTTCTGTGGGTGGAGAAAAGTGTTTGTGAATCGTTTGTCAGGTTTTTCTGTGTCTGAATCCTGAATCTCCTTTTCCTTCTCTTCCATAATTATCCATCAAATCAAATCACATCACCAGAGAGAAATCCACAGCCAAAGCTTGCCCTCATCAACTCATCTCCAAAGAAAGATTCAGACACGCACAGCAAATGAATCATTCAGATACTTCCCCACAACAAACGTGATCCTAAACTCCCTTTCCTGCCCTCCCCACTTAAGAACCCCCTGCCTTGACCCAAAGCCCACGAAGCACCCAAAATCACCAATGGCAGACAAGGATGTGATTCAGGAATAATGGGCTGCATTCACAGGGAAGGACTGAGGCAGCCAGCAGACTTGCCCTAGTTCCCCCAGAGGAGGGTGTGGACTGGCCTGAGAGCCATCCACTTGACCCTGGCTGGACCAGTTCTGCACACTGCATCATGAGGCACAGTGTGACTCATCTGTCAATGCCCAGCTCCAAGCTCACTTTTTCCAGGAAGCCTTCCTTGACCATTTTTAGCCTTTGCTAATGACTCGTTCTTTGAAATTACAGTACTTAAATTTATCCTGTTCATTTGGCACTTACCACATACTGCAGAGTGATATGCGTTAGACTGTACCTTGCACTTAATATTTTGCTCATGCATTATTTAACAGTGTGAGAGAGTCCGTATGTTTGGGCACACACGGATGTGTATGTTTGCATGTGCTATCTTAACTTCTTTGTTCAATTTCCTTTGAGCTAGGACCATTGACAATCCTTTCCCTAAGAAGATACAATCAAGATATAATTATCATGAATATAGCTCCGTTGACGTTTACAGTTCAAAGCCAGAAAAGCTCCTCTAAGATATTTGTAAGCCTATGTTGAATTTGTATTTAGTAGCATCACCTCTACTTTCCATAGCTATACCTCAGGGCAATCAATAGAGGAGTTCAGTTAAGTATCTCTGGAGCAAAAACAAGTAACCAAGTATTCATGGAGTGTTTACTGTATAACTTTGGAATTATGCTCAGTGCACATATAAAGGCATTTTAGAACCTCCCCCACAAAATAAGCTCCTTTCTCATTAATTAGAAGACAATCCTTCCAGAGCATTCCATTCCTAAGCACTGTCGTTAAGTTTCACTGAAAGGAAGTCCTTGATCTTTGAAGCAGAATAAATTCCTGAAAAAGGCTCTGTAAGTTGAAATGTAAATCAAATCTAACTTTTACCACAGAAACAATGTTAAATTAGACAATTATGTTCTGAACCAAAGACCAACGGCCAGTATTTAAAAGGAATAATTACATTTTTTTTTCCAAAAAGTTTTGAATTGCAAGCAATCCTAAGATTATCCGTATAGCTAAGGACCATAATCATCATAGTTACCACTATAGAATGCCTGTTATATGCCAGAGATTATGCTAGATGCATTTCATATATTCAGCATGTAATTTCTCCCAAGAGCCCTATGAACCAAATCTTTCACTTTACAAATGAGAAAACTAAGGCCTAAGACTGTATGTTTCCACTAAGGCTCTGTAGCTATTTAGCAGCAGAGCAAGAATTTAAACTCAGAAGTATCTGGCTCTAAAGTCAAAGATCTTTCTACTATCCCAAATAGCCTCCCCAAATCAATGATAAAGAATACATTTAATACTGCATAGTTGAATGCCTGGTATCAATTCAACAGAGTTCTAGAGAAACAATCATATTTTATCAAATAGATTTAGTAAGAGTTCCAAGACAAAGACCATCTCTGAAAGGCTAGGGCACCCTAATACTAGTAGGGAGAGTTGAGACAGGACCTGAGACAGCGAATTACTAGAATCTCCACTGTATATGGAGACCTAACACATTCACTCCTTTAACAAAATATTGAATAAGTACCTACTATGTGCCAGGCACTCTTCTAAGTGCTATGGATACAACAGTAAACGGAGTCCTCCATTGTGGAGCCCACATTCTAGTGGAGAGCACAGAGATGACAACCCCTGGCCAACACGTACGCCTAAGCCAGTGAGCAGTGGTAAGCACTTGGGAGGGTAAGTAGGACAGGGCGTGCCTCTCCAAGGGCAGAGGGATGTGAGAACTTGCAGTGTGGAAGGGAGGCCTCAACTGGAGATGCATGAGATGTTAGCTTCTGGATGGATTTGAAACTCCAGACTGGGTAAGATCATTGAGGGAGCGAGTGCTGATAGAAATAGGAGGAGAAGGCCTAAAGACTCCTCCAGGCACTCCAACAAGACAACAAATGGCCAGGAAGAATCAGGAAAGAAGACTGAAAGGAAGCAACAGTGAGGTGGGGGGAACACCAGGAAAGTGTGGTATCCTGGGAGCCATGAGAAGATGAGAAGAAAGTGCATTAACGAGGGAGGATGCTAGATGTGGAATCAAGTACAGTGAGGGATGGAAACTGACCACTGGATTTAACAGCAGGAAGACCAGTTGTGATCTTGATGACAGCAGATTTGGTAGGCTGGAGGGAGCAAAAGCCTGATGACGATGAGTTTCAAGAGGAATATGAGAGGAGGAATAGGCAGCAGGGAATATGGAAAATAATTTAAAGTATTTAGCCATACAGGAAAAGAGAAATGGGGTAGTAGCTAATGACTGAAAAGGAATCAATAAAGGGTTATCTAAGTGGGAGATATTAACAAGAGTATGTTTGTGTGTATTGACTGGGAAGATCCAGTCTAGAAGAAAAAGCTGACAGCAGGAGAGAGGCAGGAGAACGGCACTGCCATGGACTTCAACAGGCAAGGCTGGATGCAACCTGGTGTGCGAGTAAAGAAGCTGGCCTTAGCAAGGAGTGTGTATGGTCACCCATGCTAACAGGGGAGGCAGCAGTATCTGTGGACAGAAGAGTAGGCAGGGGGATGTGGCAGTGGGCGCTTTTGAGAAGTTCTCTCCTGGCGGCTTGAATTTTCTCAGGGAAATGGGAAGTAAAGCCATCGGCCGAGAGTGAGGCTGGAAGGTGCTGGAGGTTTCGGGAGAGAGGAAAATATATGAAATCACTGTCTAGAAATGAGAAAGAATGGTCCTGAATGTAGCATCAATGCCAGTGGTGTGAAGTTCTTGCTTGAAGTCAGTGGTCATTTTAAAGAATACCAGTCATCGTAGCTGAATGACATTTCCAATCACGCTTAGCTGCTCAGCTGCAGGTCCGTAAGAGGGTGAAGAGCTGCAGCTAAGCAAGTCTGAGGTCTTACCAAGACAGTATGCAATGCTACCCTCCCATCTTCTTTCCACAGAACTTCATTATCCACAAACAGTCACATGATCTCATTTGATCCAAACAGCCCCTTGATGTGTCCGTCTCCATTAGGGGAGGACCCTGAGGCTCAATTAGGTTAAACGACTTATTTAGAGTCGTGAGGCAAGGTCTTCTAACCCCCGCAGCCTAGTGCTCTGCCCGCACCATGCTTCTTTCAGTCAGAAAGAAACCTACAATGAGAACTCCTCAGTCTCTAGGAATTCCTGATGCAAGCCTGCCTTGCAAGACTGGCAAAAGCCTTGACCCTTGCTTCTGCCTAAGCCCATCCAGCCAGCAGTGTACACAGTGTATACAGCCCAGGCAGTGTATACAAGACATGTCCATAACTACACAGAGATTAAGCAATTAAGCTGTTCATTGCAATAAAGTATTTATTAATGAAAATATTCTGAAATCCAGACTTTGGGCTTGGCTTATTTTTTATGAATACATGGTTTTCGGTGAGTGGCTATGTTGTCTGCTCTTCATCTCTTATTACATTAATCCTAGAGAGTAAGTTCTCGCTCCTCTGTAATCAAACACTTGAGGCTCACCCTCTGGTGAGGTGGGAGTAGAAATACAGCTCTATTTTGAAAGGTGGCTGAATTCTTTAAGGTCACAAGGGCACCTTTAAATGAAGCAAAGGCAGTAATTTACTCAGAAGAGACTTTGAGGTCTGACATTTGTGAATACCCCAAGTAGGGAATGGGTGTGTGTCTAACACCTTTTGTTCAACAGCACAGGAGCTGAGATGAGCAACGAAGCCTCTTTCATAATGAAAAACTGTGTGCTCCCTACAGATCCTGTACAGAGATTGTACATAAATTCTTATAATTTTAGTGTAATGTTGGACATCAACAATAATAAATTTCACATAGGCCAAAGTGAACTTTAGCGATGAATTATTAGTGAGTGTGTGCTGAGTTGGGGTACCATGCCTCTGGCACCATGCTATGCATCCACGGGAGATCCTGCAGTGAATATGGCTGGTCCCTTTTCTCACCAAGATTATCGTCTCCATAAGACTCAAAGACAGTACATAGAGGAATTCAGAATGGAAATGCTAGTTGGGCCAGGAGTTTGCTTAAGGAATTACAGTGCTGCCTAATCTGCTGCTCCCCTTGGGGAGGATGACTGCTACCCGCATGCCTTCTTAACAGATAGCTGAAGACAAATAGCATGAGCAAATAGCGTGCCAGGCTCAGTCCGAGCCCTGAAGGAAAACAGCAGGGGTGACAGTAGGGAAAGAACTTAAGACAGACCTTTGTCTCAAGGTGCTTAGCATGTAATGGAAGAATACTCATGGAAGAGCTGCCTAAATGGTGCAAGTTTCCGACAGAGAGGCAAGCAAGCTGCCGCAGGAGCTCTCGGGGAGGGCTGGTGGGGCACGGGCCTGCTCCAGAGGCCCTCTCTGCCCTCCTTTCAGCCAACAGCTTCCTTCACTCAGCAAACAGCTCTCAAGCGGCTCCCATGTGCCACGCTGTGGCACATGTGTGGAAGAAACAGCAGTTAAAAAGACAAAGTCCCTGGTCCTCTAGGAAGTGACTTCCTAGTGTGTGGGGAGGGGAAGCGAGGGAGGGCAGACAGTGAATATGTGTCAGGTGCCATGTAGGAACTCAGGGAGGGCTGGCAGAGATGAATGTGGGTGCTATTATGGGAGAGGGTGGTCAGGGAGGACCTCTCTGAGAAGATGACATTCGAGCAGAGACCCAGGTAATCAGGAGTAAACCAAACACCCATCCAGGGAAGCACATACAGGCAGAAGGAAGAGGAGAGCAAATGCTTGGGGTGAAAGGGTGCCTGGCATTCTGAAGAACAGCAAGGCAGTCACTCTTGCAGAGAGAAGGGGGATGTCAGTAAGAGGTGAAGGGGCAGCAGGCACTGGCAGATCACATATTCTCCAGGCTATGGTAAGAACTTGCTATGCTCTGAAAGCTGGGAAGACTTCAGACTGACAGGTTTCCTTAGGGAGGTGTCTTCCCATTGTCTAGAAATTCTCAGACACGGCATTTATAAATTTTCAGTACCTAATCATTCTTCACTTTGGCCACCCAGATTGGAAAAGGCTAAGATGTAGAGAACTGATGTTACTTGAAATTTGACTGCTATTTACAGTATAAGTAATACTTTCTACAGAGAAAGGGTCATGGGAGAGGGCAGTTTGTGCCTCAATAGGTGGGTGTACTCCACATTCTACTTGATATTACTCTGATATCACATTTGGGGAGCAGAAGTATTCCCAGTGGAGACTCTGGGTATCTCTGGGTATTCTATTTCAATTCCTCCAATAGACAGTATTAAGTACCAAACCACATATCAGCTATTTAAGACCAACGGGGTACAGTTACCTCTTACTTGATAAATAAGGCAACTTAATCATAGAAGATGCATTATCTTGTTTTTCACCTTATACAATCATACACACATACTATGATTAGTATAAATCATACTACACAAGGTTCCACATGCCTTTTGAAGTTCCTCAGTATATTTTCTGGAATTATCAGCGCAACTGAACTTAAACAGAAGACACTAGTAATCTACCAGACTGATTTTCCTTTCCTTTCTCCCTCCTCTCCATTTAACAAGAATCAAAAGCTTTCTACAAGCCACTACATCATGTGTGTTTGAGATTTTGGCCATGCAGATAAATAGAGCTCAAGCCACTCAAATGAAATTATATCTGCTAAATTTTCAGGAAACAAGTCAATACAATAGCAATGACAAATCATCTTCCAAAGCCCCAATGTGTGTATGCATGTGTGTACGTGTGTGTGTGTGTGTGTTACAGTCAAAAATTATCCTGCAATCTTGCTTTTAAAGAGTAGGAAACTTTCCAAGAATCTGCTGATAAAGTAGAACAAGATGGAAGGACTTGACTTACTGATATCAAGAATTATTATAAAGGCATACTAATTAATACAGTACAGTGCTGACACAGAGACAAATTCACCACTAAAACAATGAACCCAGAAATAGATATGAGCATATAAGGAAATTTGATTTGTTATAAGGCATGTATTATAGAGGTGGGGAAAGGGTTAGACTTTAAGTAATCTGTGCTGAAACACTGATAATCCACATGGAAAAAAATTAAACTGGGCCCCTACCTCATACCACACACAAAAATCTATTAGAGAGCAACTGAAGACCTACATGCTAAAGGCAAAAAACAAAAACAAACAAACAAAAAAGTTTCAGAGGACATATAAGAATATCTGCACATCTTATCATGGTAGAAAAGGTTTTCTTAAGAATTCCTTAAACAGCTTTGGTTCAAGTCCTGGCTCTACCATTTACTACCTGAGTGACCTTGAAAAAGTCACTTAACATTCTGTGCCTCAGTTTCCTTACCTATAAAATGGAAATAGCAACAGTACTTGCCTCTAATGTTATAAGGATTAATGGATATTTATAAGGTGCTTAGAAAGGTGTCTAGGATATACAAAGTACTCCATAAACGCTAATTTAAAAACTAAAGAAAAAAACTCCTAATGGAAAATGATAAATTAGCTACATTAAAATTAAGAACTTCTGTTTATCCAAAGACACCAAAAAGAGATCAAAAGGACAAGCCACAAAGAAGGAAAAAACATTTCTATCATGTATAAACAACAAAGGATCAGTATCCAGAGCACATAAAGAAGTTTAATAAATGAGTATTCAAAAGACAACCCAGCAAATCCCAGCACTTTGGGAGGCCGGGGTGGGCAGATCACTTGAGGTCAGGAGTTCGAGACCAGCCTGGCCAACATGGGGAAACCCTGTATCTACTAAAAATACAAAAATTAGCCAGGTATGGTGGCAACTACCTGTAATCCCAGCTACTCAGGAGGCTGAGGCAGGAGAATCATTTGAACCCAGGAGGCAGTGGTTGAAATGAGCTGAGATTATGCCATTGCACTCCAGCCTCGGCAACAGAGCAAGACTGTCTCAAAAAAAAAGACAAACCAGTAGAAAAATGGACATAAGACTCAACGGACACTTCACAAAAAGGGAAAACTAAATGGCTATATTAAAAGATGCTCAATCTCATTAGTCATCACAGAAATACATATTCAAGTCAGAATGATATATCATTTTAGAACCATTAGATTGGAAAAATTTTAGCATCTATAAATTATTGGAGGGAGTATAAATTTATATAACCCCTTGGAAAACAACTAGGCATCATCCAATAAAGCTGAAGATGTACCCACAATAGGACCCTGAAATTTCATGCCTACATAATCCTTAGCACATATGTATCAAGAAAAATTCAGGAGGACTATTCAATATAGCACCATTTGAATTATCTCTTTTTAGAAAAAAAGAAAACATCACAAATGTCCACCAACAGTCAAAGTATAGATAGATCATGGTATATTCTACAAAAGAACAATGAAAACTAATGAATTACCGATAAATCTAAGAAGTATTATTGAGGGAAAACTAAGTTACAGAAGAATATACTCAGTATAATTCCATTTATATAAACTTCAAAAATATGCAAAATTAAAGTGTTGCTGAGGAATTAAAACATATGTGGTAAAACTAAAGAGAATCAAAGAAAGATAAGCACTTTTTTTTTTTTTTTTTTTTTGAGACAGAGTCTCGCCCTCACCCAGGCTGTCACCCAGGCTGGAGTGCAGTGGTGCAATCTCAGCTCACTTCAACCTCTGCCTCCCGGGTTCAAGTGATTCTCCTGCCTCAGCCTCCCAAGTAGCTGGGACTACAGGCGCCCACGACCACGCCTGGTTACTTTCTGTATTTTTAGTAGAGATGGGGTTTCATCATGTCAGCCAGGTTGGTCTTGAACTCCTGACCTCAGGTGATCCATCCGCCTTGGCCTCCCACAGTGCTGGCATTACGGGTGTGAGCCACCGTGCCTGGCCTGATAAGCACAAATTTTAGACAGTGGTCATCCCTGTGGGAGGGGGACAGAGGATAAGGATGGACACCCAAAGGAGTGAAAGGTGTGGTGAGTTATAGACTAGGTAGTGAGGGTCCACACATATCCACTGGATCTTGAGTTAAACTTTAAATACTTTATGCATATCCTTTAGTATCAACTAAAAAAACAAAACAAAACAAAAAGATTATTTCCTCCATCTTTAAATATAGGCAAATTCGGTTACAGGCCAAGTGGTCACAGATTTTCTCTTCTGGACCCCCACTGGACTTTCTTGTGACATTCCATTCAGCCTTGTATAAAGGCTATGCCTCAGTTTCCTGAACTGCAAAACAAGGAACAATAATAGCATCTACTTTCCAGGGTTATTGTGGGGATGGGATGTGTTCATACAGTCCACAATCTCTTACAAGAAACTTCTGCAGCCGGGTATATTTGGAATTCAAAATGAATGAATACCTAGCATTCAGGAAGGATCTGGAGCAGCACTCCATAATCAAACACTTCCATATTTCTTCAGTGAAACATCTGGAAATCATCTCACACAGGTTCAAGAGAATTTGGGGGGGGAGGCATTTATGAAAATGTTATAAAACTGGATTGTGGTAAGAGTTACATATAGCTTTTTAAATTTACTAAAAATCACCAAATTGTACACTTAAAACAGGTGAATTTTTTGATATGTAAACTATACTTCAATACAGCTATAAAAAATACAGTTCTCAGCTTTAAAAAAATAAAAGTTCTCACATCAATTCAGGTCACATTTTACCAAATGGATTAATAAAAAACCCACTTCAATTTTAGAGATTTCTGAATTTAGAGCTACATATCAGAGAATATGGACTGTATCTGTAGAGTTCTCTGAACACAATGGCAGTGCTCAATATGCAAGTGTTTTTATTATCATTACTACTATTTTACTCAGCACAGTGTTTCCCAAAAGGAGATCTATAAACATTTTTGGTGGGATAATTCTTCATTGTGATAAAATCCCACACACTAAATTCCAACAGCATCCCTCAATATTTGTGACAATTGCAGCTGCTCCACAGATTTCTAAATACTCTCAAGAGAGGGTAATGCCAGTTGAGAACCACTAAGCCTATCAAACTCTAAGTTCCTTAAAGGTAGAGACCAGGGGCTTACTCACTGTGGTAAAAATGAGACCACTACTTTGTACAAGGATATGTACAAAACTATCTGGCACGAAGCAGCACACAAAATGTGTCTTCATTCCTCTGCTTTTTAATTTTGTGTTTACATTTTCTTTTCCATCACATTTCAGAGAATATCAAATCAACTATGTAATCAAGACATGCAATGTAAAAGGGATAAAAAAATTATAGAATGAACAAAAAAAGCAATGAACATTTTCATATTATAACAAAGCCTTTAAGAAATGCTTTACCATTTTCAGAACAAATTCCAAACGAGGTATACCAGTACTTCATCAAGGCCCAGTTTCTCAAGCATTTATCACCGACTTATACCAATAAGGGTTCAAAGAAAGTGGCAATAATTTATAAGGCTATCACTAAATCAAGAGAAGTATGATCTAGGAGCATACTGCGAAAAACTGAAGATCAAAAGGAAGTAGTGTGTTTACTCTATTTTCCTTGACAGCTACAAAGCTCTATGTCAACAGCCATCACACATGGTCCCAGGATGAAGCTTGTTCTCTACAACTCCCCACAGCCCTCCAATGACAAGGTGTACCATCTCTTTCCAAAGTCGCTGTCTGTGATTAGGATGCTCACTGACAAAACTCTCACAGCTACCATGACAGAGAAATAAACGTAAAATAGGGATCCAATCCCCTATTTTATAGGCATGGAGACTAAGACCTTGAGAAATGAAGAGGTTTGCCCAGAGTTATGCAATAATTCATGAGTAAGTCCAGACCAGAGCGCAGCAGTCTTAAAGTATAAGGCTTTCAATGACCTATACCATTATTGACATGGCTTTTTTGTACAGAGACAAGATAAAACAGAAAAAAAGGAGATTTGTGCCATCCTAGAGTGTGAAGAGCAACAGCTTTGGTGCTGGACAGGCCTGGATACAAATCCCAGTTTAGTCATGACTTGAGACATGCTAGCAGTCCTCTCTGTGCCTCAGTTTCTTGATCCATAAAATGAAGATGAAAGCATTTACCTTACAAAGTAATATGGAGATGAATTAAGATAAAACATCTATGAGCTCTCTCTGTGCCCTACCTAAGGAGTTCAAAAGAAGACTGAGAAGCTACTTTGGCTTACAGGTTGTATCCATAAGCATTCCATAGGATTTCTAGAACTTCTCTTGCTTTCCTATCTTTGTTTCTCCAGAACAGACAGAAAATTTCAATCAAGAGGAGTTGTTGATCAGGGCCATAGAGCCATCCATGACATAAATTAGTGGTCAGTAAATTTTGGCCCATGGGCGAAATCTGGCCCACTACCTACTAAACGGTTGTAAGAAATCAAAAAAATAATAATTCATGACACATGAAAAGTATAAGAAATTCAAATTTCAGTGTCAATCAATAGTTTAATTGGACCATAGCTATCTTTACTAGTTATGTATTGTTCGTGGTTGCTTTTACACTATGACAGCAGAGTTAAGAAGTTATGACAGAGACTATGAGACCACAAGACTAAAATATTTACTATTTGGTCCTGTGCAGAAAACATTTGCCAGCCTCTGCTTTAAAGTAAGGAAAATTTAAGCTTATTTTATCATAAGCATTATTTGAGAATTCCATGATACATATTATGAATACATCCTAGGATCTCAAGAAACCAGGCTTGGTAAATCCCACTCTATGCAGGATTTGATTAATAAATAAACAGACTAATATAGAGGCTCCAGTTCCAGGCAAGATGGAGTAAGAACTCCCACCCTATCTTTCCTACCAAATGCAAATATATAAGCTAGACAGAAAACATGAAGAATCAGAGGACTCTGAAAAGTAAATAACAACAAATAGATTGAGAAATGAGACTAGAACTCAGAGTATCACCAAACCAGCAGAGAATTTTCCACTGTTTTCCCCCTCCAGTATCACCCAGTCTGGATTCAAAGGCAGCTCACCATCCAAAAGTGCTAGCTGGGTATGGACAGAAATAACCTGAAGAGAACCCTCATTTTCTGGCCAACAAAGGAAAAAAAAAAAAAAAAAAAAGGAACTCCTAATGTTCAGAGAAATTATCTGTATTGCTTTGTTTTTTTCCAATCCCTCCCACCCCAGCCCCCAGACAATCCCTCAGTACCAAGAAGCAGCAGCACAGGCGGAGCAGGTACCTAAAACTCTGAGAAAGAAGAATGATTCTCACAAGAGTTGTAGTCCCAGAATAAGGGGCGAATTTCCATTGCTTCTTTTTCTCCCTGACCTTCAAGCGCTTGGCCTTGGACACAGTCACGTAAAGTAATGCAGGAGAACAGAGGAACTAAATTCCTCGCTTTCTAGCTGGAGGACAGCAAAAAGAGGACATCAGGGAACCAAGGAAGCTCAAGAGAGTTACATCACAAAGGGGCATATTAACATGTGGGCTCACATTTAAGCTCTTCGTTGTGGATCCGACCCTAAAAGTATGCCAGTGGCCTTCAGATTTTCACTTTAGGATATCATTGCCCAGGTCCCAGACTGAACAATAGATTGCACACAAAAGAAACAGACTAAAATGACACTGTAAAGGCTTTGAAAACTGAACCAAAGTCAGAAACATAGCCCAGAGAAGTCAGGTCAGAATTTGCAACCAGGTCGATTATCTGCTTAAGGAAATAAACAGTCTCCATAATAAATAAGACTCAGAATAAAAATATTCAAGATGTCTAGAACATACTCCAAAATTACTCAACATACGAAAAACTGGAAAACTCTCAATTTGCAAGGAAAAAGACAATCAAAAGACACCAACCCCAAGATAGCATAGATACCAGAATTATCAAACAAATAATTTAAAGTACCTATTTTAACCATGCTCCAAGAAGTAAGGCTAAATACTCTTAAAATAAATGGAATGATAGCAAAAACAAAAATTTTGAAAATAAAGATACAATAAAACTTAAAATGTCACTGGATAGCTTCAATTGCAGACTGGAGGTAATAGCAGGAATAGTGAGTGAATGTGAATTTAGATTAATAGAGATTATCTAATGTAAAACATGAAGAGAAAAAAAGATTATAAAAATAAGCAGAGGCTCAGGGATCTGTAAGAAAATACTAAAAAGAAAATACTAAAATACTGGAACTAGAGTTCCAGAAGAAGAGAAGAAACGGTGTTGTGTAGGAAAAATACTTGAAGAAATACTGGCTGAAAACTTCCTATATTTAGCAAAAGACCTAAACTTACCACTGCAAGAAGCTCAGCAGACTGCCAGCAGGATTATCTCAAAGAAATCAATACCTAGAAAGATCATAAACAAATTGCTAAAAACTAAAGACAATGAAAAAAATCTTGAAAATAGCCAGAGGAAAACAACATACAGCATAGAGAAGAATGATTTGAATTATTACAGATTTCTCAGAAGAAACCATGGAGGTCAGAAAGAAGAGGAACAATTCTGATAAAGTGCTGAAAGAAAAGAGCTGTCAATCTATAATCCTTTACCTAGCAAGAAGCATCCTTTTGAAATGCAGGTGAAAGAACAATCTCAGAGGGATGAAAACTAAGAGAATTCATTCTAAAAGAAATGCAGTCAACAAATTAGATAGCCTACATGAAATGGACAAGTTCTCAGGAAAAATAAATAAATAACTACTACTGAAACTGACTCTAGAAGAAATGGAAAATTGGAACAGGCCTATAATAACTGAAGAGATTGAATTAGTAATCAAAAAACTTCTCACAAAGAAAAGGCCAAACCCATATGGCTTAACTGGTGAATTCTACCAAATGTTCAAAAAAAGAATTCACATCAATCCTTCATAAACACTTCTACAAAAACCAGGAGAGGAGGGAATACTATAAGGCCAGTATTACCTGATACCAAAAACCACACAAAGATATCACAAAGAAAACTACATACCAACATCTCTTATGAATATAGACATAAAAATCATCAACAAAATGCTAGCAAACTGAATGCAGTATATAAACATATAAACATTTTGACCATGACTAAGTGGGATTTATATGAAGAACGTGAGATTGTGTTCAAACAAAAATCAGTGTAATACATCATATTAATAGAATAAAGGTCAAAAGCACATGATCAACTCAACAGAAGCTGACCTTAATAAATAGAGAAGGATATCATGTTCAGGAATTAGAAAACAATATGATTGAAATATCAATTCTCCCCAAATCGATCTATAGATTCAGTGCAATCAAAATCACAGCAGGCTTTTTTGGTAGAAGTCAGCAAGCTGAATCTGAAATTTATGTGAAAAGACAAAGGAATTAAAATGAACGACAAAAATTTGAGAAATAAGAAACTGGAGAATTCAAGTCACCCCGCTTTATGACTTACAATAAATCTGTAGTAATCAAAACAGTATAGTGCTGGTGAAGGGACAGACACAAAGACCAACAGAATAGAGTCTGGAAATAGAGTCAAGTATGGCCAAGTGATTTTTGACAAATGTACAGATAATTCAGTTGAGAAAGGATAGGCTTTTCAACAAATAGAGTTGAAACACTGAACATTCATATGCAAAAGAAAACGCACTTCAACCTAAACTTCATACTTTTTCTACAAAAATTAAATCTAAGTAGAACACAGATCTTTCTTTTTTTCTTTTTTTTTGAGACAGAGTTTCGCTCTTGTCGCCCAGGCTGGAGTGCAATGGCGCAATCTCGGCTCACTGCAACCTCCACCTCCCGGGTTCAAGCAATTCTCCTGCCCCAGCCTCCCAAGTAGCTGGGATTACAAGCATGCACCACCACACCCGGCTAATTTTGTATTTTTTGTAGAGATGGGGTTTCTCCATGTTGGTCAGGCTGGTCTCAAACTCCCGACCTCAGGTGACCCGCCCTCCTCGGACTCCCAAGTGCTGGGATTACAGCGGTGAGCCACCACGCCTGGCCATAGACCACAGATCTTAATGTAAAACTATAAAACTTCTAGGAAAAAAACTGGAGAAAATCTTTATGATCTGTAGTTGGGCGAAGATTTCTTAGATACGACATCAAAAGTATAACTCATAAAAGGAAAAACCAAGTAACTGGATGTCATCAAAATTTAAAACTTTTGCTCTGCAAAACACACTTAGAGAACAGAAAGACAGCTGGGCATGGTGGCTCATGCCTGTAATCCCAGCACTTTGGGAGGCCAAGGTGAGCTGATCACTTAAGGTCAGGAGTTCAAGACCAGCTTGGCCAACATGGTAAAACCCCATCTCTACTAAAAATACAAAAATTAGCCAGACATGGTGGTACATGCCTGTAGCCCCAGCTACTCAGGAGGCTGAGGCAGGAGAATCACTTGAACCCAGGAGGCAGAAGTTGCAGTGAGCCAAGATCACATCGCTGCACTCCAGCCTGGCAACAGAGCAAGACTCTGTCTCAAAAAAAAATTAAAAAAAAAAAAGAGAGCAAGAGAGATAATAGAAAGACAAGCTATAGACTGAGAGAAAATATTTGCAAATCACATATCTGATAAAAGACCTGGATCCAGGATATATGGGGCACTTTTCAAATTGAACAGTAAAAAGAAACCCAAAAGACAGAAATAGTCACTTCACCAAGTCACCAAAATAATAATAAACAGGTGGCAAATAAGCGCATGAAATAACATAACATTATTATCCATTAGGAAATAAAAATTAAAACCAAAATGAGATACTACTACGCACCTATTACAGAAGCTAAAATAAAAAGTACTGACACGATTAAGTGTTGGCAAGAATGTGAAGCAACTATAGCTCTCATACACTTCTGGTGGGAATACAAAATGGTACAGCCATTTTAGAAAGCAGTTAGCTTCTTATAATGTTAAATATACAATTCCACTCCTAGGTATTTACGCTAGTGAACATCTATATTCATACAAAAACCTGTACGTTTCTAGCACCTTTTTATAATCACCAGAAACTGGAAATAACCCAAATTTCCTTCAACAGATAAATGGATAAACTGTACTATATCCATAAATGTAATATTACTCAGCAATAAAAAAGAACGATTTCTCCACACTCCTAAACATGGATGAATATCAAAGGCATTATGCTGAGTGATTCCATTTACATGACATTCTGGAAATGACAAAACTATAGCAATAGAGAACAGATCAGTGGTTGCCATGGGCTGGGGTAAAGGAAGAATAGGACTACAAGAGGCAGGATAAGTTTTGCGGGGGACAAAACTGTTCTGTTATCTTAATTGTGGTAAGAGATACAACAATTTATATGTTAAAGCTCACAGAACTGTATACACGTGCACACACCCCGATTTTTACTGTATGTTAATTTTTAAATTAATAAATAATCTGAGCAGTGTGTATCAAGAATAAAAAAGAATTTCTAAAGGCAGAGAAAGGAGCCCTAGATGAGAAGTAGGCAGGCATTCCCGTCTGCTGAGATGCAAACAGGGTTTAAAGATTCTTCCTTCCCAAAAGGTCAGGCGCAACTGATAACAAGTTGGGAGGAGGGGGTGGTGAGAAATGGACCATGATTGAGAATGATTTGAAGAGAAAAAAGACATGTGCCAATATAGCATTAAATGAAAGGGCTGTGGGCCTCAGGTTTAGAAAGTCCTAGATCTCTCTTTTATATGTGCCTTTTGTCAACTTATTTCTCTGTTCCCTGGGAAGTACCTCAGAAAAAAAAAAAAAAAAAAAAAACACACACACACACACACACACACCCACCAGAAAAAGCAGCCAGAGAGCAATAGGGGAAAGGGCAGAAGGTCCACCAACCACAGCCACTTTCACACTGAACTCCACGGGCAAAGCCCTATCCTGCATCTTGTTATACGACTGTGACTGAGAGCCTTGTTCAAATGCTCAATATTTTCCACAGCTTTGTAAAATACAGGGCCATAAAAAACATAGCTGGAAATCCCAGCATTGATTCATCTCACAAGCCCGTGACACTAAATGTTTGATAAGTCTTTCTCAGTTTCTAGTTCAATCATTTGGTTATGGCATCCTCATGGGACCACGCCAGATACACTACATAGAAATAGTAGGATATAAGCTATGGGAAACATAGTTTTGCTCTAATATAATTACAAGTTTTCACCTTCATTCTATTTCATTATATTCTCTTTAAAATGTCATAATCCTACATATTTGAAAATGATATTATCATTCACAATGCAAATTTGAAAAGGGGAAGTTGTTGTTTCTGATTAAGTCAATGTATGAGAGTCAGGGGTATTTACTATCTCCCTGGCTGCCAACAGAACCTTTTCCTGTTTATGACTAGAATGCAAATAGTCATTGAGCTCAGAAGAATGTTGAGTCCAAGAACTTAACCAGCTTTAGGCATCATTAATCAACAAAATATTGATTGTTTACTGGGTACAAGGCCATGTGCTGGTCCCTGGGTGGTTACAAATGGATAAGATGTAAGCCACCAATGTGCTTTAACCTCACGCAGCAAAAGCCACATAAACTGTGCTATGGGAGAGGGAACAAAGAAGAATCTAATCCCTACCCTTGAGGGAGACTAAAAAGTAACTAAAGAGAGAAGCGGAATGTATTTGAAAAAGACCTAGGAAACGGTAACGAAATCTAAGTGCATGTTCAATTCAACAGCCATCCTGTTGTGGACTCAAAGGTGGTGGCACGAAGAAGGGAGCCCCTTGAACTCATCAGGGCATGCTCACAGAGAAGCTGAGTTTGGCAGAAAGGCCTGGAGAGTGAGGGGGCTGTGAGGCTAGACACAGCATGACTTGTAGGAATTGCATATGATTGTTCATAGCAGTAAAAGCAAATTACTGACACAATTTCTATTTTTGTAACGTCTTTTTTCTGTGGTACAATACTAGACATTCTGGTTTTAAAACACACATATAGGCACACTTACAGTTTAGGACACCCTCACAAAGATTGACACAAATATGATTTGTATGATAATTTTCCACCTTTTTTTTTTTTTTGAGACAGAGTCTCACTCTGTTGCCCAGGCTGGAGTGCAATGGTGCCATCTTGGCTCACTGCAAGCTCCGCCTCCCGGGTTCACGCCATTCTCCTCCCTCAGCCTCCCAAGTAGCTGGGACTATAGGCACCCACCACCACGCCCAGCTAATTTTTTGTATTTTTAGTAGAGACAGGGTTTCACTGTGTTAGCCAGGATGGTCTCCATCTCCTGACCTCATGATCTGCCCGCCTTGGCCTCCCAAAGTGCTGAGATTACAGGTGTGAGCCACCATGCCCAGCCCATGATTTTCCACTTTAACACAAGTCTCTAGGTAACATATCTAGTATGGAAAGCTCCTACTGCAAAGGCTTAGGCCTTAGAAGAACCTTTGAACTCACCAGTCCTAATTTTTACTCTCTCTTCCAATGCAAAGACTGACTGCCAGGGAATCAAATCTGTTGACTGTATAGGGCTAAATATTACAGAATCTGGAGCCTATGTCTGGCGTGTGTACATGTGACTTGTCATAGGGTTGGATAAAGACCCTACTTATCATTACACTGTTACAACTGCATTGGAAAGAAAATGGTTCTGGTTACAAATTGCAAATGTAACAACTATTTCTTTTTCTAATCAAAAAACATTCCCGTAGAAATGGTGGAAGTCATACACACACACATACCCATACACACACATTACATTTTAAAAAGATACCTGGCAGTGGTGGCAGCAGTGCTGTGACATTTCCCCTGCCACCACCAGCAAATGCCTTTGATGAATGGTAGGGATTTGTGCTTGAAATGCGTGAGGAACAGGAGGAGAGCAACAGTGCTCTTAAAGACTGTGCAGGCAGGCAGGGAGGCAGACAGACGGGCAGCGGCAGCAACAGCATAAACACATTTTTTTATAACTTCATAACTGAGAGCAGGGATTGTGTTGAACACAAGTAAAGCTTCATTAGTCACGGAAATTAGGACTTTATTACAAACTTCACTAACATGCTCCACTAATTGGCAGTAAGGCCATTCTGAATAAGTGTGTCAACTAGAATTGGTTAAACATAAGTAAAACAGCATTACTTTAAAGTAACCTTTTGTTTCCTAAGCTGAAGTCACTGTCTGAAAGTGGCTCTAGTTCCCTGCTTTCATGCACGTGCAGGTAGCTGGATTTGTTATCTATGAGTAATTTTTGAATGCTCCCGCCCAGGAGTTTTTAACATAACTTGAAAGCAACTGCTCTCCTATACAGGCTCAGCCTGCCTTCAATTCTGTCCTGGGTTTATTAAGCACTCAGCAGGTGAAGGTACAGTGGGAATACACAAAATAAAATGTAGTTCCTGACCTGAAAAAGTTTGTAGTTTAGGATGGAAGGAAATCCTTAAGAATAGTAAATCCTTTTAGTGTATGGCAGCAGTTCCAAGTTCAGACTGGAGGGTAAAGTGGTAACATGTTATCTTTCTACTACAATGCCAAGCAAAATAAATATGAGATAGGAAAGAAAGTCCAAAGAGAAAGAAAGAAGATACCAGGAGAAATCAAACAAGAAAGGGAAATGTCCTGTAACCCCAGCACTTTGGGAGGCCGAGGCGGGCAGATCACTTGAGGTCAGGAGTTTGAGACCAGCCTGGCCATCATGGTAAAACCCTGTCTCTACTAAAATTACAAAGATTAGCCAGGCATGGTGGTGCATGTCTTTAATCCCAGCTACTTGGGAGGTTGAGGCAGGAGAATTGCCTGAACCTGGAAGGCAGAGGTTGCAGTGAGCTGAGATTGTGCAATTGCAGTCCAGCCTGGGCAACAGAGCGAGACTCTGTCTCAAAAAAAGAAAAAGAAAGAAAGGGAATTGGTCTATGTCGAGAAGAGAAACAGAAGTATCTGGTGGAAAGGGCAGCATGGCTTCTGGTGGCATAGCTTCCGACCCAGCCCTTACACCTCTGGGACAATGAAGAGGTGTCAACCAAGCCCTGAGCATTCTCACCCAAGCTCCAAGTTGGAGAAAACACCAAGGAGGTAAGCCACAGTAAAATAATGCCTCAAGCATACAGCCCCTCCACACACACTGGGAGACAGTGGCAGAGACCAGAGATACCCCAGGTCTGCCATTTTCCAGGGTACTGCACTGAGTTGCCCGTACAAGTGGGATCCACCCCCAGAGGGAAGAGGGGGCCTGGGCATAGGTCAGGAGTGGGATAGCCATAGAGTACTTCTGCATCCTCAGGGCAAAGACAAGACTGAAAATACCACCTAGTACTCAAACTATAGCCCCAGGGGAAGACAAACGGTCACAGATGAGGCAGGAAGAGTGCCTGGGAGAATTTCCCCATTCACCATGGAGCCAAGTGAAAGACCTCACCATCAGCTGCTGCACAGAAATGACACAGCCACCCACACAAGTGGGAGATCGAGGAGGAGGCACGGCCAGTTTGTTTGGAATGGACAGGTGTGTTAGGTAGGAGTCCAGCCTTCACACCCTGTGTTTCCTTTCTTTTGCTTTGGACCTTCTTTCCTAACTAAAAAGAGAGCCAGTGAAGGTTCTTGAGAAGGGGATGGCAAAGAGCCATGAGATTTTATCTTTGTAAACCTCGAAGTGTGGGTTTAGGAAAATGCATGGTTCATCCTTCCCAGCATCCACCACGGTAGGTAGCACATACTCGATACCTCATAGTTCATTTACAGGCATGTAGATGTGTGAGCTGGTGACTCACAAAAGGAAGGAGACAGTGGGTACAAGACGAAGGTCGGGTCATACCCGGCAGCAACCCAGGCTTCTGTACCCACTCCCTGTGGCTCAAGTCAGTCTGACCCAGACAAAACAGGCTCATGATCTGGGTAACTTCTTCCCTTACAGGGAGCCTGAGAGTCCTGGCTCCTCTGGGTGGAGGGCAAGCCGGGGAACCTGACCTTAAACCTGCCAACCCCATAACCAATCAGCCCTTGGGAAAGTCATGTGTGACCGTGGCCAGGGAAAAGCACTCACACCTGTGCTATTTAAGTGCACATTAGCACTAAACAGAGAGAACATTTTTTTCTGGGATTGAAATCTGGCACCCTGGGGCTTAGGCCCAACCTAAATGTATTTCTTCCACTATTAAAACAGTCATCTAATTAAAAACCAGCCAATACAAGTGCGGAGAACTATATGTTCATCAGTTTAAGATGTTTTTTGGCATAGAAATACCCCAAAAATGGAGCTTTAAAGAAAATTTGGCAAACAGTTAGGCCTTAATCACTTTGTCTTGATACCTTTTCAAACATTTTAAACAAGAATGATATCATCACTGTAATTTTATTTATTTCAGAGGGAGCTGACTAAACAAATTTCACAACATATTTCCATCCCCAAGTTAAAGATATAATTGCTCATTTAAGTGAAAAACAATTCTGGGTCTCTCTTTTTTTAATTAAAATACCCGTAACTCTAAAATCTGTTTTGTCCCCCAAGCATTCCCTGCCACCACTTCTCAGGGCTCCTATGTGTCTAGGGATTTTTCACATGGTTTTCCTCAGATATGGAGCAATAAAATGAAGACAGCAAGAGAGAAACTCAAGTCTACAGTGGCTGACTGCAAAGACGACTGAGAAGCCATCCATCTCAAAGAACACATGAGAAATTACCCAACATTCTAAAACCATGTTGCACACCCACGGAGAATCTTCAAAATGATCCATGAAATAAACATCTATTCAAAGAAGAAACTGGCAGTGAGCAGGTCACATGGTGCCTGACCCACTTACACAGGAAGGCCGACAGTTCATGAAGAGTCAAGGAATGCAGGGTGAGAGGTTCACAGAGCCTCCAGGGGTGCTAGAAGCTGCGAGATGGTGCTGAGGGAGTGAGACCTAGACCTGGGTTGATGGGAGGGATCAGTGCTGTTGAACCCTGCTTGGTGGTTCCAGGGTAATTTCACACCACAGAGGAGAACCACACTGCTCCTCTGCGCTGCCTGATCCAGGTGCTGTATCTCACTGGTTCAGCTCCCATGTGCAGAAAGGGATCTTGAAGGCCAGCCAGCACCACTGCTCCCACGTGCCCTGGTCAGCATTCTGGAAGGGCATCCCCAGCTCTCCTCACTCTCTCTCCCATCAGTCCTTTCCATGGGAGCCAACGTGGGGAGAGCCAATTCGCTTTCTATGAGGGGCAATCAGGGACAGGTCAGCACCACACACCATCTCTTCCTCCCAGCAGCTCAGCAGCCGACTGAAATCTTTCACTTTAAATCCTTATTCTCCTGTTGTCCTATATGGATTTGCAGAACTGCTCAAGAGAACACATGATCCTTTGAGTATTTGAAGGGAAAAAGATCTTTCCCCTACACTCTCTAATCTACTCAAAGCTAAAGGGTCAAGGTGAACAGGCAGTATAAGAACATCATTAAGAGAACACCTATCAACTTAGATTTTATGATAAATTGATCTGAAACGATCTGCACACCACTTCTGTGCATGCTTGAAAAGCCAATGGTGAATATGAAGGAAAAAAATTTTAATTGTTTTTAAATATTTAAAATATGAGCAAGTGTAATACCCTTAAGAGTCAACTTTTAAAGAAACTTGTAAGTTAGGGTTTACATTATTATGCTTTATGCTTATCACAGTCCTCTCTAGAGTGAGCACCTAAAGACTGTGTCTCTGAACAGTCATTTGAGATACAATATGGAATCTTCTAGAATGTCCCCAACTAGAAATCACATCAGATTTCCTACCTCATTTTACAGCTGAGGAGTGTTAAGTCCAGAAAAGTAATCATTTCTGTTCAAGGCCCTTCAGCAAGTCAACAAGTCAGTGGCTGAGGCAAAAATAGAGCCCAAGTCTACCAAGAGTTGGGTTCACTATATCCACACGGTCTCAAGGGCCTATGAGTATGTAAATTCAAATTCATATGGAAATCATTCCCATTTGACAAAAGCAACATAAATGGATTTAAATGAAAGCACATTCAAGTTTGAAGCAATTAGACCACATAAAAGAACACAAAGTATTGTGACATCAGTACGTGACAAAAAGAAAATGCCTACTATACTCAGCCATCCTCTGATCTGTAGAGCTAAACCCCACAGTAGCAGTGAGAAGATGGCATCTGCATTGTGATTTAATTTGCAGACTGTTTCTCTCATTCTTAAGGCCCGCTAAGTGCTGTAAAACAACACAAAGATTTGTGAAGCCCTGTACATAACCAGACTATGAGAATATTCTATTTTTTAACTCTTCTGTTACTGCTCAACACCCCCAACATCAATTATTTTTAACTAATGATATCTAACAAGTACAATAGAAGTCCCCAATGAATGAATGTTGAATTCATTTCCTGTATTCCAGGCAAGGAGAATATGTGGTCATCTTCTCTACCACTCAGCGTCTGCCTCTGTAAAATAAGGATCACAATGCTGCTCACCTCACAGATCTGTGTGGACGTTAAATGGGAACGTTTATGCAAACTATTGCAGTATCTACAATAAGAACCACTACATGGCAGATGCTGTTCTTATATTTCTAAATAAATTGCTGTCTTGTTTCTTAACACACAAATCAGAAAGGGAGAGATAATACAAGCAGAAATAATACCTAACAGTCTGAGGGGTCAGGGTTTGGGGGATCCAGATGGGACAGGAAAAGAAAGAAGAACCAGAGAAGTCTAAGACTCTGGAGCCACCACCTGCAGGGGCAAGCAACCTGAAGGCACCATCACTCGAGCACAGCAGAATCTTGGATGTTCCTAACAGTGACCCGGCATGATGGAGAGAATGTCGGGTTAAGTTCTCAGCCGGCTGCTTCTGAAGGTAGTTAAATGTGTAATGTATTTTCAGAGAATTTCCTTTTAAAATGGATTCTTTAAAGATAATTTTTAAAAAAAAAAAAAAAAAAAGCTTTGTTGCTTACAATGGATACAATTCAGCTTTAGCACTCTGGAAAATTCAGCTCTCCAGAAGGATACAATCTGCAAAGCCAAGGTATGTTTTCTTCTTCAGTTATTTTGTGCACCATCAACTAAGCCACAAAGGTAGTACTTTCTAACCATTCTGCCAAGTGATCTTTCAGGGGAGAAAGGTGCAAAGAGAAAGAAAAAGGAAAGACGAAGGCGGAAAGAATCAAAGGACCAAGAGAAAGAAGTAAACCAAACCACAGAGAAATTTGCAAATCACCTCTACTCCTTGATGGAAGTGGGGACAAGCCAGACCTGCCTTCCACCTACCCAGCTGTAAAATCTGGGATAATCCTCCCTGGCCTGATGTGCCACTCTTCTGGAGCTGTCCCCATTGCTCACGCTGGAAAGGCTATCCAGCAATTCCAAGGAAGTAGTCGGCATTTAATACATCCTCAGGAGAAAACTTCTGGTGGGGAAACGATGTTAGAGGGGCATAGGCAGGACCTCATAGCCTTGTCATTCCCAGTTCTACTCAGATAATGTAAACCTGAACTAAAACATCACAAACAGAAGGTGCAGTCTCAGTGAAAATTGCCATGGTTGGGTCATGACAGTCAGCAAGAGAGGCAGCTGCCTCCAAAGGGCCACTGCCATAATCGTTAACAGCGGGTTCAAAATGTGCCTCCTCGGAGAAACTTCCCTGCCTCGTTTCTTCCTTAATTCTCTTCAGCCCACACAAATGCAACGTCCATCATCTCCAACTACCAAGTACACAAAGCCTCAAATACAGGAAGGCAGAACCCTGACGCACCCATCTAAAGAACTGACTCACAACTTTCTAGAAGGAAAGAGAAAGTAAGACAAAGCCCAAGATGAGGGGACCAAGTCTCTCTCCACTCTGGGCCCTTGTGCATTCACAGGATGCAGAAAATAAAGAGAATCAATTGACGCCATAATATTTTTTTAAGTCTGTCTCCCCTACTAGACAATAGGCTCCAAGAGAGCAAGAGCCCTGTTGCCCTCGTTAGCAGCATTCCTAACACAGGGCCTGGCTTACAGCTGCTCTCATAATAGCCAATGAACAAATGAATGGGGGGCAAGCAGGCAAAGGCAGGGGAGCACTTAGGACCACAACCAGTGAGCCTTAATGCCTTGCACCCAGCACACAATGACAGGTGCACTGGACTAAGATTCCAGACACCTAGTTGTACTGCTGATTTTGACATTTATTCAGCAAATAATCCTGGACACGTCACTCAACATACATGAGCCTCCATTTCCCTCTTTTCTAAAATGCCTCTTTTTTTGCATGGCATGGTTGATGAGATCAAAAAGAAGTAACAAAATAAAACTCTTTGGGCCAATGTTTGGTACTATATAAGTATAGTATGTAATAATACAATTTACTACAAACAACTTTCCAACAGCACCTCACTTTACAAAGCCCATGTTGTATACTAGGCTGTTTTACATCCAGCCAATGTTATACTGGGCTGGATATTTTACAACTCCCATGGTAAAAGTAAAAACACTGAGATTCAGGAGAGTCGAGTCTCTTGCCCACTGCTAGGACGCAGGTCTATTTTCCAACCACTTGCTCTGTGTATGATGCAATGCAGTTAGTAATAATCACAGAAATGGAACCATGCTGGTAAGTTGAGCCTGGCAACCCAAAACTTTCAACATTCAAGCACATGGGGGTGGCTTGGAGTAGGAGACAAGGGGCAAAAGTAAATGCAGAGGAAATGCCCAATTATAAATGCAGCAGGATCTCTGTGGAGATTCCTGTTAGACAAATTCTGACTCTTATGGCCTTTCAGAAGCTAAATTATGGTTGTGACCAGTTGGTCACCAGAACCCTAAGCCAAAAGCTACTCTAAAATAAGGACACAGATTAATCGGAACCCTGATCACTAATGACTATAGACTCAATGTCAATACAGAAAAGTCTGGACAGTTTGGTTTGGGGAACCCTACCCCAAATTCAGACCCACAGAGGTGAGGAGGGCCCTAGTGCAGCTCTGTTGGGTTCCTGGAATCGGTCACACTCTAAATCCAGCTGCCGGTTCCCCCAGGGCCCACACCTCCCTCCCAGCACTAGGACAAAGCTGCTGATCCTGACTTTTCATAGTTGAGCAGTGGTAACATCTAAATTACAAGCTCAGCTGACACGGCGACGGCCACAGCCACAGCCCTCATGCAGCCAGTAAGCAGCATAGAAGGGCCTCGGGGACTGGAGGGCCTGGCCAAAGAGGCCCAATATACAATATCTGTGATCCCTTGTCACTTCTCCTTCCCCCATCCACGAGCCTTAGACATTCCTCAACCCTCTGCAAACTGAAGCCCAGTTTGTATCAGTTCTCCATTCCAAAAGGCACTGATTCACACTGCTACTGCCTATTTTCCCGTGATTCTGTAATTGCTTTATAAGAAGGGTGCATGAAGGCAAAGTGATAAACCACAGAGGGCTTGCAGAAAAAGAATTACATCAGCACGCACAATAGAAACAATCTGGACTTCCCACTGTTGCCAGAGCGCCTCCTCCCTGCCCCCTGCCCCAACTCTGTTTTATCCTGTGCCCTGAATCCCAATTGCTTTGAGAAGGAGAAGAAAGTGTCCAGGTTTGGCTAATTGCATCAAACAAATCGAATTTTTACATGATAACCACCAGGGATTTTGAGGTCAGTCTGCACAAGCCCTTTCGTCTTTCCCTGACCCCCAAATTACTTTGTTTTCATTTATAAGTAAAGAAGAACACCATGACCTTTTCAAGCTGTCAGAAGCCCATAAATTACTGCTCTACTATGACAGTCCTGGCCTGAAGCTCCCCTGGGAATCACCTCTCCTGAAATCCTCACCCCGCTCCTCTAAGAACCTCCTTCGGGCTCAGTTCCATGACAAGGGCAAAAGCCCAATCGAGGTACATCCGTTTTACACACCACATGTGTGTAAAGGGAACCTGGCCTTATGCTCTCTCACGAGCTCCATGGCCTTGTGAGGGAGAGTCATTAAATGTCTGCCAGCTCTGCTGCCTGGTCTGGGAAAATGGCAGGAATCATCATCGGCCCATTACTGTTGTGGGGAGAATCAAAAAAGAAAATATTCTGGCAAGTACTTTGTATTCATTAAGATGCTCTTTAAAACTGCAGAATCATAGGATTATAGTCATGGGCAGAATTTGAAAGATCATTTAGAACCACCCAGCATCTCACTGTTAAGAAAACCTAGGCCCAAAAAGTTAAAGTGACTTGCCAAAAAAGCCTCATGGCATGGTTTTCTTTGTGAATACAATGGGAAGGATCCATAGTTCTCCAACCTTAATATCCATCTTTCCTCCCCTTTAGAATTATAAAACATTAGCTAATCCCTATGGAGCACTTATTCTATGCCAGGCACTGTACTAAATGCTGCATGTGCTCATCTCATTTAATCCTCCCAACCACCTGTAAGCCTATGAGGTAGACGCTCCAGTGGCCCCACTTCCTCGAATGAGGGATGAAGCAACTTGCCAGGTGACAGCGCTTGAGAGTAGCACAGCTAAGATTCAAACCCAAGTCTGTAGAACATCAGGGCCTTTAACCCAGATGCCCCACTACCCTCAAACCATCCGATTCGCCATGCCAACCTCTGCATCTAAATATGCCATCCCCTTGTGAGAAGCATATTGATTTGTAAAGACAGCTCTTCTTTTGATATTAATTCAGAGATGAAGCTCTAACCTCCCACTGGGAACAGGCACAACACACAGGTGACTCCCACCAATCACCAGGCAAATGATTGATGACTCAATGGGGAAAGTCCCATTTGATTTTTCCCTTGCCTGCATCATCCCAGGACTGGAGGTTCTTGTGACCTTTTCATAGTGCATGAAGCTTTCTCCCTGAGATTTGCAGGTTTTCATCTGGGTGGGAGCCAGCCCCAGTCCCCTCTGTCTCAGGAAGCCTTCTCTTTGCCTCCAGCCGGTCCCTACCCCCAACCTTGCCCATCTGTGAAAGCCCTAAGAATTACTGTTAGCCCTGCATTTGTCCATATTGTACTATATAATTTCTATAATTATATGTGCTGCAAAATTTGCCCCTTTATAGATATTTTTAATTATTTCACAAGACAGTCTTAATTGGGGAAGGAGAGAAAGACTGAGGGGACACTTTGGGACAAGATGACCCTCTCTGAGTTAGACCACAGCATGAATTTGTCAGATCTGCATCCTTCCCCCACCCACAATCCCCAGTCCATGAAATATCCTGATTATGATTTGTATGTCCTCAGTCCCAAGGTCTTTAATGAATTAGCAATGGCCTTCACTGATGGGCTGACAGAGATTGACTGGATATAAAAATAAATCAGAAGGCATAAAAACACAAACGAAGGAAACACACAGAAACATTAAAGATGAGCAAATCTGTGTGTAGAAATATGGATGATTCTTATTTTCTTCTTTGTGCTTTTCTTGCCTAATTTGCATTATTTGTGCAATGAAAATGTTAAAAATTCCATTGCCCCTCTCCCCCAACAAGAAAAAGTTCAGATCTGTTAGGCTGATCTGGGTATGAATCTACCATTTACCAGCCATGTGACCCTGGACGAGATATCTAAGCCCTCTGAATCTCAGTTTCCTCACCTGTAAAATAATGAGAGTGCCTCTACCACTGTGATTCTGAGAGCTAAATAAGACAATGGTACATGTCACAGGCTTTGTTCCTGCTTTTACAACAACTTTAAAATTTAGAGGCTTAGCACATAGTAAGCAATCAATAAATGTTAGCTATTATTAGGACAATAATTATTCTTCATGTTTGTCTCAGCTGGTTGATGTATTCCTGGGTACTGCCAGAGTGTCTTACACAAGGACAGGCAGGCATTAAGAACCCAATAAATACCAATAGATTCCCACACACCTACCAAAGAGAGGGCCCTGAATCCTGCACATTTGGAGAACAACAAATACTAACTCAACTGTAAATGCTGAAGTCCTTTACCCACTTTCTCCTCACCCTGACAGAAAAGGTTTACTCCCGAAATGGGTTGGGGGATGGGGCATGAGAAACAGTGCTCTTTAAAATCGTAATTATAAATTCAGAGACATTACGAAGCTTTGAGTTAAAAGGGTTAGGGGAGGCTGGTTTGTGGGGAGTTTTTGGTTTTGCTTTGGGTTTGTTTTGGTTTTTGTCCTTTCTTATGGTACCGATTGACTTCTTCATTTATTTATTTATTTCTTTCTTTATTTATTTTTTACTGCTGCTGTTCTTTTTTTTTTTTTTAATTTTATTATTATTATACTTTAAGTTTTAGGGTACATGTAGTCGGAGTTTCGCTCTTGTTGCCCAGGCTGGAGTGCAATGGCACAATCTCGGCTCACTACAACCTCCGCCTCCCGGGTTCAAGCGATTCTCCTGCCTCAGCCTCCCAAGTAGCTGGGATTACAGGCATGCGCCACCACGCCCAGCTGATTTTGTATTTTTAGAGACAGGGTTTCTCCATGTTGGTCAGGAATGGTCTCGAACTCCTGACCTCAGGTGATCCACCCGCCTCAACCTCCCAAAGTGCTAAGATTACAGGCGTGAGTCACCACACCTGGCCAACTCCTTCTTTAAAGAGCCCCTGAGTAGCACTGATTTGTATTTAGTGGAGAAGGGAATCACAAAAGACTACTTTCCTGTCTATTGGTAAGTAAACCGGCTATTTCACTTATATCTAACTTGCATCTAACCCTACATCCAGACCTGAGAATTCTTGAATATTTATTTGTTTATTTATTTATTTATTTATTTAAGCAACAGGGTCTTGCTCTGTTGCCCAGGCTGGAATGTAGTGGCACAGTCAAACCTCACTGCAGCCTTGAACTCCTGGGCTCAAGTGATCATCCCACCTCAGCCTCTTGAGTAGCTAGTGCTACAGCCACACCACCACCATGCTCTGCTAATTATTTTATTTTTGTAGAGACAAAGTCTCCATATGTTGCCCAGGCTGGTCACAAACTCCTGGGCTCAAGCAATCCACCTTCCTTGGCCTGTCAAAGTGCTGGGATTACAGGCACGAGCCACTGCATCTAGCCCAGACCAGACAACTCTTTACCATCCATTCAATTAAAGTAACTATGAAACCTACAGGGAAAACTTCACTGAGACAACTGAGAAAAAAAAAAAACCTGCATTTTTTGCTTGTTTTTAATGTTTTTTAATAGCTTCATTGAAACATAATTCACATACCATGCAATTCATTTAAGTACACAATTTAATGGCTTTTAATATATTCACAGATATATGCAACCAGCACCATGGTCAATCTTAGAACATTTTGATTACCTCAAAAAGAAACCCTGTATCTTTTAGCTATCACCTCCCTATCACCCCACTCTCTCCTGCCTGAAACAATCACTGATCTTACTTTCTGCCTCTATAGAGTTCCCTATTTGGGATGTTCATATTAATGGAATCATAAAATACGTGGTCTTTTGTGATTGTCTCAGCTGCCTTGACTTAAATGATGTCCTGGAGGGAGTAATACCCACTTATGGTAAAAGACCGTTATACAAATACACTACATCACAACTCCCCTACGCGACAGTAATCTGCTTGAAGACAAACAGTGGATGGCATAGTCAACACTCCACCTTCCTCACGGTGTTCACTATTCCCCAGAACACAGGTGCTCACGAAACATCTGAAGAAAAACAGATATACTCAAAGAATTACTGGAATGGGAGAGAAAAACATTTCCGCTTTAACAAAATCAGAGATCCAAAAGACTGGTCAGTCCCCCATTTGGGGAGGAGGATGACTCAGGAGCCGGAGAGCCCTCACGTTAGCTGTCACAAAGAGCATCGACAGTCACTAGAACAGGCTTCTCCGCGCCCATTTCACAACACGACAGGGGATTTGCTCCACACAAGCGCAGGCTCTCCCACAAAATTTGCTCCAAACTATTATTTGGCTAAATTAGCATTTATTCCTTTGAAACATGGAGAATGGCTAAGTGTCAATCTTTTGAAAATACTGTAATCATATTGTCATTAATACAGGTTAGACCTAACAAAAAATTACTTCATATCCAGATAATTTCTCTGAATATGGCCAGTTAGACCTCCTAATTTAGGCTGTATGAACTGCTATTTTACATGAATTAACTGGGAGTAAATATTGTCTATTAATATTTAAAACAATCAAATTGTTTGACCCAGAAGTTCCCATGTTTAGAATTTGCTTTATAGATGTACTCGCAAAATTATGTCAAGATTATGTACCAGAGTTTTTTGCAGCACAATTTTAAACAAGAAAAACAACCTTAATTCTGTCAATGAAATACCATGCCGGCCGCGCACAGTGGCTCACGCCTGCAATCTCAGCACTTTGGGAGGCCGAGGCAAATGGATCAGCTAAGGTCAGGAATTCAAGACCAGCCGGGCCAACATGGTGAAACCCTGTCTCTACTAAAAATACACAAATTAGCCAGGCATGGTGGTGTGCACTTGTAATCCCAAATACTTGGGAGGCTGAGGCCAGAGAATCGCTTGAACCCAGGAGGCGGAGGTAGCAGTGAGCCGAGATCACGCCATTGCACTCCAGCATGGGTGACAAAAGCAAAACTCCATCTCAAAAAAATATATACATATATCATGCCACCATGACAAAGAATGAAGCCGACTGGCATATGGATAATGTAGAAAGAGCTCCAGAATAAAATTGTATGTGAAAAAGTAAGGTGCAAACAATGTGACACTATTATTTCTTTGGTGTCAATTTTTTTTAAAGGAAATTTAAATAGAAAGGCAAAGATATAAGACTTTTTTTAAAAGATCATATATAAGTTGCATATAATACTAAATAGTATATAATAATAATTACTATATTTGAAATCTTTACTATATACCACATATCCCAACAAAGTGGAGGAAGACGTCCTACAATAAAATTTTAAAAGTACTTGTGGCCAGGCGTGGTGGCTCACGCCTGTAATCCCAGCACTTTGGGAGGCCAAGGTGGGCAGATTGCTTGAGGTCAGGAGTTCGAGACCAGGCTGGCCAACATGGTGAAACCCTGTCTCTACCATTAGAAAAAAAAAAAAAAATTAGCCGGGCATGGTGGCACATGTCTGTAATCCCCACTACTCAGGAGGCTGAGGCAGGAGAATCGCTTGAACCTGGGAGGTAGAGGTTACAGTGAGCTCAGATCATGCCACTGCACTCTAGCCTGGGTGACAGAGTGAGACTCCGTCTCAAAAATAAATAAACAAACAAACAAATAAATAGCATTTGTGTTTAAAAAAAAAAAAAAGAATGTGTTCATCAAAAGACACCATAAAGAAAGTGAAGATAAGCCAGAGTGGAAGAAGAAATTCGCAACACACCCAACCAATCAAAACCTGTACCCAATACATATAAAAATGCCTATGAATCAATAAAAGATAACTCAATGGGAAAATGAACCAAAGACTTACTGAAACAACTTGAATAGAAATGTCATAAAGGAGAAAAGTCCAATACTCAAACATATGGAGAAGTGTTTAACCTCACTGGTAATCAGAGAAACACCAAACCAAAGTCACAGTCAGATATCACTTTCCATCAACAAACTAACAGAAATGTTAAAGTCTGACAATTCCAGGTGTGGGCAAGAATGTGAAGCAACAGGAATGCTCACACGCTGTTGGTGAGCATATCAGCTGGCATGACACATTGGAAAGAAGACATGCATAGCATCTAACCCAGCAATTCGACTTCTATGTATATACCCTTCAAAAACATATGCACATGTGCAACCAGAGACAGATACAAGGTTAGCAGCAATTCTTTAACAGCACAAAACTAGAAACAACTTGACTGTACATCAATAGCAGAATGGATAGATTGTGGTCTACTCATCCAATGGAGTATCATATTGCAAAGAAAATGAAAACAAATGAATCTCATGTTGAATGAAAGAAGCAAGATATAAAAGAATCCAGGAGGCTTGGCACGGTGGCTCATGCTGGTAATCCCAGCACTTTGGGAGGCGGAGGCGGGCAGATCACGAGGTCAGGAGTTCAAGGCCAGCCTGGCTAACATGGTGAAAACCTGTCTCTACTAAAAATACAAAAATTAGTCAGGCATGGTGTTGGGCATCTGTAATCCCAGCTACTAGGGAGGCTGAGGCAGAAGAAGTGCTTGAACCCGGGAGGCGGAGGTTGCAGTGAGCTGAAATCACGCCACTGCACTCCAGCCTGGGCGACAGAGCAGGACTCTGTCTCGAACAACAACAACAAAAAAAAAAATTCAGGAAGCATGATCCATTTAAATAAAATTCAAAACAGACAAAACCAAGTGATACTGCTTAGGGACGTATTTTGTCTTAAATGATCAAACAGGAAAGAAAATCGAGGAAGTCATTACCATAAACACTGAGTGGTGACTGAGGGAAGTGGGAGAAGACTGTGTTCAGAAAGGGATCCCCTGCGGTGCTCTGCTGTGTTCTTTTTTGAGGCTACATTGGTGTTGTACTGTATGCATTTTCTCTATGTGTTTTTACTATAAAAAGCTGTTTGTTTATGGATATGTACCTCTGAACCCAAAATTTAGTTCTGAAATACTATCTCCCACTAAAAAGCAGCAGGACTGACTCCTTGAAGAAAATGGCTGATTCCAGATCCAGGGCAAGAAATGTGTAAGATGAATCCAAAACATCTTGTTGTACCAGAAAGAGAGAAAGCTATCAGAGACTACTAGGTCATGCCAAACAGACACAGGGACCAATGTGAGAAGGTTCACACTACCACAAGGGGGATGATCTGAGGGTCAGTAACTTCAGCAGAACACAGTAAATATGCTAAAATATATCATACTTTTAAAAATTACAAAAACCAAAAAACAAACCAGTCACTGTTAAAGGGTACTAATAAGTTAAGTCAAAACTTCAAAAACAGGCCAGGCGCTGTGGCTCACGCCTGTAATCCCAGCACTTTGGGAGGCCGATGGGGACGGATCACTTGAGGTGAGGAGTTTGAGACCAGCCTGGGCAACACAGTGAAACCCCATCTCTATTAAAAATACAAAAATTAGCCAGACATGGCACGCATGGTGGCGTGCGCCTGTAGTCCCAGGTACTCAGTAAGCTAAGGCACGAGAAACGCTTGAACTGTGGAGGCAGAGGTTGCAGTGAGCCAAGATCACCCCACTGCACTCCAGCCTGGGAGATAGAACGAGACTCTGTCAAAAAAAAAAAAAAAAAAAAAAAAAACTTCAAAAACTGGTAAATATGGAGAAAAATCAAACATTTAAGCCAATAAATGTCACAGAAATCATAGAACTAAGAGTATCCAGCATTTTACAACCCATAAGGAATGACTTGATCTACACATTAAACATCAATGAGTACTAACATCACAAAAAAGGACAATCAGATACTAAGTGCCTCCTCTTGGAAGGACTCAATGTCACCAGTGAAGTAGCCTAGCTAAAAAATAGTAATAAAATAAAACAAAACTTGAATGTTATGAGCCTGTAGGTCCAACTACCAAATTCACAGGAAATTCAGAGGAGAGAGGAACATATTAAACAATACTATGGGGATGTAAAACCTCTAACAAGTAACCTCATTTCTTTAAAAAATAAGTAGCAAGGAGGATAAAAGAGTGTGTACAGAGGGAACAGACAGATTAAAATAGACTTAAAGGACAACAACCAAGTCACACTGTGTGAAACCTACCTGTATCCTAATTCAAAGAGAGTAAAATAAACTATGACATTTAAAAGACAACTGTGGGTGTGGGGAGACAATTATAGGTAATACTCAGTGCTCAAATATACACTAAGGAATTATTATTTTTTTCTCATGTGTTAGCAGACTGTGGTTATGTTTTTTAAAAGTTATTATATTTTAGAGATACATACTGAAATATCTACAGATAAAATGATATACCTGAGATTTGCTGATATACCTGAGAAAAAAATGATATACCTGAGATTTGCTTCAAAATAATACAGGAAATGGATTCCACAAATTAAATAAGATTGGCTATAAGACGAAGAGTTATGAAAGCTGAATGATGGGTACACAGGGTTCATTACACTTTTCTGTCTTGTGCTGTACATATTTGAATTTTTTTCATAGTAAAAGGTTAAGAGTATTTTTACTAGTAAACTAAGCTTAAGAAAAGCTTTTGAAAAGAATATATATTCTAGTATAAACAAAACATTTTTTGGAATGTTAACTATTAAATGTTAACACTGGGTAAAGGAATTGGAATAAAGGACAATGTAGGAGAGAGATTTTGCTTTCTTATACTGTTTGAAATAAAATTAGCATGTGCATTTTAACTTTTATTATCAAAAACATTAGAAGGCATAGTCTGAGCAGTGAGACTAACCAGCCATGGTTTTCTTCTGTCTTTATTAGTAAAAAATAAAAGTAGAAAGAAAAATAACCGAAAGTTAAAAGCTGAACTTCAAAACGAAATCATGTATCAGTTAACACATAGGAGAACTAAAATTCCTCACCATCTAGACCAAAGATTGGCAAACTTTTTCTGTAAAGGACCAGACAGCAAATATCTTAGGCAACTACTCATTTCTGCCATTGTAGCAGGAAAATACCCATAGATAATACGTAAATGGATGAGTGGGGCTGTGTTCCAATAAAACTTTACTTATGGTAACTGAAATGTGAATTTTGTACCATTTTTATATGTCACAAGATATTACTATTCTTCAGCTATTTGTTCAAACATTAAAAAATGTAAAACACCATTCTTAGTTCACAGGCCATACAAAAAGAGGCATAAGGCCGTGTTGGCCCGGGGGCCGTGTTTGCCACTCCTGCTCTAGACAGTTTCTCATGCCACTTGGATCCCCTAGTTTGGAGATACCATCTGGACTATATAGATTGTCTATTTTTATGTCTTTTAACCTGGTAGTTCCCATGCATTTCAACAATGCTTCTGTGAAAAAATCAGTACCATATGTTAACAAGGCTGTTTACAATTACTTCATTAGAGATAGAATCTATTTTCTCAGTTAAAAAAAAAAGTAAATGGTCAAGAAGACACAAATTTGCTTCAACCCATGCCAAGTGCAGCTTCGAAAATGACCAGGGTAAGAGAAAAATCTTTGACTCTTAACCTCCCCTGTTATTAATTACATGACTTAAGCTGTAAAATCTTTTGCAAAGAAAGAAAAAAGGAAATTCAAAACTTTTCAGCCCCTTTTGGAGCCATGAGTCCTTTCAAAGTTTCCATGAAAACAATATAGTTAAGACCCTGAAAGCACCAGTGTCCACAGAAGCACAAACATGGGTTATCTTAGGTCCAACCATATACATTATAATGAAACCAACCAACAAGCCCAGAAGAGCCACCCAGGCCTTCAGCCGTCATATCCACTGAATCTGTCACTAATATCTACTGAACACATATTAAGTATGCTGGCATCCACAGCTCGTTTGATCTTCCCCACCACCTAGAAGGCAGGAATTTTCACTCGGGAAGGTTAAGTGATGCTATCTCTGTGCTAAAATTCAAGACTCTAGAAACTTAATCTTTGCATTTGATAGCCTAAAAAATTTGACCAAATTATCTAAACCTAAAATGCAGTTTTTCTCTTCCAGAAAAGGAATAGAAATTTGTGGTCTAGGATATATCAGGATCTTCATAACTGCCCCAGCTTTCATCTCAGTTTTATGGCTGATAAAACAGGATTTCAAGTAATTAGTCTACTTCCCACTAGTCTGGGAGGAAAGGGATCCTTGTTTGCTTTTTGCAACCTCAAAAGAAACAACATGTTCTAATTCCACTCCACAGAAAACATTAAGAAGATCCATCCAATGCAGAGCTCTAATTTATAACCCTGGCACGCAACTCTTTTCTACATGGGAGGTAAAGCCTGCCAGTCAATATTCACCCCCCAGGTCAGGAGGCTAGAATTCTAAGCCAAAGACAGATTTGTATTTACCTTTAAACGGAAGTGACAAGCACATACCATGTAATCTATTCCAATAATACTGGATCCTCTGCTTCCTGTCACTCCACTCCAGATACCTTGCAGATGGACTGGCTTCCCTACATCCCTTTGGGGAGGGGGCTCACTTGGGACACACAGGCGACGGGAGGCTGTGATTGCTCCTGCCTGCCTGCCTTTACGTCACCGATGCACTCAGGGGAGAGTGCCCAGGCTCAAATTCCAAACTGTCACAGTGCTGCTGTACCAGAGGAGCTAGCAGCAAGGATAATAAAGACGTGGCATGCAGCTCTAGGTCTCTGCTGGTCCTTGTGTGAGCAAGTGTGAACAAGCGCTCTTTGGTTTCTCTACCCTTGCCTGGGTGCCTGTGTGTACCTACAAACTGGGGTTTACGGAGAGGAAAAGGTGCCGGCCTATTGGAGCAATTTGTGTTAGAGAGGAAGCCAGGGACATACAGAGAGATGTACACAGAACAAAGAGACACAGAGACAGAAAGAGAGACAAGGAGAAAGAGAACTGATGAGGTGCATAAGAAACGTTCCGTGGGGGAGCTGGCGTGAGTGGACATCTGCAAATGGTGATCTGGCCCGGCGCTGACAGCCAAGTCTCTTACTAATATGTGTATGAAAAGACATATTGATATTAAAATAAACACATTACATATTTAATTATGCCAACTACAGTTCATGATTTAGAGGAACAGATGCTTGGAGTAAAAAGAAATAGTGAGCATGTGAATGTGACAGAAGGTAAGAAAAGCAAGTGAGGAAAAGGGGCAGAATGGGGTGGGAAGGGCGTGGGTCACAGAAACCAGTGGGCAGAGAGAGACGGGGACAGAGAAAGCAGGGCCAGGTCCTGAAACGCCAGTATGTCCATGAGGTTGAGGGGCACACAGAATGGAGAGGTTCCAGAGGCTGCAGGCACCACCCTAGCCGCCCTCCCAGGCAGGAAGATGCGGAGGTTATGCAGACTCCGTCTTTCTATCCCCTCAGGACGTGGAGGGAGACCAAGAGAAGTGGGAGGGACAGAATGGGCACAGGCCCTAATGATGCTCTGGACGTACAAGGCTGGAGGAGATAAAATTAGATAAGATAAAGCTTAAGCCAGCAATTTGGAAGGAAAAGCAATCAGTTGAATTACAGAAAGGAAAAGCCACACAGGGGAGAGGGGCAGGGAGGCGAGGCCTGCCCTCACACTCTACCCACCACGCCACTTCTGGAAATAACTCAGGCGTCCCTGGGAGCCACACCAAAGGGCTGAGGGCCCCAGACACTTTCTTTGTGAGCTCAAGTACCTGGAATTACTGTCGAGAGGTATCCAAGGAGGCCTTCCCACTCAAGAACACAACCTACAGATGGGAATGCTGCTCCCCATCTTGAACCCCGGGGTAACTCAGTGGCTTCAGCTCCTCTACTACAGCTGCATACACCCACTACTATGAGTCTTTTTAATAATATTCTTCTGAAATGTATTGCCTATATGATGGATCGATCATATTTGTAATTATTAACGATGATGCTATTATCCCCGTTAAATGCCTAAAAATGCAGTAACCATCTCAGTACCCAGCGTATTGAAGGAAATGCCAAATAAGTGTTTGTCAAGTAAATTACAACTACTTGTAAAAGCCAGGCTGAAAAAAGGAGACAGTGACACCTAGTAACTATGCCCAAAATCTATCCTTCCCTGTCCAGGAGCATCAGGCAGCAGCTGCACGTGCTCAGCGCCCACGGCCATAGCAGCCGTGGAGGAGGCAGGCTGGGGACCCCAGGGAAGCTGCCTCAGGCCTGTCACAAAGAAGAGTGAGTGCTGCGGTCCCTGCACCCTCTGGGAATCCCAGGTCTGCCTACAAGGTCAGAACTGAATGTTACCCACCAGCACTGTTCTATCAGGAAAACAAATCATTTTTATAAAGAAAAACTCTCCCCTGATTCTGACCACACAGAAGAAGACAGAAAAATGAGCTGCAAAGACCATCTGATAGGGAATAACATAATACAAGAGAATACAAAAATCTATCCCAAACTTTTTTGGCCAAAGTCACCCCAATCTCTTTCCCATTTGCCGAATGGCCCTCTCCTCCCACATACGCGATTTTTAAACGTAGACCCGATCTACTTCTCAAAGTATTTAAGGTGATATACAATAAACAATAAGACTATCAAAATGAAAATGGGGAGGGAATCACATAAAAAAGTTAAAAACATAAATTTTAAACCTTGGCCAATCCAGCAACTATAATCAAGCAATAAATTTAGCTCTGAGCTTCTTTGAAGCCAAGACAAAAGGGGAAACATGATGGGAAACACAGATATATTAATAACTTGGAGAGAGATATCTCAGAGGGATCATGGCTAAGACATCAAAAGAAGTTTGATCTAGCAAAGAGCCTAGGTCGAAGTGCAAAATTCTCAGTTTGTATCTCAGCATCCTCACCCACTGGCTGTGCAGTTGTGGCCAATGTTACAGGAACAAAAACCTCCTCATGACCCTAGGCATGTTCAGTCAGGGGTCCCGGAGCCTGACAGAGCACCAGCACCTCTGCTGCCAAGATGTCATGCATCAGGCTCAACGTCACACCGCTGGATAAAAGGAGAGCGGGGGCTGGAGTCTGAGGTTGCTGTGTTCTGTTAACACACTCACTGCCTCTCTATTCCTCCCAGCTAAAAAAGTGTCTACCTCATCAAACTTAAGAACAACATAAAATCCAACTAATTTAAAGGGTTTTGAAAAAACGCATCAAAAACATAAAAGCAATATACATGCAAAAGCCAACTGAACAATATAATGAAAGTCTCAAATTCTAGTCAATAGGCCACTTTTCTTAAAAATCAAGAGACATGATAAAGTTCCAGTACCACCAAAAAGTGCTTAACACTTATCTTTATCCATCTCTTCATTCTCTTCACCTGTTGTGAAGTGCCCACTTGGTACTTCTCTCCAAATTTTGCTCACGCACCTCCAGATGCAACCTCTTGGGGCCTCTGTTTACACCTCAGTGGGATAGAAAAAACATCAGCCCTATGGTGTGATTGTGACTATTGGAGACAATGCCTGGAACAAAGCCATTGCTCCATAACTGAGAATAATCATGTGGTTAAAGTCTCACCTCCAGGCAGCATCCTCTGCACTCCACATTTTCTCTCTCCCTTATTCATTTCCAGATCCCCCTGCAGGACACAGAGTAAGATACCCACTGACTTCTTGTGGTCTACTTCCTGGGTGTTGTTTCAATGGGCTTTGTTATAACAGGACTAGTCTTCTGTAAATACAACTTGGTAAATAGGATGAAACATAACTTTGCGACAATTCAGTAGAAATAGGCATACAAACCTGGGCCTGATGACACTCACCTCCCCTTGGCTATAAACATTACCCTACCTGTTAAGTCAGTAATCCTTTGGGAGAGCGCTTACTGAGTATCTATGATATGCAAAGACCAAAGACCGAGGGGATCCCTGGTGTAGAGCAAGCACACACCTGTTATTAGCTACCTGCCACCTGCTGGGCATGCAACATACATTGTCTCAAATTCTAACCACCCTGCAAGGCAAGCTTCCTTGTTCTTTTAAGAAAAAAAGTAGACCAGCAAGATTGATTTGCTCAAGATTACACAGCCTGGAATCTTGTCATGGGCATGTCTGACTCTGATAGCAATACCCTCAAAGAAACTGTCAGAGAAGACTCAATAAGAAGAAAGTTGAGATACAGAAACCAAAAGGAGAAGGTAATTCAGAAATTCAAACAGAGTGGGTGTGATGGGAAGAATTCATTAATAAGAAGGTACCTCTGTAGAAAAATCTTACCAGACAGTCTGGAAGTGAAGGAAACAGCCAATAGTCCAGGGGGGTCAATCCAGAGAAATCAAGCCCCCACCAAATCATTTAACTTTGTTTCTTTTAGCCTAAATTATCTGCTCTGACACTTTATAACCTAAATGTTCTGGTTGTTGCAAACACTTCACTTCCCATTGTGTGGTTTAAAGACATGTTTTTCCTCCTATCTCCAAATATCCAAAACCTATGTGAGAATGTCATTTTTTTTAAGTCTCTATTCTATATCACTTTTCTAAAAATCAGAGTTAGACTATAATCTGCTAACGTAAACCTTGTCTTCTCAATTACAATTCCAAACGCATTATTCTTAAGGGTATATTAAACCATACACATCCAAAAAATAGATCCTAAAGGAAAGAAACACGGGGAGCTTGATTAGTTAGTTAGGGAAGGCTTCCTGAAGGAGGCCAGACTTGATATGTCTACAAAAATGAGGAGGAGGCTGGGCACAGTGGCTCATGCCTATAATCCCAGTGGGAGGCTGAGGCAAGAGGACTGCTTGAGGCCAGGAGTTCAAGACCAGCCTAAGCAACATACTGAGACCCTCACCTCTACAAAAAAAAAAAAAAAAAATTAAAATTAGCTGGGCATGGTGGGACTCTTATAGTCCCAGCTACTCGGGAGGCTGAGGTAGGAGGATTGCTTGAGCCCAGGAGTCAAGGCTGCAGTGAGCACTGATTGTGCCACTGCACTCCAGCCTGGGCAACAGAGCAAGACCTTGTCTCAGAAAAAAAAAAAGAAAAGGAGGATGTGCACGGGTGCAGAGCAAGTGTGGGGGACATTTCATGCTGGGGAACATTTTAGGCAAATGGTCCCCAAGACCTTTTCGATAAGGATACTCCAGCGAAACAAATGAGACTGTTACAGGAGGCAGCACTGAGGCAGGGCAGGTGGCATTGGAGAACATGCACACCACCCCATGGGCACCGTGCAACACCACCCACCACCCATGGAAGTGGTGACAACAGTGGGGAGGGGAAGCCTGTCAAGCAGATGTCACCAGGTGCTTCAAGCAGTGTTGTAGGTCCCTGCTTATAGGTGCCAGGCCAACTCACCCACCTTCCTTCGACTCTTGGAAAGAAAATAGTGGAGGTCTTTCTAAATCATGTGAGACAATAACTCCCCCAGAGGTGCCATCCTCTAGATTCCAGGGGATAAAGACGAGCACAAGAAGTACTGCTGAGCACTTTGTGTGGGATGTGTGTCTAAACACGACAATCTGAAGACAGAGGTGTAGAAATTGGCAAGTTTCCTAAAGCATGACAACACACACCCAAAACTCTTCCATAATGATTCCCTTTTTCCCTGTATTTTTCCTGGATGCACCATCACTATGGGAACCAGGATGGTTACTCCCAATTCCCTGTCACCCACCGCTTATTTAATAAACGATTTCTACTTTACTGAAATTGATGCTTCGTTTTCTTCTAATTCCATTCTATACTTTACCTCTGCTCTGAGTTACACTGAATTTATAACCCTTCTTTTAAACAGAAGTCTTGCAAGAACAAACTACAGCAGTATCAGCAACCAACAATGCCACCAATACAGATTAAAAAAACATTCTTATCTGAGGCCAGGTAACCAAATTTATGCAAAATAACTCAACAGATGCTGGTCAGTACTAGCTGACCCATGAATTTAAGCTCTTACTTGGAAGAAATACAACCCAAAGAGGAGAGAAAGGAAAAAAATGAGTCTCATATTAACATACAATAAAACCTTATTAACTGATAACTCCATAAATTATGAGTGGCAATCAGATAGATAATTCATTCTCTCAGTGATAAAAGAAATTTTGCTAATAAAATATAAGTACAATTTTAGCATAAGGAATGGTATGAGTTGCTCAACCCACTTAAAGTATTTCCCAGCCTCTCTGATGCACTGCTTCATACACAACAGTTATGTATGCCATTTCACAGATACCTCATGTTACTTAGCAGAGACTCTTGGCTGATCATTAAAATAATTCTAACTCTTTACCTAACAGTCATCACTCTACACACTTAAAGAAAACTAGACTTCTGCTGCTGGTCATGACAGAGCAACTGGTACCACACTATTTCTCACATTATGAGTCCAGCACAACCCAGACACCAAAGCCAGACAGGGACATTACAAAGAAAATGTACAGACCCAATATCCCTCAAGAACATACATGTAAAAAGCCTATGCTAAAATACTAGAAAATCAAATCCCTCAATATATAAAAAGGATAATATATCAGGACCAAGTGAGGTGCGTCCTGGGAATGCAAAATTGGTTTAACATGCAAAATTCAATGGAATTTACCACAATAAAATAAAGGAGAAAAACCATATGATTATCTCAATACATGTAGAAAAGACATTTGACAAAATTCAACATCCTTTCATAATAAAAACTCTCAGGAAAATAGAAACAGAAGGAAACTTCCTCAACCAATAAAGGACACCTATGCAGAACCTCCAACTAACACTGTACTCAGTGATGAAAGAATAAACACTTTCTGAGTTCAAGAAGAAGGCAAGAATGTCTACACTCTTACCATTTCTATTCTATACCATATGGAAGGTCTTAGCCAATGTTACAAGGCAAGAAAAATACATACATACATATATACATAAATAAGTATTAGAATGGAAGAAACAAAACTATCTTTATTCACAAAATAATTGTGTTCATAGAAAATTCTAAAGAATCTTCAAAAACTACTGGAAGTAATAAGTAAATGTGACAAGGCGGCATGTACAAGGCAACATATACAAAAATCAAGCATGTTTCCATATACTAGTAATAAACAACTAGAAGATTCTTTTTAAAATTCTATGTGCAATAAAATCAAAAATAATATAAAAATTAGGGATAAATAAAATACATGTAAGACCTCTATACTAATAACATTGCTGAGAAAAATTAGAGAAGATCTAAAGAGATACATCACACTCAGTGATTAGAAGACTCAATGTTCTTAAGCTATCCTTCTCCCCAAATTGACCTATAGATTCGACGTCATCTCAATCAAAACCCCAGAAGGCTGTTTTATAGAAATTGACAAGTTAATTCTAAAATTTAGATAGAAATGCAAAGGACCTAGAATAGCCAATACAATCTTGTAGTGAGGGGTGGAGAACAAAAATGGAAGAACTTATATAATCCAATGTTTAGACTTAAAACAAAGCATCAGTAATAATAACAGTACAGAGATAGCATAAAGACAAATGTGTCAATGGAACAGAACAGAGACCCTAGAAACAGAACCAAATTTATGTGATCCATTGATTTTCAATAAAGGTACCAAAGCAATTAAATGAGGACAGGAAAGCATTTTCAACATATGTTGCTGGAGCAACTGGATACCCACAAGGGAGGTGGCTGGAATTAACCTCTTAACCCCAACCTCATACCATAGAAAAGAAATTAATTTGAAATGGACCACAGACCTAAATGCAAAAGCTAACATCATATAAAGCTTCTACAAGAAAAAAGGTAAGAAAACATGTTTGCAATCTTTCTTAGGACCCAGGTAATATTAACCATAAAAGAAAAATCAAAATTTGACTTCAATATTAAAAGTAATAAACTAGATTTCTCTCCAACATTCTATAACTCAAACTCAAGTCTTTCCTTTTAATTGGTATGACTTAGTATTATCTAGCTGGGTATATTTCAGAATGATTCCAGAAGTTCTAATGAGAGCCTACACTCATGGACAGATCATGTACAATGCTTTTGACTAATCTGGTCTACATTTTCAAATGTCTTGAAATAGAATGCTATCCAAAAGACCTATAAAAATACTAATAATACTCTAACAATAGTCTATTGGCTACTGGGCACACTCCATTTATCTCAAATAATTAATGCCATAATTATCATCCAGTACTGTAAATACTACCAGCGCACAAAGCTTTATGGAGGGGCATGGATAGGAAGAAATGGGCCACATGTTAACAGACCAAGAACTGAGGGTCTAGCTGTCATACACAGCAGCCCAACCTCCCTGAGAAGTCTTTACCTTTTCCAAGATCAACGACTTAAACCTCAGCTAGGTAAGCTTTTTAGGTTCTAATTGGAATGCTACTGACCATAACTTTGAAATGTTGTAAACTTGACTTAATGCTATTTCATGCAACACAAACTAAGGTCATTTCCTTTAATAGCAGGAAAGGTTTGAGAATACAATCCTAATAAATCAAGCCAATGAACAAAGGGAAAAGGTGATCTTATTTTTCACTATATGAACTCAAGGCTTCTTATTTTGATGAACTACCCAATACAGTTCTCCAGTCAAAGCCATCAGAAAGGCAAATCCACACTGGAGTAGAAGAATGCTCCAACAGACATGGGATATCTGAGAAGATTCTGGCAATAGGCCTTGCCCTGCAACCTTCCAGCCACTATGCCCTTGGGTAAGTCATTTGATCTCTCTAAGCCCTAAGTTTTCTGATCTATAAAACAGGAATTGTGATACCTGCTTTGTTTCATCATAGATTGTTCTAGGATTGAATGAGAGAATGGACACGAAAGTACTTGGTGAATTATGAAGTACTATACATTCTGTGAGGGCTATAATGTTTGAGAGCTTTCTAACACGTTACCCTCAATGAAGATGCAGTTCTCAAAATCCAAGTGTGGGTGGGCAGTGGAGGAAAGATTTTCCTAGATTTATAGAATGTGAACATTAAAACTTTAAAGAGCTTATCTGGCAATACGCCCTGCTCATTTGACAAATTAGGAGATAATAACAATAGCTGCTTCTTATGCACGATGTACTATGTTCCAGGTGCCATGCCTTACTCAAATCACTTCATTTATTTCTCATAGCAACTCTGAGGGGATACTATTTTACAGATGAGGAATCCAGGCTTGGTGACAAAGTGAAGATGTACAACCGGGGGGAGAAAAGTTGGTACAATTCTCCACTCTTCTATACAAAACCTCAGAAAGATTAAGAATGTTTATCTGTGTAACGTAGCCAATTGGAGGGCGTGCCATTGCACCAGCTGTCCTTATTCACTATGTGTTTGAAAAACCTCGAACAGTAATCACCATTAAGGTTAGGGTCAAGGTCCGAATGCTTACCTGAAATAAGTTTTCCACCCCACCTCTAGGAAGGACAATGTTCTCAGGGAAGACAAGATTTGGTGTCTAAATCCACAGTGCAGCTAAAACCACATGGTAACAAGATGCTGTACTCATACTGGAATAAATTCTGACTTAAGGCTATGTCAGGTGGGAATACAGCCCCAAGTTCAGGCTGTCCTGACAATGGGTCAGGCCAGAGTTCAAGCCTACATCATTACCTTTCCCCAATAACCAATACTTGACTCTCTTTCCATTCTTAGCCCAGGAACTTAGGGTAGAGTTGGCTCCTCCCCAGGTCGAGGGGTGACGCACATGACCTGGCCCCACGTCAGCAGTGCTGCACACGTCCCTGGCCTTGCAACTGGTTCCGGATGTGCGCGTGACCCAATCTGAGACAATGGGAAGAAACAAGACTCCATCTGGAAGGACTGGGACAAAGACTCTCACACTCTCTTTTGCTGGAAGGTGGAAAGGCGTAGGCCTAGAAACTGTTGGCAGCCATCCTGCAATTACAAGGGGAGGTCGTGTCTGAGAATTCTTGAGAATGGAATCAACATACAGGAAGTGGAGCCAGGCTGGAGAGAGAGAAACCAGATCCTGGTGACATCATTTGAGCGCCTGAGCTGACTCCAGTTTATCCCTGGACTGGCCAGCAATGTGAGCCAATAAATTCCTCTTTGGCTTAATCTAGTCTGTGCTGGGTTTGAGCTCACTACCTGGGACCAGAGCTCTAAAACACAAGCTCAAGGCCATCTATCCCCAACTGAACTGTGAGCTTCTTGAGGTCAGGAAGGACTCCTGACTCCCTCAGTTAACGTTCAGAGAATTGGGCTGATCCTTGGCACATCCTGAGAGCTCCAAATATATGGGAATTATATAGGTCACCTTCAGACTTTGCAAAGCAAAACCTACACCCAAGCAGAAAATAACAAAAACCTGCAAGGCCCCATATGATCACTGAATTATTAGTTCTAGCTTATTCCCACTGTACTGCCCACCTCCCCTACTGCAAAGCTACCAGGTTTGACATGCTGCTACCTACTCTTCACCACTGGGTCATCTCCTCCTTAGTAAAATAGCTCTGGAAGACAACAGGAATGAGTTCATGTCCTGATCTAGCCCTTTATTTCATATTTAAAAAATGGAGGTAACACTTAATATTTTTCAAGCTACCAATAATACACAGAAATCACTTATTACAGGGATTGTGCTCATTTACGATACCAGGATTTTTACTTCTACTGCTCCTAAGAGCTAAGCAATAACTATGAGTTAAAGGCAAGTGAGATCTCACTGCATAATCCACCTAGGTAGAGGGAGCAAGAGCCAAGCCCTAAATATTCGGCCCAGAGTCCTTGCCAACTCGAGTAAGGATAAGACATACACCAATCTCTCCTCTATTGCCTACAAAATAAGTTTTCAGAAAACTTATTTTCCCCAAATAAAGTGCTAAGCAGAACCTCAAACACACATACATGAAGGAGAGAGTGAGGGAGGAGGCTGCTGTGTGGGTAGCACGAGTGGGAGGGCACAGTTCCACTCTCCCGAGCCTCTCCCCACTGCTCCAGGCCACGCAGAACCTCCAAAGCACCCTAGTGGCCTGCCCCTGTGTCATTTCATTGCTTCTCAGAAGATTTGAAAATCCAAAAATAAGCAAAATTAATATATGGTTGAAATTCATGGCTCAAGTGAGTGAGTGTTTAAAACCATTTCCATTTTCTTTCCTTGGCTGAAAAGGCCAGACATCCACAGGCTATGTGAAAAAGAAAACAAAGGCAATGATCCAAGAAATTCAGCCTGAAAACTTACTCTGCTCCAACCAGAGAAACTTAGGCCCATGGTAAAAGCTGAACAAGAAATTAATTAAAATGAACCCCAAAAGAGGCTTCAAAGGCCAGGTACACATGTACCCCTGACCTATGTCACATCCCTGCTCCATCATCTCATCCCTAGAGCCCTGTTCCTACTAACTTAAAAGTGCACTAGCTGAGCCTAGGACATTTTCAACCTGTTTTTAAGATTTTCATGCAAATCTTCTGTAAACTGCATTTCTGGTGCTAAACTGATGCTTAAATGTATCTTGTAGTTTTGTGTGTTGGCACAGCAGTCATTAAGCTTGTCTTTGGAAAGAACTGTTTTCCACCTCTAAAGAAGACAGCAAAAAAGTTCCACTGTTAAATAAGATATTCTGTGTTTATGGCACGGAATTCCTTCCACAATTCTGTGCTTGCCCTCTCCCTGCTCTGGGAATCCTTCCCAGGATGTCCTGTTGGGCTCCATCCACCCACTGCCCAATTCAGGAAAAAGTAACCCTTACATTCTCAGCACAAACCTGACTGTTCTCTGCTCTTATCAAGTTCAAAGGCAAAATGAGCACCTTCCCCCCATCCTCCCCTCACCATGGACAGAAGAATTATTCCATTTCCTCAGGTCGCTACTTCTAAACTGGAATTGATAAAGTTTCAGGACCATATGGAAAAGGGACCTCATACCTGAGAAGCCCAGCAAAAGGGAGTTCTCCTAAAAATGAGAATTTCACAGATATTCACCAAATGAACACTCTGCACCAGTCCTTGAGTAGTGATAAGAGACAACACTGTCCTTGCCCTCAAGGCTCTCAGAGTCTGGTGGAGGAGGCTGACCTCAAAAATAACAAGTCTCTTTGTTTCTGAATGCTTTCTTTAAAGTCAAGGACAGTCCTCCCTGCAAAAAATAGATTCTAGAGATAGGCTGGAGATAAGAAAAAGAAATGAGAACCCTGGTGATCTTGCCGTAATTGAAAGGTTTCTTAATACCTTCTAATTATGAGAGTGGCAAAGGGGGGCCTGAAGGCAGGACTGAGTGCCTAACGTGGGTTAAATAAATTAAAATCTAAGCCTGGGCAATGTCTCCAAGAAGTTGCTTTGCTTGTTTGTGTGTATGAAGTACCTGTCCTTGTGTAAATGAAGACATACACCATGGCACTTGGAATGTGCCTATGGCGAAGCGCCAGAGGCCCTGGATGCCAGTCTCAGTTGTGCCACTGTGAATTTGCTATGATTCTTGGTCAATCCTTTCTCATGTCTGAGATAGTCCCCAGACTCATTTCTGGTCTATAATATCCTAGCTTGGTCCAAACTACAGTATCTCCCATCACTAAGATGTGGGTAAAACATCCTTTTACATAGAGCAGTTTTGAGATTTTTTCCATAGCCTGTTGACCTTGGATTGATGGCTCAGATGGCCCTCAGGGTTACAGGAACCTGAAATAAAGGAAACCTCTACACAGGGCACCCAGCAGGACTACACCCATCTCCCTCATGTCACTGTCTCAGAACACCCAGTGTTCCAACTCCTGCCTCTTGCCCCACTTCACTCAGCATCTTGCAAATTCTTGGAACTGACTGCCTCTAAAATGAAGTACCCACCCAAAACACCACCAACCAATGCAGCCAAAAGAACTAAACTCGAGAGTACTCCAACTTCCATCACGGTAAGTGAAATAAGCCAGGCACAGAAAGAAAAATATCGCATGTTCTCACTCTTATGTGGGAACTAAAAAAGCTGATCTCATGGAGACAGGGAGTAGAATAATAGTTATCAGAGGCTGAGAAGAGGGGCTGGAGGGGGATGAAGAGAGGTTGGTTAATGGGTCAAACACACAGTTAGATGGAAGAAATAAGCTCTAGTGTTTGATAGCACAGTAGGGTGACTAATAGTTAATAATTTATTGTATATTTCAAAATAGAAGATTTGAAATGTTCCCAACACAAAGAAATAGTGTTTGAGGTGGCGGATACCCTAATTACCCACTATGATCATTACACCTTACAGGCATGTATCAAAATAGCACATGTACCCCATACATATGTACAATTATTACATATCAATAAAATTTTCGATAAAAAATTCTTCAACATCTTCCCCTAGTCCAAAGAGTAGATCAATTCATCCACTCATTCAGCATTCACTTTTAGGAGCTAACCTCTCCAAGAAAGAACACACTTCTTGCAAGCATCTTTCAGCTCTATTTCTGCAAGTCACACCTATTGGCTGAGGTGAGGAAAGGCACTAGCCTTTATACTGGCAACCACATCCAAAAACTATGCAGAAGAAGTGTCTCTGCCTGCAGGGCCCACAGACCATCTAGTCTGGGTAGGGGGCTTGCTAGGAAGCCCAGAGGCAACTACATAAAGAAGAAGCCTGAGCAGCAGGTAGATGAGGGACCCACAGAAGACAGATCACAGCTGGGTGTCTAGGGCACCACTGGGTCAGGAGTGGACAGAATGCCAGTGGGTATAGCCAGTGCTGCCCAACAGGACTGGCTGCAATCATGGAAACAACCCATATGTCGTCTAATACGGTGGCCATATATAAATAAGGAACAATGGAAATGTGGTTTTTTTTCCCCCAGCTTCTCGCTCTGTCACTCAGGCTAGAGTGCAGTGGCATGATCACAAATCACTGCAACTTTGAACTCCTGGGCTGAAGCAATCCTCCTACCTCAGCCTCCTGGGTAGCTAGCTAGGACTACAAGCACACACCACCATGCCTGGCTAATTTCTTTTTTTTTTTTTTTTGGTAGAGATGGGGTCTCACTATGTTTTCCAGGCTGTTCTCCAACTCATGGCCTCAAGCAATCCTGCCTCAGCCTCTCAAAATACTGGGATTATGGGCATAAGTCACAATGCTTAGCCAAAATACAGCTTTATGACTGAGAATCTTAAATTTCATTTAATTTTAATTAGTTTAAGTTCTTATAATGACATGTGGCCAGTGACTACCATTTTGGACAGTGTGGCTCCAGGCTATATAGTGTACCTTCTGGAAGAAAGGACAAAATTTCTAACATGACTCTTCCTTATTGAAAAACAAATGAACTGTGTGCTTCAGAGCCTACCAATTATCTTTCCCTACATATACACCCAAACCTTTCGACCCTCAGAAACAGTGGGGTGGAAACTGAGAATGTCCCAAGGTGAAAGTCCAGAGACTTATACTCCAGTCCTGGTTTTGTGGGTCTGTGACCCTCAGAAAGGCCCCTCCTCTCTGATCACAGTGCCTCCCGTTACTCCGACAAGGGAGTTGGAACAGGCAACCTTGAAGACTCAATCCAGCTATGGCCTTCTAACAATGTATATTACGCGTCATCAAAAGTAAAAACTTTTGTGCTTGAAGGATACCATCAAGAAATTGAAGAGGCCAGCAGTGAGTAGCTCATGCCTGGAACACCAATGCTTTAGGAAGCTGAGGCAGGGAATCGCTTGAGGCCAGGATTTCAAGACCAGTTTGGGCAACGTAGCAGGACCCCCATCTCTACAAAAATTTTTAAAAATTAGCACAGGTTGGGTGGCACACACCTGTAATCCTAGCTACTCAGGAAGCTGAGGCAGGAGGATTGCTTGAGCCCAGGAGTTCAAAGTTGCAGTGAGCTATGATGATACCACTGTACTCCAGTATGGCCAGCAGGGCAAAAGCCTGAAGAAAAGAGAAAGAAATAGGGAAAGAGAGAGAGGAAAAAAGGAAAGAAAGAAAAAAAGAAGAAAGAAAGAAAAGGAAAAGAAAGAGAAAGGGAGAGAGGAAAGGACAGGAGGAAAGGAAAGGAGAAAGAAAGAAAAGAAAGAAAAAGAAAAGAAAAGAAAAGAAAAGAAAGAAAGAAAGAAAGAAAGAAAGAAAGAAAGAAAGAAAGAAAGGAGTTTGCAAATCATAAATCCAAAAAGGAACTGGTATACAGAATATATGAAGAAGTCTTATAAACCAATAATTTTTTTTTTTTTGAGATTGAGTCTCACTCTGTTGCCCAGGCTGGAGTGCAGTGGCATGATCTAGGCTCACTGCAACCTCCACCTCCTGGGTTCAAGCGATTCTCCGGCTTGAACCTCCCAAGTAGCTGGGACTACAGATGCCTGTGACCATGTCTGACTATTTTTTGTATTTTTAGTAGAGACAGGGTTTCACCATGCTGGCCAGGCTGGTCTCGAACTCCTGGCCTCAGGTGACCGACCCGCCTTGGCCTCCCAAAGTGCTGGGATTACAGGCATGAGCCACCATGCCCTGCCACAAACCAATAATTTTAAAAATTCAATTTAAAAATGAGCAAAGGATTTGATACAAACGGCTAATAAGCACATGAAAAGATGCTCACTATTATTAGTCATCAGAGAAATGCAAATCAAAACTACAATGAGATACCACTTCATATGCACTATGATGGCTATAATTAAAAAGATAGACAATAACAAGTGTTAGCAAAGACGTACAGAAATTGGAACCTCCACATGTTGCTGGTGGTAATGTAAAATGGCGCAGCTGCTTTGGCAAGCAGCTTGGCAGTCCCTCAAAATGGGAAAGTTACCATATGACCTAGCAATTCCACTCCCAGGAATATAGCCAAGAGAATTGAAAACTTAAGTTCACAAAATACTTGCACATGAATGTTCACAGCAACATTATTCATAATAGCCAAAAAGGGGAAAACACTCAAATGTTCATCAGTTGATGAAGAGATAAATAAATGTGGTATGTCCCTTTAGTGGACGATTATTCTACCATAAAAAGGAATGAAGTAGTGATACACACGATAGTATGAATCAACCTTGAAAACATTATGCTAAGCCAGGCAAAAAGGACACATATTGTATGATCCCGTTTATATGAAATATTCAGAATAGGTAAATCCACAGACAGAAAGCAGATTAGCAATTGCCTAGGGCTGGGGCTAGGGAGGGGGAATAGAATGGAAAATGGGGTGACAGCTAATAGGTATGGGGTTTCTTTGGGTGATGAAAATGTTCTAAAGTTGATTTTGATGATGGTTGCTTAACAGTGAATATAGTAAAAAACACTGAATTGTATGATTTAAATTAGTTAAGTATAGGGTGTGTGAATTATATCTCAATCTCAATAAGGCTTCTTTTAAAAAGTATGAACATGCCATGATCCCTGCTACTTACTGGAAACCAATTAATTCTGTTATTCTTTGCCTCCAGGTCCCAATGCCAGGTGCCAGTGACCAGTGCTGATTATCTGATCCTGGCTGCAGAACACTGACTCAGGTCAAAGATGCTTCAATTATAAGCAAGAGGCCTCTTTCTACAACAGTCTTTGTCGTCTCGCACAGCTTCACACAGCAAGGATGAAGCTCCCTCTGCTACAGATAAGATTAAATTGTCTAACTTTCCTGGTATCAAAAATGCGTTTTTGAAACAGGCAAGAAAAAAAAAGCAGAAACTTACATATCCTTCTGAGTCAAGCTCAAGACGCCCTGCTGGCAAGTGAAGCAATTCTGTCTACTTCTGTAAATAACCTGAATGACAGCTGTGACTTCTACGATTGCATCAGTTCCCAAGGACCCTCAAACCCTAGCAAGGGTCAGGCATGTAGCATCACTATGCAGAACCCCAGAACCGAGTCTCTTTACTCTGAGGTAACAGGAAAATGTGCCTTGCCAGGGAGTGAGGAAGGCTTCTAAAAATCAGGCATTGGCCAGGAGTAAAATATCTTACTTTCCCATTTTCCTGGGGCCAAAGGCTAAAGAGAAAAGGTGAAGGAATTCTTGGCACAAGGAGAAAGTCAGGCCAGACGAGACTGCAGACTTAGAGAAGCGTGACTGCGAAGTGGTAAAGCTGTTTGTTTAATAAACACATCAGAATTGTGTAAATATGTGTTCCTTCAAAGTAGTAAGCTTGGGAAGCTGGACACGTAATTCTGATAATATTGCCATTCCTCAACGTAAGACCTTCAGAGCCCATGACACATTGCACTCAAGATTCTCAAAGATAAGAAAACTTGGTTATTTGAAGATAGATTTGATTTTCTTACAAATACTCAAGAGTTTCTTAAAGAAAAGACGGGGAGTAAGGTCAGTGACAACAGGATCCCATTTTTAGCCAGAAGCAAAGGAAAATGAAAAGCAGAAACTGGCTCTGAAGACAAGTGTTGCAACATCTTTGGGAAGAGGTTGCAGCCCTAGAACTACTGCTTTGATGGGAGCCCTATGTGTGGGTTGTGCAAGTTCTGATATCTTCATTAAGCAATCACAGTCTCTACCTCCAGCACTCTGTTCCTGCATTGGAAAGAGAGACCACCGGACACCTATTAGGAAAACAGGCAAAGCAATCAAAGCAACTTCAAGGTGCCTGGTACAGACAGAGTGATGCTTCATTAAATGGTCTATTATTTACCAAACATCCCATGCCAGCAGCTGTAGAGGATTTAAGAGAAATGGGACACTGGGTCCCTGCTCACAAGGAGTTCACATTCTTATCAGAAATAGTAAGAAAACAGCATAAGATCAAACACAAGCAAGTCTGTGGTTCAGAAGGCAGGGCTGCTTCCACCCCAGGGTGCTAGTCCTCTCAGTTCTACAGAGAACACACCAGCTGATTCCAGCTCCCCAGCTTCAGCACCCGACGTGCAAAGCCACAGTGCAGAGAAAGCAGGCAAGACCCACATATCAGAACTCCAGCCTCAGGTGGCTACCCAGCTAGTGGTGTGACCAAATCCATTACTTCAGTTATTCATCAGACAAAACAAAGACAGATTTAGGAAGAGGATGAAGATGTGAAATTAATTCACATATTAAGCTCACACTTAAAACTAGGAAATAACATTTGCTTGCCTAGAGGGCTGGCTGGGTTACAGGCCTATCCATTATGAGGCAAGAATTATTTGCAGTTTGCATGTCACAAGCACAGTAAATACCTATCTCAAGGAGTTCAAGGAACAGTCAGGAAGCTGGCCTTTGAAAATCGTGATGCATGGCCGGGCACGGTGGCTCATGCCTGTAATCCCAGCACTTTGGGAGGCTGAGATGGGTGGATCACAAGGTCAGGAGTTTGAGACCAGCCTGGCCAATATGGTGAAACCCCGTCTCTACTAAAAATACAAAAATTAGCTGGGTGTGGTGGCGCACGCCTGTAGCCCCAGCTACTCAGGAGGCTGAGGCAGAAGAATCGCTTGAACCTGGGAGGCAGAGGTTGCAGTGAGCCAAGATACTGCCACTGCACTCCAGCCTGGGTGACAGAGTGAGACTCTGTCTAAAAAAAAAAAAAAAGAAAGAAAGAAAAGGAAAAGAAAATGGTGATGCAGCTCCTGTCTGAAGGGTAGGGAAGGAGGGAGGGTCCTGTCGAGCTCTGGCCTGGTTGGCTCTTTCAGTCCCTCTCTACCACCTTCCTTCTGCAACTTCAACTTCTTCCCAAGCACAATCACCATAGCTGTGCTGGCAGGTATGACTCTTCTGCGTAGGTCCCAGATGTGGCACTGGCATCATGGAGAGATGGAGTGGAATTAGGATTCAGGGCCTTGCAGTGAGGGATTAGGATTCAGGGCCTTGCAGTGAGGGATTAGAAGGCAAGATGAAGCCAAGTCCTCTCCTCGAGGCCCTCTCTCAACAGACAGCCATAAGGATGATGCCGCCCATGTGTATATAGCTTCGTAGATTATAAAACGCTTTCACACAGATCTCATTTAAATTTTTACCTCCTGCTTTATGACCAATGAAGAAAGTGAGGGTCACAACGAAGTAAAGTTACAGAGCAGGGACTCAAAGCCAGGCCACCGGACTCCAAATTCAGCATTCTCTCCATGACATCCCTCACACTCAGTGCTGGGCACAGCACTGCAACAGTGAAGAAAGTGACCACAGACCTCATTTGTCATCTTATGGGTTTATTCCCTCAGCAAAGAGTCATTTAAGTTAACGCCTCCTAGCTTCATCTGCCTCACCTGCAAAATGGGGACGCTAGTAACTACCGTATGGCTTGTCGTCCAGATAGGCAACACAGAAAAAATGCTGGGCCTGGTGCCTGCAATCAAAAGGTGCAGGCCCCAAGACACAGGCCCTACTAGTTCATTGCACAGAGGGGAACATACTTCCATGAAGCCATCAATGTGGCCACAAACACCAACCCGAGTCCTCACACTGTACTTGGTCTTTCTGCTTTCAGTCACAGGGCTCCCTGCCGCTGAAAATGCTGACCTCAGCGTCTCAGCAGGAGGCCTTTCTGCTGCAGCACCACTCACCCAGTGCCCCCACCAGGCTTCCACACAGCGCTATGCTGTGGGTGAGCCCTGAGCTATGAGTAGAAACTAGCCCCTTGCTGAGGAAAGGGAAGGGAAGGGAAGGGCACACTCCTCTTTCCAACCTCCGTGGACTAGGCCACAATAAGGGAAAAAATCATAAGGCAAAGAAAGGCAGCAATCATGGAAGAACACAGGGATTTAACAGGTGTGCCGTGTGACTGATTCTCAAAACCCTATGGCACTTCAAGGGGGGTATAGGAAAAGATTCCCCCAGTGCTCAGATACTGCCAAACCTTAAACTTCACTGGGAGGTAAGACTCTCTTGAACTATTCTTGACCAGTTAACTAATGCCTTCTGGTAAATGAGAGCTCCCTCGCACATTATTTGTATTGACTCCTCACAAAGATCCCACATGAAAAGTGAGATGAGAATTATTATCTCTGTTTTACAGATGAGGAAGCCAGACCAAGGGAGGTGAGATCATTTGTTCATTCCCAAACCCAGTCAGTCAGCATCAAACCTAGAAACCAAACCAAGATCTGTCTTCCTCCAGAGTCTCCACTCTCCTGATACGGTGGAAGGCTGAAGAGAGAGAGAGCCAGAGCAGGGCAGAGCCTAAATGCCTGAGAAAGTGGGACTAGATGCACAAGGAAATCAATGGGCCAGCATCTGTTGTTCACAGAGGGTTCCCTTGCAAAATCGCCTTTAATCCTCTCAACAACATGACTATTAATAATGCTATGATCCCCATCTTACAGGTGAGAAAACAGAGGTCAGGGACCACATGTCAGAGAAGCAAGCCCATCACCTGGGTCCTGAGGAGCCCTAGCTCTGGCAAGCCAGCTCCCATCTGTGAGCCTTGGTCTCTTACCCGAGTGACCTGCAGGGAGGACTCCATGACACGAGGAACACAGTGTGGCAGAAAGGGCAGGAGAGGTCCACATCCTAATTCTGCTGCTTACTTGCTGTTTGCTCTTGGGCAAGTCATTCAACTGCCCCACACCTTGGCTGCCTGGTGTGTCAAATATCAGCAATGTTCACAAGGCTGCTGTGAGGATAAAAATCAGACCCTATGATGAAGTGCCGTATAGGCCGTCCCTGACCACGCAGGTGTTAGTGATTGTTTTCACGACTCCAAATCTAGGAACTGCACGACCATCGGGCCAGAATCCCCCTGACATCGTTGTGCTCCTTAGCTCCTGCTTTATTTCCTCTTCTGAGCAACATTTAAGTCAAGAGACAATCAGGGGCTCCCACCTGGGCCAAGCAGAGAACAAGAGACACCTGGTGGATTTCAAGTCGGCTGAGAAAGTCACACGTAAAGAAACCACCAAGCCTTGTGGGTAGTGTGCTGAGCTTTGAACTTTTTACCCCGGACCACCATGTAGAGGCAGGCTTCAGTCTTCTAGCTGCAGCAGAATCAGATCCTGACCATTAAACTAGCCCCCTCTCTGTCCTTGGTGTTCCAAGGGAATTAACCACCCTTTATTGTCTAAATGATGATGGGGTATGGTCCAGGTCTAGGCCCTCCTATGGCCAGCAGGCTCATTTTCAGTTCATTTCTTCACCAGATCCGCTGCAAAACCCTCTATGACCACTAAAGTCTTAGGCTATTCGGTGGGACAGATGCACTAGCTCAGTCTGGTAAGAACACCTAAAAAAATGGCTTTAGAAATTAAACTCCAATCCAAGCAAACTGTCCAGGAAGCTCTTCTAGTATGGCAGGAGGGACCCATCACTATCCAATCCTCCATCCAGCCAGCTCTTCACCAGGTGCCCCAGAGCAAGCCGGCTGGTCTTCCCAAGCCTCAGTTTCTTCATCTACAGCTAAGGCTAACGACACCTACCTCACAGGACTGCTGTGAGGCTGAAGCCCATCTTAAACCTCTGGCTCACAGCACAGTGCTTTCTAGGAGCCAGGGCCTGTGATAACACCTTTAGCCATTTTATTTCCTCTTCCACAGAGAAAGAGCAGATGCAGAAAGGGCTTGACCCAGTCACAGAGCCAGTGAAAGGCAAAGCTGGGACTGAATCCTAACCTGGAAAGTTTCTATGCCAGTCCCCAGACCTTGGTTCCAATCACTAATCAAAAGCATGAATGTGAAGCCTAGCCAGAGAGACCCCCACCCCCCACGCCCCCAAAAGGTTCTGCCGTCAGCTCCCCCATGGTCTCCTCTCTGGCTCTGCCCTTTGGTCATACCCTCCTCCGCTTGGTGTTTAGGCATCATCAGCCTGTGAGCCTGGACTCCCTTTCATGGCCTAGTACTTGAGCGTGGGCGCTTGAGTCAGAAGTCCGGGTGTGAATCCTGGCCCTGCCAATTACCAGGAGCACGGCCTCGTGCAAGCAATATAACCATTTCTAGCCTTGTTTCCTCACCTGTAAAATGAGGATTTTTTTAACAGTATCTCCCTTGTGGGTTTATGGTAAAGATTAAATGGGAATTAGAGGAGATTACAGTCATGCATAGCTTAACAACAGGTATAAACAACAGGGTCCTGAAAAGTGCATTGTTAGGCAATTTCATCACTGTGTGAACACGGAGTGTACTTACACAGACCTAGATGGTACCACCTACTACATACCTAGGTTATATGGGATCGCCTGTTGCTGCTAGGCCACAAACCTGTACAGCATGTGACTGTGCTGAATACTATAGGCAATTATAACACCAGTTGTATCTAAATATACAAAAGGTACAGTAAAAATACTGTATAAAAGCCAAAATACAGTACACCTGTAGAGGGCACTCACCATGAATGGAGCTTGCAGGACTGGAAGTTGCTCTGAGTGAGTCAGTAGTGATGAGTGAATGTGAAAGCCTACACTACCATACACTTTATAAATACCGTACACTCAGACTACATTGAATTTACTTATTTTTATTTTTTCAGACGGGGTCTCAGTCACCTAGGATGGAATAAAGTGGCACAATCTCGGCTTACTGCAATCTCCATCACCCAGGCTCAAGTGATTCTCCCACCTCAGCCTCCTGAGTAGCTGCAATCACAGGCGTGTGCCACCACGCCCAGCTAATTTTTTTGTATTTTTGGTAGAGACGAGGTTTCACCAGCTGGTCTCGAACTCCTGAACTCAAGCAATCTGCCCACCTCGTCCTCCCAAAGTGCTAGGATTACAGGTGTGAGGCACGCCTGGCTACCAAATTTATTTTTAAAATAAAGTAATTGTGCTACAATGTTACAAAGGCACAATGACTACGATGTCACTAGGCAACAAGAATTTTTTAGCTCCATTATAATCTTATGGGACCACCGACTTTGATCTTGGCTGATGAACTGAAACACTGTTATTCAGCACAGGACCCTATATAGAAAGCCCACCTAGCTCAGCAATGTCAGCCAATGTCAGCTAGTAACAAAGGCAATAACCACTGTGCCTCCAGTTATAGTCAGAAAGACAGGGCAAGCTAACCACACAAAAACAAGAAACTGAGGAAAGACCCACTGCATTTGTTAGCCAGCTCTGCTGATTCTCTCCTGCCCTACTACATCCGCTGGCCTGTGCCCTGGCTATTTCCATAAAATAAATGTGGCAATCTATGGTCAAATGATTTCTACAGGTTGGTATGTATGAAGAAAGCAATAAAGTATTTTATGAAATTAAGCAGGGGAGGGAGAGGTGATGGAAACTATCTTTCGGAAGATGTATTATGGCAAAAACCGTCATTAGGTTTGCACCGACCTAATACTACACAAAGAAAATAATTGAAGAGATAATGAAAAGTTGACTCAATGCCCAGCTTGCTTTAAAGAGACAATCTTTTGTCATCACTGCCCCTGCTGTTCTTAGACCCTGTCCCTTGGTCAGATAGGAGATGCCCAACTTCAACCTGGAGTCATAGTTGTAACTGAGGTGGGTAGGAAGAAAACAGATTGGGAGACAGATGCTCTGCCCTACATCCCCATGCGGTTCGTCTCTCACTGTGTAACCCAGGGCAGGTCATGCTGGCGGGTCTGAAAAAGGAACAGACCCATATGGAGGTTTCTGATGTCCTCTCCAATCCCAACCTCATCATGTCTGTGATTCCTCATTCAGGGTCAATCAAAACCAGGCGGTCTAACCTACTATTGTCCCACCTGGCTTTAATAACATCAATTAACTGATTCATTTGGCCAACCTAAAACACGCCAAAGCTTTCTCTACCCCACCACACTAGTACCAACCCATGGATGTCTAGGAAAAGATTTATTAAACACCTGTCTTTTACCAAATTCTAGCTGGCTGTCTCTACTTTGCCACATTCTAATTTAGAATTTTGGATGTTTTAATTTCACTCCCACCAGATAAAAATTCTGAAAAGAGCTTTAGAAAGATTCACCATTAATTTATATTTCAATAATTCAGAATTTGTGTAAGCCTACAGAGAAGTACAATTTTGCATTATCGTGAAAAAAGACCAAGGGGCTAATTACTGACATAAAAGGGCAGCATTTTACCCATTTAAGCTGCTTTCACACCGTTTCAAAGCAGTCATTTAAATATAAACAGTGTTTCATTATACCCTGTTGTTATCTATTTACTGAAGAATATTCAAGGATTTCTTATTTTTAAAAATATTGGTCATTTATTTAAATTACATTAGAGTAAAATAATAAAACCACATATATTCAAATATGGTTTTACGGGGGCAGGGGAGGATGTTCTTTGCATAAATTCCTGTATCCCTTTGTATTTTGAGTTAAACCAAGTTAGCACAAAGAGGGAATGTGTCTAATGGGACTATATTTTACCCGTAATAAATGCTTTAAAAAGTACTTTATGAATGATTAAATAATGGCTATGTTAAACTACTCTTTTTTCATCTTCCCAGCTTTCATCCTATACTAATTTATATAATCAAAAAGCAGCGTTTTTATAGAAATGAGAAGTACTTCCATTTTCATTATACCACAGTTTAATGTCGTACCCTGACCCCTGAAAAACATGAATGCAGGGACCATCTGCTTGCGCGGCATTTCTGACCCCGACAAAAGCACGGCGAAGACATGGCTCATTGTGCTCCAACAATGTACCTTACACAAGGACCTGCGCTGGAGATTCCTCCTTGGATGTGCTTCCTAGAAAGTGCTGCTCTGAATGAGCGTGGCTGCTTCCCTTTGTCGAAAGGATAAAAACCCTGTGTGTCAGGATGTACTCTTTTTCGCCGCCGCTGCTGGGAAACCTTGAGGCCAATTCCATGTCCAGGTGTCAGCAATCAGTTCCCCTCGAGCACCCTGGCAAGTAGACTTTGCTTCCATTCCCCATTGTCCCACTTTCATCAAATTCTATTTTCTAAACCACCTCAGAGATTTCGGAAATAAGAAGGGCACAAACCCTAAACACCATAATAATAGCGAGATTTTACTGTGTGTGAAAATAAAACAGATAATAAGAACACGGGACATCAGAGACATACCGGATTGGATATTCTTCTTCCCCAACTAACAGGGACATAAAGGCAGTATTTGTCATGAAACCAGTCCGTAGCAAGCAAACGTTCCAAAATAAGACTCAGTTTTTGTATTAGGAACTTATTTACCTATTAGCTACCTGGAATGAATATTTCACTCAAAAGAAACAATAGTATCTAAGCACCTGGGACTGAAAGCAAGGGAGACAAGAATAAGTTTTGGTGCCTTTTATCTGGTCACTGGTGCAAAATAGATTCCTAAAATCTAGGGCTCAGGTTTGTGGACTTTCTACTCTAACCAGATGCTCCAGATGCTACTAACATCCCAGAGAGAGGCCAGACCCAACCCCCAAGACTTCCTTTTGTACAGCCTAAGATACAGAACACATGAGGTCACTCTGCAGAGTGAAATGACTGCTGAGGCAGTGAGATGTGGTGTGAGGTAAAAGAGTACAGGCTTAGTGAAGAATGATGTGGCAATAAACATGGATATTAAAAACGCACATACCCTCCAACCCGGAGAGTTTACTTCTGAGTTGTCATCCCAGACAAACGTTTTCTTGCATGCACAAAGAAGCATACAAAAGGATATTCAATGCAGCATGATTTGAAACAGTAAAACTTTTGGAATTACCCTAAATGTTCATCACAAAGAAAACAAATAAACTGTGGTACATTCATACATGGAATATTTTACACCAACTATGAAGTTGTTAGATTTCTGCATACAGATATGGAAAGGTCTGTAAGGTCTATTGAGTGGGAAAAAGGAAGCCATAGAATGCATGTTCCCACTTGCACGAAATTTAAAATACTCAAACTGTATTTATGTTTCAAAATGCACAGGTGATATATACATACGTACACACACGCTGTGAAAAACAATTCGGAAGGGACACACGGAACTGATCATTGTAATTAGAAGGAGTTGGGTAGGTAAAGGGGTTTGTTACTTTATCTGTATTGTTTTAATTATTTGAAACAATGTATTCATGTATTACTTGTGTCAATTTTGAGTGATGATTTATAGTAAGAATGCAAAATATGAAAACAAATCTGGCTGTTTTCCAACCCCACACTGTAGGTTTTCCTTCACAACAAGGCATGGGGAGCCACAGCAGCGGGCTGGAAGGCAGAAACACAGGGCTGCTGTGCTCTGCACAGGAGGTCTCAATCAATATTTGTTGAATAAAGCTGCCTCAATTTCCTTTCTTATAAATACGTCCTCTTATAGCTGTAAAAAAGTATCTGTGAGTCTATGTTATGCAGGAATCCCTGACGGACACAGGAAAAGGATTCAGCGTCAGCCCTCAGAAGATGAGCATGGCAGGGAAAGGGAAGGAGAAAGAGCATGAGCCTCTCGCCTGGCCCCTTTGAATCCCCAGGCAAAGCTAACCTAGGCCACCTCTTCCTGCCTTCCCTGGCTGGGCTCCTACAGGGCCAGCCAAGACCGGGATCCCACCACACTCACTGAGCAGTCTGCACCTGCCTCCCCGCCCTCCCTCGGGTCAGCCCCTGATTCCCTCCAGCCTCACCTCGCGTTCACTCATTCAATAATTTCAACAGATGTCCTGTGATTTCTAAAACTACCACTCACCTAACAGGGAGGAAGGAAAAAATTAGCAAAAATAATTGCTTTGAAGTTCTGGAGAAGAAAGTCATTTTCTCCAGCCCAGGCAGTGTCTGGGGCCCTGCTTAATTAAAGCCACCAAAGGAAGGCTTCGTCCTGCAAGGCCTGTGTCAACAATGCCCACCTCCACCTTTCCCCTAACTCACACACTCATGAGCATGAGCTCTCTCTTACTCTCTCAAACACACACACACACACACAGAGGGGGCTGTGGAGCTCACTGATCAGTTCAGGCAGTTCCTCCTTCATCCCATCTTCAGCTATTCTGTTTCTTCCTCCATACCACCCATTTCCGGCTTTGCCTGCCCAGCCAAACACCCTTACAGCCCACAGGAACCCCAGCTGGGAGAATACCAATCTCACCTGAATTAAAAAAGGAAGGCCCCCGCCTCCACCACTCTCCTTATTTCCATCACATGAGCAGACAGGACTTGAGGACCACATCCTGTAGCTGCATGGTGGGGATGCTAACATCTACTCCTGGATCAACTGCTAACCAGCCCTCTACCCTTGCTGGGGCAGGGACACCCGCCGACACCCCTCCCTTCTGCACATCTGTCCACTCAACAGTAACAGTGCACATGGTCCCTCCCTGTACACCCCACCTCCAGAATTCTAGAACCTCTTCCATTCCTTTAGGAACTTTCTTTGGTGAGAAGCTGTTGGGGTCTGTTGGGGCGTGTCCCCACCGCCACTGGTATTTAACACCCAAGTGTCTCTACTGCTGGGCATGCTGTCACCCTGTATTGGGTACTTTTCACATTTGTCAGACAGTTAAAAAGTAAACAAACACCAATGAGGAAGGTTAAAAAAAAAGAAAACTACCCACCAATCTGCTACAGAGGTCTCTGTTTCTGATGCAATCATTGTTAAAATGCCGAACTTAAGCTGAGATTAAGAAAGAAATGCCTTGCTCTCACTTATAAGCGGGAGCTAAATGATAAGAACTTACGAACACAGAGGGAAACAACAGACACTGGGTCTACTTGAGTTGCGGGGTGGTGGGGGAAGAGAGAGGAACAGAAAAGATAACTATTGGGTACTAGGCTTAATACCTGGGTGATGAAATAATATGTACAACAAACCTGTGCGACTTGTGTTTACCTATGTAACAAACCTTCACATGTACCCCCAAACCTAAAATAAATGCTAAAAACAAAAAAAAAGAAATGTGGGAGGAAGAGCATCAGGATAAATAGCTAATGCATGCAGGGCTTAATACCTAGGTGATGGGTTGATAGGTGCGGCAAACCACCGTGGCATGCATTTACCTATGTAACAAACCTGCACATCCTGCACATGTATCCCGGAACTTAAAATAAAATAAAATTTGAAAAAAAGAAAGAAATGCACGTCCCCACATGCCCTCCTCAAAATGAGCTGAGGAAGATGTACACATAGGCAACGTGAGGCTGACCTACTAGAGGTCAGTCAGACTCTGGCTCAGAAACCCGAGGGTGCAGGGCAGGGATAGAATGCTGGTGACATCTTTTCAGCCCCCCCTTTCCAGCTGTGTCTGATGCCATTTCTACCCAGTGGACTCTTTGGTTAACTGAGTTTATAAATTGTACATACATACGCACTTTTTTTTCAGCTAAGCCAATTTGAGTGAGTTGTATTCCCACAATCTGTAACCCAAAGAGTTCTGGCTAATACTCTAATATACCCAAATATCCTCACCCTAAGGTAGTCTCACTAGTGAAGGGTCTAGATGGGGAGGTTCGTTGTATAAGGTATGACTATAAAATAATGATATTCACATTGTAAAAAAACAAACCAAATGAGCAAGGACCCCCACTGGAATTCCTCTTATGGAATTTTAATAGTAAAAAACCTAAATTCTTCTTTTTTTCCTTTATTTTTGAGACAGGGTCTCATTCTGTCACCCAGGCTAGAGTACAGTAACATAATCACAGCTCACTATAGTCTTGACCTCCCAGGCACAAGCAATCCCCCCACCTCAGCCTCCTGAGTAGCTGGGACCACAGGTGCACGCCACCACACCCAGCTAATTTTTTTTTTTTTTTTGGCGGGGGGAGACATGGAATCTCACTATGTTGCCCATTCTGGTTTTGAACTCCTGGCCTCCAGCAATCCTCCCTGCTAAGTGTCCCAAAGTGCTGGGATTACAAGCATGAGCTACTATGCCCAGCCACAAATCTCAATTAAGAGCTGGATTTTATTTTGGAAAAGCCGTCAATACTCAATCAAGTAAAGCCTTTGTCAAAATGACGTAAGGCTTAACAAAAGAGATATAATTATTTGTATAGCACATAGACTGTTTCACATTATATCATTAGGAAACCAACTTTGGGTAAAGTTTTACTACACGAGTCCATCTACTCTGGTCATTTTGAGGCTCTCTCCCCTTCTACCACATTTTTTTGTTTTTTTTTTTTTTTTTTTTTGAGATAGAGTCTTGCTCTGTCACCCAGGCTAGAGTGCAGTGGCTCACTCATAGTCCCCTACAGTCTCAAACTCCTGGGCTCAACCAAGACTCCTGCCTCAGCCTCCCACATAGCTGGGACTACAGGCACATACCACTATGACTGGCTCAATCAATTTTTATGTGAAAGGTGACAGTCACACATCCATCCAAATAGAATCATCTGCAATGTGGCTAATATACAACATTGAATACAGAAGACAGGTTTATAACTTACAGATTCAAAAAGTATCAAGTACTTGTCTTTCTTCTCTCTTTAATAGTTAAATTTGCCAAGAAAGAAAGATATACTCCTGAAATTAAAGACGAACTCTGCCAGGTGTTTCCTGGGATGTCATTACTAATGGACAAAAAGTCAGCCTCTCAGGCAAACATTAATCATTAGCCAATTGTTGATAATTAACTAATGATCTACAAGAATATACCATGGAGTCCTTGTATGGTCATTCATTTATTTATTCACTCATTTGACGTGCATTTCCTGATGTGCTTCCTGTGTGCCAGGCACAGGATTAAGTTCACAAGGCTATACACCCAAATCAGACTGCAGTCTCAGCCTCTAGGAACTCATATTCTAGTTCCATCCAAAGTCACTCAGCTAATCAGCCAAAGAGTCAGGCTGTCAGACCCCACAGCCCATGAGCAGACCATCACACTCCACGCCACTTCCCACAACAGTTATAAACCAGGGGAAAGGGGCTGGTGTCTGTACAGGAGAGTTGGACTGGGCACAGGGGTGTCCAGAGGGAAAGCAAGTACTCAGATGTAGGCAGGCGGGGAGTGGACAAGTATCAGAGAAGGCTGAAGGGAAGAAGCAGCATATGAGCTGTCTGAGAAGAATAGACAGAACCTAGGCCTACAGAAATAAGAAAGTTCAATTCCAACAGAATGACAACCATGCAAAGACACAGTCTTGATGATATACAGACCTAACCTCCACCATATAGGCTAAGCCCAAGGAGCCAGGTTATGAAATTGTGTTTCAGGTATTATGGTTCACACCTCTAGGTGCAAAAGCCATGAGATGCCGAACTACGTGACCATGCAGATACAACGGACTTGATTTTTAAGCCCAGTTAACACTACACTCAGATCTCAGCCATGGAGGAAAGAAAGCAATCAAAGTAGACTGTCCCGCAGCATTCCTGGCCACTGTAAGGCATCTGGTGCCACAGGCAAGCATCCACAGCCCAGCACTGCTTCTCAGACAGGTCCCAGCACTCTTGCTACTCTGAGCCCTGGAACCAGAGTACAAAATTTCCTAGACTGCTCTGCTATGAAAGCCAACACTGTGGGCTCTTTTAAGCAGAGGTGCACAAGAAGGGCCGCAGACCCTAAGCTTTTCAGGAATAACACGTACACCTTCCCACTCATTCCCAGCTAAGGACCTGCAAGAAATCCACAAAGGGACCTGCCACCCAAGAAAATCTGAAACATGGCTCAGAGGAAGGAATGATGGTGGCGCTTCTCCTGGGAAAGTCATTCGCTTGGTGCACATCAGCAATACTTATTTACTGAACATCTACTGTATACCCCTACCACTGCATCAGGCATGGCTGGGGATTCAGAATGCTTCACTATTAACTGTATTTTGAAGACGCTCCAGAGGATAAAGATGTGCATATAGGCCAGGCGCGGTGGCTCAAGCCTGTAATTCCAGCACTTTGGGAGGCCGAGGCGGGCAGATCACAAGGTCAGGAGATTGAGACCATCCTGGCTAACACGGTGAAACCCCATCTCTACTAAAAATACAAAAATATTAGCCAGGCATGTTGGCGCTCGTCTGTAGTCCCAGCTACTCAGGAGGCTGAGGCAGGAGAGAGGTATGAACCCCAGAGGCGGAGCTTGCAGTGAGCCGAAATTGCACCACAGCACTCCAGCCTGGGCAACAGAGCCTCAAAAAAAAAAAAAAAAAAAAACAAATAAACAAATAAAAAGCACCTGGTACATCAGGCACTTTGCTAGATAAGGGGATAGAGAGACATGGGCCATGGGCCTTTGCCTCCGGGCGCTTAGTGCTGGTTCAGAGATGGCTTAGAGGTGAGTGCAGCCATCAGTAGGGATCAAAGAAGGTCTGACTTGGCAGATGAAGATCTCCATTCTGGACATTTTTAATTTCAAGCAGTTCCACACTCCAGAGAAGTAAGAGGTAGCACCGGGAGGAAGAGTACCAGGAACAGATTACACAGACTCAAAACTGTTCAACCATGTCGGTTTGCTTATAAGAAACTGAATGATATGAAATAAAGCATTTTTCATCACAGTGAAGTATGATATTGTAATCATCCCCACTCTGACACTTGATACAGAGGCATTCCCCTCCTCTGTGCTAAAAAAAAAATAATAATAAAATCAATGGTATTTGCTTTCAGTAAGTGGAACTGAGGAAATACTGCTATTGACTGAACTAGGAGGGCTATTACTGTGGGAACTGAGTTGCACCGTTTCCATGACTCCAGCCTCCACTAGCCCTGCAAGTCCATAAACGAAAGCTGCAGAGAAACTTGAGAGTGTTTATATTTTTAAAAAAATAAAGAACAAAAACTATCCCTGGGAAAACTTCTGCCCCCCAAGGTAGTCTCCAAATCCCAAAACTAGCTGAGTTACATACTATCTAGAACAAAGACACATTGGATCAATGGGGATGGCCACGTTTCTTCCCCAAAAAAAGTCATAATTTTACTAGGTAACTGGTAACAGGCAGAAACATCATACATAAAGCTGGCCCTGGATCTCACTCTATCGCTCAACTGCATCTTTCCCATGGAGCTATCAGGCAAAGAAAACCAGCAGCTTCCAGATACATGCAGCCTTGCAACTCATTTCAGCGTCTGCCCTTTGATTTTACCATTCACATTAAATGAAAGGTATTTACTACAGATGAAAAATAAGTTTCGTTCAGCTGCCTCTAAACCAATCCCAAAAATAGAGCAATCACTCTAGTACAAATTGGGTCAAATGTATTTAAAAAAAAAAAAACAAAAAACCAGCTCCCTCATGGGAGGACCAACATGGCATGGGACCTTGCTTAGAGTCAGAAGGAAATCCACAAAGATCTTCCCTTCCCACAGTGGGAAAGGAAGTATTTAAAGAGTCAAGCAGAGTAAAAATTCATCTGGCCATGTGACCACCCAAGTGAAAGCAAGACACAAAGTTGAATGCCATGAGTTTCAGAATACTATATGAAGAGGTCAAAGGAATATACGTTGGCTTTTAGAAAGGCCCACCAAATTAACACACTGCCAAATCCCCCCCCACAAAAAAAAAAAAAAGTTCAAAGCTTAAGAATAGTCAAGAAAAGATTCACTGGAGAAGGGGTGCAAAAGGGAAAGATTAATCCATTTCCTGTATTTTATTTCCTGACTTCTTAGCTGAGAAATCCAAATGGTCTGACAGTGCCTATATCAGTGCCCTGAATTTCCCTGGGAAAAATTCAGAATATTAATTGGCTTACACATGCAGCTACATTAATTATTCCACTGATCTGAATTAATCTGCCTTTCTGAAAGGTATTTATTTTCTAAGTTTGTTTAATCATGTTCTCTTGAGCTACGAAAAGTAACAATCTGGGTCACCATCCACGTCGTTAAATTTGGTAACAAGGCTAACACCATCTGTGGCCTAGACTACGATGATCTATCTCCATTGATGGGAGGCTTTCCACCACTTCTGCTTTTTCTTTAAAACAATCATCTAATGTCACATGTCTACAAAGAAATCAAAAGCTACATAAAATGTCCAAAGTTACACAAATGATCTCTGGCATTGTCCAAATATATACTACCAGTGTTTATGTGGTTATCCGACTCCCATTTATAGTTGTATTTTCAGCATCAATTCCCAAAATTTTTAGAAAATTCTCTAGATATCAAACTACTAAAGCCCACATACAAATAGACATCACATTACATCTGAAATGTGCCACAACATTTTAAATGTAACATGAAATCCTGTACATAAATCGTTAAGGCTTATTCACAAGAGCATAATTTCACTATCTTCAGAAGCCAGCAGAGCTCTCCCACACAAGGGAGAGCCTAGTGTGTTTGCCTTTACAACGCTCGCTCAGTTAGGAACATCCAGCCCTGCTAAAATAGAGCTTCAACATGAGAAGCCAAAAACAAACGGAACCAGCTAAGAGAAGAGAAGAAAAACAATAGAGTTTCCTGTTATCCAGAATGGGCTCCCCTTCATCTCCCATTCTGCATGGCTTCTGATTGCAAAGAACCAATCCTTGCAAGAAGGATGCTGCAGCACCAGAAAAATCCTGAAATGGCTTCTGAATCATCAAAGAAAGATTGCAGAATGTCAGAGGTAAAAACGATACTAGCAATCTTCTTACCCAATCCTCCTAATTGCCAGGTGGCTGCACAGCAATGCAGAAAGGTATGAGAAATGACCCCAAATACAGCTAGTTGACAGGTGAGTGGGACAAGATCCTAGTCCCAGTCTAGTACTCTTTAGTGCTTTTTTTTTAAAAAAAAAACTATATCAACCTTTCCCAAAGGAAGTTCCATGGACCACTGGTTCCATGATGTTAAAGTCTTTTGCCAAAAAAAAAAAAAATGTTTAAAGAATTCATGACTGATTACTTTTAGGGACTAGCTGAGTTAAATAAAAGGAAACCTGTTTTTTAACTGCAGAACTTCCCAAAGCTTTTACTAAGCTAATGTGCACTATAAATCTTTAAGAAGGCAGCAAAGTATATGGAAGCATCCTGATTTATTTAACCATACAATCATTTTCTCTTGGAGCATTTCATAGGACGTGGAGTAGAAACTTTAATATTATATCATGTATTCAATAATATCATGTATTATTCTCCAAATTATGCTCTATGTAGATTTATTAGTTTTGTTATATTCTACTTCTCTAAAAATAGTTCATGTACAAAGTCTACGATAATTCTCTACTTACCAGAACAACTGACCAAAGTACCCACCACTCCCAAGAACACTAGATTAAAAACAAAAAAAAAAAAAGAAAAGAAAAAAGCTAATATTATCAGGAAAAGAATGGTAGCAAAAACTTATGTGGAGATAACAGTTATTTTAAAATCTGCTCCAAATCTCTTCCATAAAAATTCCATATCTATTTATAAAAGATTCATGACTTTAAATACTTTCAGTCAGTATAAATTTGAGAATACAGGTTAAAACAAACAAACAAACAAAAAACCACTGTTGCAAAGCTCCAAGAAACACGACATGCATAGCTATAAACTTCAACCACCCAGAAGGCCAGCTGCCAGTTTAAGTATAGAAGCAAATGATAACCATATACCAGGACCAGCAGGAACTCTAAGGACACTTACCAAGTTATGATTTGTTGAATTAGAATCATCTTCAGGGAATGGGATGTAAATAGCTAAGGCCACACAATTGGCAAAAATAGCCAATAATATAAATATGTCAAATGGTCTGAAAAAATGTGTTAAGGTATATATGTGTTATGGAAACATAAACCATGTCCCTCATCACACTCCCGATCACACCACTTTCAAAGCACTTTTAAAAGGAAAATGACATACACAAATCCTATTTCGGCTGACTGCTGTGACTGCTAGGTTTTCGGCAGAAGTAATCATCGGTGGTCATCTCACAGTGGAGCCTCCTACCAAATGACCTCTCCGTGTCCTTTTCTTCTGTTGCAAGGATCATGTTACACTCATTCTTCGGCTGCACACTGCATATTAAAACCTAAAAGTACATCCAATTAGGGCACTGTGTGAACTAGGTTTCTGCTTCTTACAGGTTTAAAAGTGACAAGAGCCTTACTAAGTTCCCGGCTGTGGTAGACACAGAGAAATCATCATGGGATAAATGTCTTCCGCAGATCCTTGCCTCCATGTGTTAGAGCCATTTTCTCAGGGGCTATTCTTGGCAGGGTCAGCCTAAATCGCCTGTCTGGACTGGGCCAGGCCAAGCCACCAGGACCTTCTCATTCTACCTATAACTTTCTCATGGCATATTCCAATACCTCAGATGTGATCAGCAGCGAGCCAGGCTTCAGCTCCCGCCTCTGCTTTCTCTGCTAGAGGAATCGATGGCTATAACTGTTTCAGATTAGAGCCGGACTGGAGCTCAGTTTATAATATGCTGTTACTGTGCTCAATTTGTAAACAAATTAAATTAAAAAGCCATAAGAAATCAGCACCAGACACGTTCAAAGTAGGCTTTAACATTTCTCAATCTTGGTGGTCTGTCTGGAAGAATCACTTTGAGATCAGCCTTCAAGAGATACTTACCTAAACATTCTGGTGTTATTAAGAGACATTGTCAAAACTGGCAACACAAAATTTGACATCTGCCAAAATGATTGTTTTTCTTCTTTGGGTTTTCAGCCTTTCCAAATACAAGGTTTTGTGAGCACCAGCCTCATCTGCAATTCCTGGGCTTGATTTTACCACAGTGCTTCGCCTATACACTCACCCACAAGAGGCAAGGCCATGGTTTAACTAAACACTTCAAGGTACTTAAAACTGGAGCATACGAACAGACTATTCTCCATTCATCCTGACATACTTCTGGGAAATCCAAAAATGCCACAGGAAACAAATACTCTTTACCTCTCTAGAGATATCATTTTTTTTTTTTTTTTTTGAGATGGGGTCTCACTGTCACCAAGGCTGGAGTGCACTGGCGCAATCTCAACTTGCTGCAACCTCCGCCTCCCAGGCTCAAGCCAGCCATCCTCCCACCTCAGTCTCCCAGGTAGCTGGAACTACAGTCATGTGCCACCACGCCGGCTAATTTTTTTTTTTTTTTTTTTTTTTTTTTTTAGTAGAGACAGGGGTTTTGCCATGTTGCCCAGGCTGGTCTTGAACTCCTGGACTCAAGCAATCTGCTCACTTCTGGACTCGCAATCTGCTCACCTCAGCCTCCCAAAGTGCTGGAATTACAGGCGTGAGCCACTGTGCCCGGCCTCTGGAGAGATCTTGAGTTTCATAAAACCTTCATCTTCGAAGAGCTTTCATAACTCAACGAAAAAAAGGCAATGAATAACATTATTCCCTTACTAATTTTGATGGGTTTATTTTTTTTAAGCCAGTCAGCTTTAATTCACATTGGTTCTCTCAACTCATCTAATATTATAAAATCTTTTTCACCCAGGGATCCAACTTTCAGATAGCCCACCTTAAGACTTCAGAATTCCCTTTCCATTTTTCCTTTTTGTAGGTCCCCACTGAAATCTAAAGTCAAGGGCCCCAATGTTGTTCTCCATAGAAACACAATAGTCTCTTCCCTCCCTCTTTCTTCCATTCTTCATTTTCAATTTCCCAATACCTAAGTAATAGGTATTCTTCCTTTTCAATTTCCCAATACCTAAATGATAAACCAGCACATCTGAGAAATACTAACACTGTTCAGGAAGACTAAATATAAGTTGTATTTTTTTTTCTTTATGTTGGTCCAGTTTTGGTCTCCAGGTACAAGTGGATACCATCTCACTGCCATAAGATTTTCACAAGTGAAGCAGAACAGAGCAATAGAGAAATAGATGGGTCTGATCCTAACAATTCCTTCTGATAAGGAGAACATCCCTCACTCCTCCAGGGGGCAGGACACTCTGTCATGCCTGTCTGTAAAAACAAATGACCCTTGACCCTTGCTCTCCCACTGCGGATGGGGCCTTGACAGAGCTGCCCGGGGTGGAAAGGATTTCTATAGCCTGCTCCCTGAATTAGAAGGAAACTGTCATTAAAAAAAGAGAAAAAAAAATCATATATTGCTTAAGGGTCTATCTATTTTACAAACTGTCCCATTTGTAAACAGGCTTCTCCCTGAATTGGCAGCCACGTCCCCTAATTCCTGTACACATGTGTCTGGCAACTGGAAAAGGGAGACAGCAGCGTGATCCAGGAATTCACTCTGCATGCAAAAATTGCTATGTACACATTACCGTGCACAAAGAGAAACAGCATCAGGCCTCCCACCTACTCCACACAAAAGTAGTGACCCCACAAAGAGGTCTCTGCTTACTCAGAGTCGTGTCAAGCCAGTCTGAGGTCTTCCTGGCAAGGTACAGCCATTGTCATGAATCTAGCAATGCCACTGGGCCACATGCTGGCTTACCGAGCTCCCTCCTCGTTCTCAGACTAGAGAACTTCAAAAGAAAATGCACACACACAACCCCAGCTATGTGAGAGACACCATAACTCACTCTAGAGAAGGGACATCTGCTGCAAAATGAAAAAGCACATGAGAACCCCTCAAATCCTACCCTAGCATTTGGCTGCTCTCTCCAAAATCTTTCTAGACAGTTACCTCATTTTAACTCCTGTCCATTAGCACAGAAAATAGCCAGCTAAAGACAGAGGGCATGCAAATAGCTGCCGAGCTAGATCCTCAAATTATAAGGGGATTTCAGCTCCACTTTCTAGCTGGCTGCCAACATCCTCCCTTTTTGGTGTGGCCCCTCCATCCTTCTGGGCCTGGTGGAGGGAATTCCTACATTCACACCCCTTCCTATAGTTAGGAACTGTTCTAAGGCCCCTGACAGTTCCAAACACACTTCTGGGGAAAGGAAATGCTTTACTTTACCCAGACCAATGAATCATCTGCCTAATTAAAAAGCCATTTGCTCAGAAAGAAGGCCTCAGTCAACCTTCTCTGAAGAGTGGCAGTAACTGGAGGTTGGCCTCCAGATTTAGGGAAGGGGTTAAGCAGGCTGAAGCACAATCGTTTTCCAAGATCTGGGACATGACAGCCATTCTGGGGCATTTGGAGTTCAATTTTAAAAATACAAAGGAGACACCCAGAAATGTACCTCCAGTCCAAGGACATAGACAGAATTTTTTATAAAGGCAGCAACTGCAAATTCCTCCACTGAAAAGGCTGTTCTATAACTCATAAGGGCCCAGGAGGAAGAGGCACACACGAGCCTCTCCCTTCACTGGCTCCCTCATGCTCACGTTCCAAATGCTTCTTTGGAACTTGTCAAAAGGAAATTCCAGGAAGTTATAGCACTGATCAGAGAAAAAAAATCAAAAGTAATCTCTCCCTAGGAAGCATGTGCTCATATCTGCAGCTACCTGAATAATTAGAATCACCAAATGTCAGACTAGAAGCAACCTTAGCATTAATTGTAGTTGCAGAAGCAAATTTCAAACATCAGAATGAGAAGATTCTACTAAAGGTCAAAAATGTATTCCCTTCAAACAGAGTCTTATACAGTCTTTTTTTCTAATCTGTATACCTTGTTTGCAATAGGTTCAATGCATGCTATTGCCCAAAGACAACACTGAATTTAAAACTAACCATCTAATGTCCAATAACCAAAGGTTGGTTTCACATTTTAATTATCTGCCCCTGTGAAGTTTCAGGCTGTCACTCCCTCCCCCTACTACTACTACTATACACACATCCAGACAGTGGGCTAAATATACCCGTACAGCCACCCCTCTGCAACCCGAAGAGACAGGAAGGTATATACAATGAAACCCCTTATATACAACTTCTGTTACTCGCATTCCAGACTGCTACAGCTTTGTGTCACTTCAGAAAGCAAATCCTTTTAAAAAACAGATGGTAAAAGAGAAAATGAGAAAGACTTCCCCCAAAAAAAGGATACTTCCATTCCACTATACTAATGCAGGCTCTTCGGATGGGGTTATTGAGTGATAAACAGAAAAGGGCGCGGGCAGGTCGGCTGTTGGACGAGTTACCCTGTTTTTTGCTCTTGGCGTATTGCTGACGTTTTCTTTGGGAGAGAGATCCTACAGGTGGGGGTGCAGAGGTGCTCATAGTTTGGGCAGCCTTGGCCTGTCTAGCAGCATCGATTGCAGCTTGCCAAGACAGGACAGTTTGCTTGGAGCTATTCGGCTGAGAAGTTGGTCCTTCACCAGAAAGAGGAAGTCTGGTGCCTCTTGCATAGTTTGCCTCTGGGGAGAAGGAGAAAAACAAAGATTTTTTTTTTTAAATGAGGATCCAGTGGGTAGGAGAAAAAAATCAAAGGTTGTCTCCCATCAATAACAGGGGAATCATTCACTCCTATGTTTCCATTTTGAATCTCATGTGCTATTTTTCACAAGCTGGGCTTTAGTCAGCTGGAGAGTCAAGAAAAGTCCACGAGCTCTGGTCTCAGTGTCAATCACACAGGATCACCGCTGCATCACACCCAGTGGGGTTAGTACTCCTTCACATCATGTCTTCACAAAGGGTCTTTTAGTGCATTTCTTCTGACAAAACTGAGGTCATTCCCACATTTACTCCGCATCTCTGATTTGTAAAACCCATCTATCTCTAATGAGTAACAGATACATACAACAGCTTTTCTCTAACATAACTACCACCATCACCAAGGGGAAAAAAAAAGGCAGTACCAATAATTCAATAGTCTTAATCATTTTCAGAGTGTTACTCCAACATCTTTCCACAGCCACAAATGCATTTTTTTCAGTACCGAAAAAAAATCTTCCATAGGCACCCAGGCAATACCAAAAACCCCATAACAAATATCTAGATTATGCACTGACACTTCCTGCAAATGAAAATTCATGATGCTTGGGACTCATTTCCTCCACAGGCTTCCGAAAACAGAAAACATCTTTAGGGCTTTTTTGCATTTTAAATTGCAGCAGCATCAGCCAAGCCAGCATCCAGAGAGACAGACAAGGCAGTCAGCCTGCACCCCTACACCTAGGATAGACTGACTGGATTATGCCAGGGGCCTCCAGGCCTAAGAGGGAATTATCTCCGTGTAGGTTGGTATCCAGGTGCACACAAGGCAGAAACTCAAGGAGGCTCCCTATGCGAAGCCCCCGCCAGCTTTGGGTCAGGCCATCTCCCAGGCAGATCTCCCAGGCACCTGCCGCCTTCCGCCACAGTCTCCTCACTGAAGCAGAAGTGAGAGAGGTGACAGCAAGGTAGAGAGATGGGCGTTTGCAAAGCCAATTATTGCTAAGTAAAGAGTCAAAGCAAGCACGGGTCTGAAAGCCTGAGAAGAGGGCAAAGCGGGCGAGCGGCGGGCAATCGGAGCGGGGACGAGTCGAGTCATGTCAAGCTTCTCCCTAGGGGAGCGCTCACCCGGAAAGGCTTCCAGCCGACAGGGGTTGGGGGGCACTGGCGGTCTCCAAAGGGGAGGGCTGGCCAGGAGCTGCTCCATCCTCCCTCGACCCAGCCCCGGCCGGCGTGGAAGCTGCACGTGGTGCCCGGGCCAGAGCTGGGGAGGGGAGCCCCACAGCGGCAGCGGCTCCCCGGGCATTGCTAGGTTACCGACGTGTGCACAGCCGGCGACGGGAGCGGGAACGCACGCTCCACCCGAACCCCTTTCCCCGATACCGAGGCCGGGCCTCCCCCGCGAGGGGATGGGTGTGCTTCACCCACCGGCGCGGAGGGCGAAACCGGGCAATCCTAGAATTTTCCGGATGCCACCAGGGACCTTCTTCCTAGTCAACGAGGGGGCGGGGGAGGAGTGGAAGGCGAGAAGAGGCTGGCAAGGGGGCTCCGGCTGAAGACTTGCGGCCCTCCTGCCATCGCTCGGGGGCGTTGAAGGAAAGTTGAGCCCGAGGACACTGAACCCGAATCACCCCGACTCGCCGCCCCTCCGGCTGCACCGCGCTCCACACACTCCACGGCCGCCCCCACCCCACAAATGCAGAATTAACTCTGACATTCAGGGCCTGGAGGGGAGCGCGGAGTGGCTGTCACGCATGTCCCCTCTCTGTGTAGACGACACCGAGCTGGCAGCACCCTCTCCAACCCCCTCAACCCATCCAGCGCCGCGGGGAAGGGGGAGGGGGCTGGAGGACCATGACAGGATCGGATTTGGCAGCGGGTGCCCGGGCTCTGGCTGCTCACCGTTCGCGTGGTCCGCTTGCTGCTGCCGTTGATGCTGCATTTTTTTCATCATCATCATCATCATCATCCACGAACATTTATTGAGCGACTACTGTGTGCAGGGCACTGTGCTGGGCGTTGAGGCGGGGGCGGAATGGGGAAGGGGATCACCAAGAGGTAGGAGCCGCGGTCCCTGCCCTTATTCTCGCTTCAGCAGGGGGGTGGGGAGGGACGGGGACAAATAACAGAAAATAAGGATAATTGATTTAAAAAAAAAACCGCTCGCCACCCAAGCTCTCTCTTTTTCAAAAATGGAGCAAAATAAACTTTTTAAAAAAATAAAATCCAATGTATATATTATCTTAATAATATATACATGTAATTTTTTGCTGCAAAGGAGAACTGGCTTGTCCCCTCCTCTAGCGGAGAGACGCCGCGGTGATGCCGGCCCGGCCGCCGGGGCCGCTCGGCGCTCCCCCCATGCCCGCCCGTCTGCCCGCCCGCCGCGGTGCCCGGTGCCCGCCGCCGCCGCCCGCGCCGCCGCTGGCTCGGGACCGCGGGCAGCCGGAGCTCACATCCGGGGACGGAGGCGCTCGCCCGCCCGCTCGCTCCGCGCCCGCCGCGCCGCGCCGCACGCCGGCTTCGCCCTGGCGACGCTGCGCGCCCGCCGCCGTCCCCCGCCCTCCGCCCGCCCCGAGCCGCCCACGGCCCGCGCCGCGCCGCGCCCCGGCGGGTCTGCAGCCCGGCGCGCGGTTCTGCCCGGCACCACTTGCGCGCTCGGGGTGGCCGTCGCGTGGGACTCGGGGTGCCGCCACCCCAGCCTGGCCCGGCTGACCTGCGGGCTCCAAAGGGTTAAGCGCGCTCCAGCGGCGGGCTGCCCGGTTAACCCCCTCCGCGCCGCACGGTGCGCTCTCCCCCCGGGACCCGGAGGAGGCAGGCGGCGCCAGTGTCTCCCGCGGCGCTGGGGTGCGGATGAACCGCTCCTCCCCGCGCATTTCTGGGCTGGGGGACAGCTCGGGCTCCCGCGCCGGCCCCGACTCCGCGCCGGCCTCCTCTGCGCACACCTGGAGGAGGCCCCGCCCCCTGGGAGCTCAGGTGCTAGCGGGCGGTAGCTGCTGCGGTCTCCGAGCTCATCCTCGTCAAGGCTCGGCCGGGCTCCCTGGCTGCTCCGGAGCGGGGCAGGCGCCCCCTGCTTTTCTCCGGCCCTTTCTGGAATCGGGGGGGTTGGGGTAGCCCGGGTCTGTAGAGAGCACTCACTACCCCAGGTAACTGCCTGCAGCTGGAACCGCGAATCCAGGGCGCCCCCCATCTTCTCCCCTGCCCTGCGCCTGGCCTGGCGTCGCGGAAGGCAACGGGGATGGGGGGCAATATCTCCCCCCACCCCACCCCGCCCCCACGTGTGTTTGGAGGCAGGTACAGGGAAGTCAAAGCCAAGGTCTTTCAAACCGCTCGTGTTGTTCAAGGAAATAGACGGTGCTGCTGAAACTGTTGCCTCCAGTCTGGGAGCTGAAGGGAGTAGTTTATTTTTTGATACCTTCGCTGGCTTGGATTTAGGGTGGGGGAGATTTGCAAACGGCAGCTCCTGTCTAAAGGGGAAAATACTTTATCTAGTGGATGACTGATATTTTTCATTTAGCTTTGTGCTGCCTGTTAGGAGAAGGGCGTCTGCTTTGTTACTTCACAGGATTCGATTTATTTGCTTTTGTTCCTATCTGCATGTTCCTACGGCGTTTTAGAACGTTTCAGAACAGTGACTTTAAAGCGAAAATAAAGTAAAAGCTCAGCGTGAATTAAGAAAAATAAGTGTTTATGGGAAGGTGCTCCTTACCCAAAGAGAACACACTAGTCATCCTCAATTGTTGGGGGGCACCTGGGCAGAGAGACTGGGGACCAGACAGAAGACTCTCCAGAGGCCTTCCTGAGGGGGTGTCTGGTCCGTGAGGATGAAAACAACCAGGCTCTTGTCCTTTTTTGTGCTTTGTTTTTGGAGACTGGAGAGGCGAGAAATCGCCCTACGGTCTAGTAACAATATAAAGCTGGCCTGGGCCACCTCTCCTATGGCTGCTTCTGATCCAAAATCTGAAGGGAATAGAAGACGGTTCCCTCCAAAGAAACTAGCCCATCCAAGGAGCATGTATGAAATTCACAAGTACACATGTCACTTTCAGAACTCCTGGTCTAAAGCCTTGCCTCTTGAGGCCTTTTCTACAAAATTCCCTGAGCAAGTTTGTTTTATGATACCTTTGCTGGCTCAGATTTGGAATGGGGGAGATTTGCAAACAGCAGCTCCTGTCTAGAGGGAAAAATACTGTATCTAGTGGATGACTGAGCCGAACCATATTTGCTCATTGTTCAGTTCAGTGCAGCCAGCATTCATAAGGCACCGGTTAAGAATAAGGGTCTGGTCTAGATGTCAGGACAAATCTATGGCACAGTTCCTTCCTCAAGGACAACCTAATGACAGAAGAAAAGTTTGTATACTTTTTTTTTTTTTGAGACGGAGTCTTGCTCACTCTGTTGTCCAGGCTGGAATGCAGTGATGCAGTTTCAGCTCACTGTAACCTCTGCCTGTTGAGTTCAAGAGAGATTCTCCTGCCTCAGCCTCCTGAATAGGTGGGACTACAGGCGCGCGCCACCACCCTCAGGTAATTTTTGTATTTTTAGTAGAGACGGGGTTTCACCGTGTTGGCCAGGCTGGTCTCAAACTCCTGACCTCAGGTGATACACCTGCCTCGGCCTCCCAAAGTGCTGGGATTACAGCCGTGAGCCACCGCGCGCCCGGCCGTGTATACTTCTTTCATACCATGCAAACATAGCAGCTATAACAAGTATGAAAAAGCGCTATACAAGCATCAGACAGATTAATTGTAACTGAGGGAACTGAGATGTTTTCACAGAAGAGAGGGCATTTGAACTGATTCTTAAAAACTGACCGGGAGAAAGAGGGATGAATAGGTGGCATACAGGGAATTCTAGGGCAGTGAAGCTATTCTTTATGATACTGCCATGATGGACGTAGGACATTATGCGTTTGTCAAAAACCCGTTGGACTGTACACCACAAAGCATAAACCCTAATGCAAACTATAGACTTTTGTTAATAGTAGTACCACAATATTGGTTCATCAATTATAACACTGGGGTGTACCAGTGTTATAACTGTGTATATAGTGTAGCTCACTAATGCAAGATGTTAATAGGAGAAACTGTTGGGGGAGAGAATATATGGGAATTCTGTCCTTGCTGCAAAATTTTTCTGTAAACCTAAAACTGCTCTTAAAAAAAATAAAGTCTATTAAAAACAGGTGACTACTTTTACAGGGCATAAATGATGTATGAGGAATGAGCTTTGGGGGTAAGAGCAAAGGCACAGGGGAGACTGAAGTGCAAGGTGGGTGTGTTTAAAAATGAGCAGGAGCACAGTGTGGCTGAGGCAAAGACCCCCTGGGCTAGAGGAGGAGGAGGCTGGAAAGGCCAACCCAAATCTGTGGAGGAAGGCTGGCTGGCTAAGAAGACCAGATTCAATTTCTTGGCAGTGAGAGCCAGTGAAGTTGTTTTAGCTCAAAAGTGACATGATTAAATTGTGGTTTCGGTCTCCAGGTTTTGTGCGTTAGATCTTAACAAGTTTATGGTATTGCAGGAGGGTTTGGGGTTTTTTTTTTAAATAATTATTTTTAGAAACAGGGTCTCACTATGTTGCCCAGATTGGAGTGCAGTGGTGTGATCATAGTTCACTGTAAGCTGCAAGCCCTGGCTTCAAGCAGTTCTGCCTCAGCCTCCCAGCGTGCTGGGATTACGGGCATGAGCCACTGCTCAGCCTTGAATTGGAGTTTTTGACATTCCATCCCAGTTTCTGAATGAGTCTCATCTTGGCGATGTCTCCAGCAAGCATTTTTTTTTTTTGAGGGCCTTGATTCAGCACAGCTCTAGATGCGTTGGCCCATTGGGTAATTTAAATATTTATATTCCCATGATAATGCAAACTACTGAATAAATAAATAATAAGATCTTTTAAAGGCTTCCTGTGTGCCAGGTTCTAGGGTAGGCACTTTATATGTACTAACTCATTTAATTCTCGTAACAAGCCTACGAGGTACTATAAAACCCTCATTTTGGCCAGGCTCAGTGGCTCATGCCTATAATCCCAGCACTTTGGAAGGCCAAGGCGGGCTTGAGTCCATGAATTTGAGACCAGCCTGGCCAACATGGTGAAACCCCATCTCTACTAAAATTACAAAAATTAGCTGGGGATGGTGGCGTGCGCCTTAAGTCCCAGCTACGTGGGTGGCTGAGGCAGAAGAATCACTTCAACCTGGGAGGTGGAGGTTGCAGTGAGCAGAGATTGTGCCACTGCACTCCAGCTTGGGCAACGGAGCAAAACTCTAAAAAAAAAAAAAAACAAAACTCATTTTACAGACAACAAAACCAAGACACTGAGGAGTTAAGTAGCTCGCCCAAAACCACACACAATTACTTAGTAGCTGAGCCAACAAGACATGAGGAAAGGCTAAAACAAAAGATTTCAGCTCTAAATCAGCTACATGTGCTACAACCCAATTATGTTGCTAACACACTATTGTGGGGTCTTAATCTCCATGACCTTATTTATAAAGCACTCCCACTTGAACGCACTGAGCTGGCATGCCAGACATGATTACCTGCGTGCACTGCATTTCAAAAAACCTTGCTGATGGCCCAGTCCAGAACCTCACCATCTCACACCCCAGGTCATGCACAAGATGCCCATTCTCCATTTTTCCTCCCACAAATAATCCATCTTGTTCAAAACACACCATGTCACTTCCCTGACCAAAAAATGTTTTCTTCCTCCTTCCTTCCACATTCAACCTAAACTCCTCTGACTAGCGTTCAACCTTATCATCTCGCACCATTCACTTTAAACTGTGGTCAGCAGTCTCATTAGACTGTGAACATGCTGTGCTCATTTCTGACTCTCTGCTTTGGCTCCTGTTTATTCGCTGACCAGGAATCCCTACCTTGTTGACTTGCTGACCTCTCACTAACCCCTCTCCATTGAAAAAGCCTCGGTCAAGTCTCTGCCTCCTCCAGAAGACTTCTCTGATTGCTACTGCTGCTATGGACACTCGTGTGCCCCCACCCCCACCTCCCCTTCCCTAAAGGCCTGCAGCACCTGGCTTCCCCTTTGATGACATACATTCTTGTGTCTTGTGTGATTGCTTCTTGGCTATAAATCCTGTCTCTCCAACCACCGTGTGGGTCCTTAAGCAAGGATCACCTCCTTAACCCCCTCTCCCTGCTGCTAAGTGTTATGCTCACAGCGGGCACTAAATACTCTGATTAGTCTGCACAGGATCATAAAAGCCCACATAGATCACCAGAAATTGTCAGCTGATATTTACAAAAATCCCATAAAGTTTATGGTAGCACACTTGGCCCTTAGATGGTAAAAATATAAAACAGAGGGAAAATTGGGTCCTTTGCACACCAGGAATTCTAATTAAGGAAGATAAACAGATCCTGAAGGCTATATGCAGAACATATCCTTAAACAAACTGTGTAGTTGGGTTTGAATGAGTTCCTCCATCCACAGGCCCTGGTGCTAAGAGGGGATAGCCCTGACCCACTAACCACCAGAACAGGCGGATTAAGCGGGTGGGGACATGTGTTCCAGGTAGAGGAATGAATGGGATGCACAAAGTCAGGCTGAGAAGTCCAGAGTACATGCAGAAATTAATAAGTAAATGGTTAGGCTGGGACCTAGGGGGACTTAAGAGATAGTGGTGATAAGGAAGATTGCAAAGGCAGCACAGAGTAAGTAGTGTCAGGTCCCTAGTGTCTGGCTCAGCAGTCTAGGTGTTACCCTGCCCCAGCAGTTCTGATTTTTTTTTTTTTTAAATCTCAGACCTCTTTAGACTCCTAACAATTATAAAGAGCTTTTTGTTTCTGTTTTTGTTTTTCAGAGACAGGGTCTCACTGTCACCCAGGCTGGAGTGTAGTGGCACAGTCACAGCTCACTGCAACCTTTTTTAAAATTTTTTTGTAGAGATGGGGGTCTCGCTTTGTCAAATGATTCTCCTGCCTCAGCCTCCCAAAGTGCTGGGGTTACAGGGATGAGCCACTGCACTCGGCTTAGAACATTTTTTAAATCATTTATAATTCACTTGAAAATAGTCACAAGCCCATTACGTGTTCTAACATACTTTTAAAAATGAAAAGTAACTGTTTTCCAGAACAAAATGGTGAGAAGAGTGGTGTTCTTATTGTTTGCAAATCTCTTCACTGTCTGGCTGAAGACAGCTGGATTCTCCTTTGTGCTCCTGCATTCAATCAGTAGTGATAGAATGTTTGGACTGAAGTATGTGAAGAGTATTCAGCCTCACACAGGTATATAGCTGGAAATAGGAGGACTGTTTTAATCGCCTTTTCAGATAATCGTGGATATTATTCTTTGCCATGACACCAAAACTTGACTTTTAAAAGTTAGTTGAAATGTGTTATTTCAAACCATGTCAGTGAAACTTTCTACAATGTTACATTAAATTCTATCAGTCTATTTCACAGTTTGAATGGATCTTTTACCCATGCATGATTTGGTAACATTATGCATTGGTCATTTGGAAAATCCTGGTTCACTGAGTTACACAGGTTTTCCAAATGTTGACACGTTTCATTATACAATATCAAAAAGCCACATTCATTGTTATCACCACCAATCTCATCAGAAAGTCTTTAAGTATTGGGAAACTGTCAAGCTCCCTGTGGTAGACAGAAGTTTTTCAAAATTCTAATTTTCACTTGAAAGCTGAAATTTTGTAATTGGCACAAATACTGTCAAGATTTTCTTTAAAGTAACAGGCTTACTTCATTCATTTTCAAGAAAATAACTGCCAAATACTTAGGTCTGAATAAACATAGTTTTTCAGTAAAAATGGTGTTCCATGAAAAAGCCATTCAGCTTCCTACCTCAAACCATCACACAAGTGAGGAAATCATATACAGCAGAAATGTTTTATGCATTTGTCCTAATTTGTTACTCAGAATATTAAAAAGACATCTACCCAAGGATTAAGATTTAATAAAGTTAATTATTTTTACTGCTTCATCAAGGAGATTATTAAGTAAAACTGGCTTTTTTTTTTTTTTTACAGTGAGTGCATGACAGAATAAGGCAGCATCCACCAGTACACTTTGGTGTCACTGCCCTGATTCATGCTAAGACACCAGCAGTTTTAAACACTGTTGATTTTGTACCATCAGTGCAATGTCAACACATTAGGGAAGACAAATAAGTCTTAATGTTACCGTGAAAATAGTCTTGACCTCAAAGAGAGGGCCTTTTGGTCCCCCAGGTAGGGTTACCAGATAAAATACAGGATGTCCAAATATTGCATGGGGCATACTTACACTAAAAAAAAAAAAAAAAAAAAAAAAAAAAAAAAAAAAAAGCTGTTTATTTGAAACTGAAATTTCCTTGGGCTTTCTGTATTTTTATTTGCCACAATTGGCCACCTTACCTCTGGGGGTCCATAGACCACACTTTGAAAACAGCTGCTCAGGCTGCTTTGGTTCATTTTTGAGCAGAGGAATGGAATCAGTCGTACTTCATGAAAATAGCTCTAACCTTAGTGGGCAAGGTAGATCAGAGGATGAAAAGATTTGTAGAGCACAGAAAGGTCTGATGGATCCATTAAGAAGATGTCACTTTTTGTCTTAATCAATACAAGATTTGTTGATGAATTTCTTTAGTTACTGTGAGGGGCGGCGCTACTCTGAGATTGGGCAGGGAAAACAGGAAGCCAGCAGAGGGCAGCTTACTGTCTAGTGAGGTCCCCTACCCCATGGTGCTAACTCGCTACTCTCCCCATCCACCGCCATACCCCACCACCATCAGGACTTCTCCATTACAACTGACTTAGGCCTCACCCAGCAAAATTTAAAGTCCTTTCTTCTTGCTTTGGCCTCATTGCATGGAGTCCAGCTGGTCTTTATCCTTCATCAAGTGACTGTTCACTCGAAGAATAGGATTTACATTTCACATCAGACAAAGTAATTCCAATTCCTTTAACTGGTTCATTCCCATCCCCTTTGACCCAATTCTTAAATCTTATCCATCACTCTCTGATGCACCAAGTACTCTCCACTTCCAGAGTTGGGAAATCCTGGCAGAGTCTAGAATATGCAGTCAACACCCCATTATCCATGCTGACTGAAAGGAGGGAATAAGTCTGAAGTTTCCCATCTGTGAAATAAACTGGTTATATAACATGATCCCTAAGAGTTCTTCACATTCTAGGATGGCGTACTGGAGAGCCTAGACTTTGGAGACACATAGAACTGGGCCCAAATCCTGGCTCTGCCAGCTACTAGCTATGTTGTTTGGGGGATGTCACTTACCCTCTTAGGGCCTCAGTTTCCTCACCTTTAAAACAGGGATAATATCACCCATCTTGTTTATGTATTGCAAACATTTAAAATACTGTTTCAGAGCTTCTGACACATACCATCAAGTTAAATCATATAACTCATGTGAATTTAAATATACTCAGTTACAGAGGGACGGAGGGAGCCACTTAAGTGGTGCTGGCAGGAGTCTGTCCTTCCTTTGATTGGTCTTAGTTTTTACCTTTATGTCCTGACTTTAGAACTTAACTCACCACCTCAATTAAAATATTAGGTCGGTGCAATTACTTTTGCACCGACCTAATACAATCCACTGTAATGGCTCTCCTTTTTCTTAAGTGCATTCTGTCGTTCAAATACAGTCCCAAAGCAACTGAACACAGTGGTTTTTTTTAATAGTCTTTGAATTTTGCTTAATTTTAATTTCTGTTATTTAGTATTTAAGATTCAGTAATCAATGCTGACAACCCCAAAGCAGGACAGAGATCATAGTGAAATAGCTATTTACACACATGCACATAAATGCAGCCCCATGGCTCATGCTGAATGTAATTATAGGCATACACACACCCCACACAACACTGGTTTCAGTCAACACCACTACACAGCTATCTCCAGGTTAAAAGCATAAGCTAGCTACCGGAAATAAAACTGGTATAGTCACACACTGCAATGAAAAAATCACACAGATCTGCATCCAATCAACCACAGGAGCAAATTTATGAGGACAGGAAGTTGTTAGGGAGATCCAGAAAGTCAATAAACGTCAGAAATTTTATAGTTCAAACATTACAGTTACATTTTTGTTTCTTCAGAGCAGTTGTTTAAATATTTAATTCACAAAACAAAACTGAAGTTTAAATGGCACCAGTGTCTCTCCGACTTGGCACCTACCATGTATGTGGACCTGTTTACCTTTCTTACTACTTAAAAAAAAAAAAACACTAAGTCACAAATCCTTAATACTGACATAAGCTTGTTAAACAGGACTTTGGAGGATCATTAAATAGGAAATCATTAAAAATATTGACCTTTTGTAATCCCAGTTTTCTAATAAGACCCTTTGAAATAAGCACCACCCCTCTATTCCCTTTGATTAACACAGTAGAGAGGACTTAGCCACTTCAGTAGTTCTCTTTCTGTTTGACAAAAATGCAATATGAAAATGCAGTGACCTCTTGCAGCTTCATGCTTATGGTTTAAAATGGATGCTAAAAATTGGAATTGGACTGTGGGTTTGAAAGTTTGGTAAAATAGCCAAACTTTATATTTCCTAGGTTATTGGAACAAACACACAGAGGAAAAAGTACTTTTTAAAAGGTTCTAATTCGAGAAATTTTTGAAGAGGAAGGTTATGGGATCCAAAACTACTTATTTGAAGAAGAATCATTATACAAACTTAGATAACTCACTAAAAATTATCTGTTTCGTGTCCTAATAACCAGGTTGGCATGGTATTGCATCCAGAAATATGGAACTTTCCATTTTTCTGTTTTATCTTTTTTATGTTCCTATTTTTAATGTGTGTTTATAATACACTGAAAAATCTCAGTCAATCACATATTGAGCAAAATAATCACCATGGCAGGGAGACACACATGGTAGACTTTATTGTCAACATGTCTATAAAACTGAATAAATATTTGTTAGTGTTCCATTGTGATAAATACAAGGAACACGTGAGGCTGAAAGGGAACAGTGTCAAGAACACCATAATTTTTCAAAACCTGACATGACTTTAATGGCAATTAACAAAGAATGCCAGGGTGTATGGGAGAGTTTTTGCAAACACACTACATCACAAACAGACTAGACTTTTAATGATGTGACAGAATAGCCAAAAGATAGAAGATTGGACATCTTGTCCCAGGAAGCTAAATATCTAAGTGGTATAAAAAGGTCTTTCAGGATTCTGAACTTTCTACCCATAGCTTGCCTCCCTTCCCTTCAGCAGGCCACTTCTTGGCTTCCTTTCCCAGCTCCTTGGGCCTAACTGGGTTCCTTTCATCACCCATAGACCTTTCTTCTTGGAAGTTTCTTCCCTCTAGTCCCTTTACTTCCTCCTCTAAATACTTCTTCATGAATCTCCAAAGTGCCCCAATTATTATAGCTCACCAGAGACAGCTAAAGGCAAGGTCATCATCCTGAGGAAGATTTAACAAGACGAGGCAGAAGATCAAGGTTCTCTTCCTGGCCACACTTAGTTGACATCCTAGAACTCTGCAGTGGTACAATTTAGAACTAGAATAATGGCCAGGTGTGGTGGTTCACTCGTGCAATCCTAGTACTTGGGGAGGCCAAGGTGGGAGGATCACTTGAGGCTAGGAGTTCAAAACCAGCCTGGGCAATATAGTGAGACTCTGTCTCTATGAGAGACACCTGTCTCTCTCTAGAGAGAGAGCAAGGTGTGGAGGCATGGTGGTGCATGCCTCTAGTCCCAGCTACTCAGGAAGCTGAGGCAAGAGGATTGCTTGAGCCCAGGAGGTCAAGGCTGCAGTGAGCTATGATCACGCCACTGCACTCTAGCCTGGGAAACAGAGCAAGACTCTATTTCCAAATCCATAATAAACCACAAGACCCATGGTTTTCAGTGTAGTTGCCCCGACAGCAGCAGCTGCATCATCTGAGAACTTGATAGAAATCCAGATTCTCCAACTCACCTCAGACCTACTGAATCAGAAACTCTAGAGGTGGGGCCCAGTAATCTGTCTCAGCAAACCCTCCAAGTGATTCTGATTCATTCTAAAGTTTGAAGACATTGCACTGTACAGATGAATTGCTTTTTGTAAGATTTCTTCTGGTTGTAGCTTTCTGTGATTCTGAATAGATTCTGGCAGCATAAGGAATGTTAATGCCCTTGTGTTTCAATAGTACTTATGTGAAAAGCACAATAGCTTATTCTCTTCTGTTCTTTTCTTGATTCTCATAAAATCCCTGCAAAGTAATGCAACTGGATCTGTTTCACAGAATCTCATAGGACTTATCACGTAAATAATACAATTTATGACAGCTTTGAGGGCTGGAAAATATTCCGCCTCAAAGCTAGCCCAATGACCTGATGGAAGACTGTGTATTATGGTTTCAAGGATGCCAGAAAGATCAAATTCTACACTTTTCCACCCAGTTCACTGATGCCAGAAATTCCAACGTCATAGCTTAAAGCTCCAGTCCTCCATCTGAAATGCAAATATCCCTGGAATATCATAACAAGCCCTTTACTTCTCAGGTAAGAGATGGAAGAAAGAGGATATGAGCACCTTGTTCTCAGGAAGTGGAATGTCTACACCTGCTTTCAGAAGACTACTCCAAAGGGAATATCTAGGGTCACTATATGCAACTTTGCTTTCTGCATAATTTTGCCAAGGGCCAGGTGTGCACACATAACCAGGTGTACAATATAGGTGCATAAAAACCTTAAGGATTGACTGTGGAGGCTGAAGGAGGAAGAATGAGTAGACCTTAACAGAGATAGAAGTAAATGGGCAGATTCCTGCCTTTTGGTACACTAGGAAAGATAAAAACCCTCACCCCCAATCCCCACCCTCCTAACCATACCCCCACCACCAAATTAACATGGAAATAGATCAATAGATCTTCCAATTGTATTTGGTTCTCTTCTTCCTCACCTGTCTATACATCCTTTCTTTAAAAAGTATTATATTTGTATTGTACCTTATAGTTTGCAAAGCACTCTCACATACAATATTCATTTGCTCACTACAGCCCTGTGAAAAAGACAAAATTCTTCATTTACTAAGGAGGAAACCTGGGCTTGGCTACTGCCAATACATGGCAGAACTAAGATTTGAATCCTGGTTTTCCAATTCCAAGCCTACTTCTTTCATCTGTGTGCATTTTCATTTTTAATTTAATTTTTTTTTTTAGAGACAGTGTCTCACTCTATCACCTAGGCTATTGTGCAAAGGCATGATCCTGGCTCACTTCAGCCTCAACCTCCTGGGCTCAAGCAATCCTCCTGCCTCAGCCTCCTGCGTAGGTAGGACAATAGGAGCATGCCACCACACTCAGCTAATTTTTTAATTTTTATTTTTGTAGAGACAGGGTCTCACTATGTTTCACAGACTTGTCTTGAACTCCTGGTCTCAAGCGATCCTCCCACCTTGTCCTCTCAAAGTGCTGGGATTACAGGCATAAGCCACTGCACCTGGCCCCAGTGTGTATTTTCAATCTGGTTTGCACCCAACTGCAGGGATGAACCATGCATTAATGCTCAACTCCCATACTCCCTTAAAAAGAAGGTTATCAGGGATCCAGAGCCCCGGCATAGAGTGTGAATCCCAGGCTCCCATCATTCAAGCAGGTTCCCAATTTGCTGCCACTGTTTACCTCCTCCCTGCTTTTAGAGCACAAGAGCTTAATGACTTCACAGATGGGCAACATTGTCAGCCATGGAAAAGACATTCTGCTACACATAATTGTACTTTGAAAATATCACTGTGGAAGTGTGTGGATGAGTCACAGTGTTGGCAGGGGAACTTCACATAGGCCAGGCCCTCTGGTAATGAGCCCCACAGGGCTCTGAAGGTGGCCCAGGCCATGGTCCTTCACAGACTCTAAGCAGAGGATTGCTATGGCCAAGGTGAAAAGACATCCCTTGCTCTATCACTAAGGCCAGTACACTTGGTTCATGCATAGACATTTAGCCTAAAGTTATCTAAAATTCCTTCCAAGCCTACGATTCTAATTTATACACAACAAAAGCCTTTATTCTGTTATCCGGTTGTCTTGTACCATTTATATGACTCCAGCTTCCACCTTGGTGATAATAAATTACAAGTTCAAATTTCCAGTCCTGCCCTTTAACCAAAGCTCAGTGCCACATCAACTAATTCCTGGTAGATGTTGCCACCATCAAATTTCAGTGAAAATGTCTAAAACCAAATTCACTTCTCATTATCCTCTACAAACCAGCTCCCCATAGCAACTTCTAGCACAGCCATTTTCTCAACTCTCAGGACTCAACATGATGGAGCTGTCTTCTTCACTATGCACATTTGGTTCGTTGCTATTAATTTCTGTTTCCTGAGTACACTCTTCATACTGCTGCCTATCTGATCTTTATTAAATGTTCTTCTGTGAACCGACATTGTCATTCTTGCTTTATAACCATGAGAACAGTAGTTCTCAGCCCTGGCTACAGGTTAGAGCTTCTTAAAACTTCCAGTGCCCAAGCCCCATCCCTAGAAAATTCTGATTCAGGGGGCCTGGGGTGGGGCCCAGTGATCAGTACCACTGAGAACAAATGTCCTGAACTATAGCACTTTTCAGACTTCAAGGGGTATGAAGTCACCTTTGGATCTTGTTAAAATGCAGATGTGGATTCAGCAGGGCTGAGCTGGGCCTGAGATTCAGCATTTCTTTTTGTTTGTTTGTTTTTAGACGGAGTCTCGCTCTGTCACCCAGGCTGGAGTGCAGTGGCGTGATCTCGGCTCACTGCAAGCTCTGCCTGCGGGGTTCACGCCATTCTCCTGCCTCAGCCTCCTGAGTAGCTGGGACTACAGGCGCCCGCCACCACGCCCAGCTAATTTTTTGTAATTTTTTTTAGTAGAGACAGGGTTTCGCCGTGTTAGCCAGGATGGTCTCGATCTCCTGACCTCGTGATCCACTCACCTCGGCCTCCCAAAGTGCTGGGATTACAGGCGTGAGGCACCGCACCCGGCCCAGCATTTCTTTTTTGTTTGTTTTTATTTTTTATTTTTGAGACAGGGTCTTGCTCTGTCCCTCAGGCTGGAATGCAGTGGTGCGATCTCGGCTCACTGCAACCTTCGCCTCCCAGATTCAAGCGATTCTCCTGCCTCAGCCTCCCGAGCAGCTGGGATTACAGGTGTGTGCCACCACACCTGGCTAATTTTTGTACTTTTAGTAGAAGTGGGGTTTCATCATGTTGGCCAGTCTGGCCTTGAACTCCTGACCTCAAGTGATACACCTGCCTCGGCCTCCCAAAGTGCTGGGATTACAGGCGTGAGCCACCGCGTCCGGCTAAGATTCTGCATTTCTAACATGCTCCCAGGTGATGTTGATGTTTCTAGTTCCCACGCCACACTTTGGGTATCAGGGTCCTAGAGCATCAAGTCTAATCTCCCATTCTGCCTGGTTTTAAGGCCCTGGCCTCATTTCCTGGTGCTTCCTTCTCTCACCAGGCCAGCTCCTGACACATCCAGACACAGACCCTTCCTCTCCATCCTGGTTTACTTGGAATGCCTGACTCCCTTCTCTCTGCCTGGTGAGAATTCTCTGCATCCTCACCCCTCCATCAGGACCCAAAGGGCCCAAGCCTTTATCTACCATTTAGTCTTCCCCAACCACTCCATGGTTTATTAATCCCTTTTTCCTCTAATCTCCCAGCGCTATAGAAAGTACAGTGATCCTCCCATCATGTACTAAGCTCTGCAGCTGACAGCAGAAAGAAAACTGGACCAAAAGAGATAGGGAAACTGGGCACATCTTGTAACTGCTAGCAAGTCATTTTCCCTTTCTAAAAAATAAAATAAAATAAAATAAAATAAAATAAAATAAAAAGCTCCTCAGAAACTTGGTCCAGCAGAATGATCCTAGGGACATGGGAGGCAAATCGTAATAAACAAATTGCAGACATGTCAGCAACTGAAGCTATTCCTAAGAACATTCAAGTGAAGAGAAACTTAAGAGATCACTTGGTCTCACCATCCCTCTCTCCCTAGATTTTTCTGGTAGAAGCTGAAGCCCTGACAAGAGAAAGAGCTTCCTCAGATACCCAATTAATCAATAGCAGGTTCAGGACCAAAGTCCATATTTCTCAGTTTTTGTTTTGTTTGGTTTTGTTTTCTTTTGAGACAGAGTCTCGCTCTGTCACCTAGGCTGGAGTGCAGTGGCATGAATTCAGCTCACTGCAACCTCTGCCTCCGAGTTAAGCAATTCTCGTGCCTCAGCCTCCCGAGTAGCTGGGATTACAGGTGCACACCACCATGCCCAGCTAATTTTTTGTATTTTTAGTAGAGACGGGGTTTCGCCATGTTGCCTAGGCTGGTCTCGAACTCCTGAGCTCAGGCAATCTGCCCACCTCTGCCTCCCAAAGTGCTAGGATTACAGGCATGAGCTACCGTGCCAGGCCATATTTCTGAGTTTTTTATCCTTCCAGATGTAGCAACTTCCTAAATGTTTAAGGGGAGCCACCACTGCATCAAGCAGACAATGTGCTGATGCACTATGATTAGTAGGGCTGGATATAAACCTCAGGAAACATTTAATGGCAAGATGTTATAAGAGGGCAATCTACAAGGCAGGACACCCTGTCCATAGCAGAATCTTCTTGCCTTCCACCAGAGACCAGGCCCTACAATCCCATGTAAGACTCCTGATTATCCTGCTGAAGCAAAGTTCACCTTTTTACCCCTGGCATCAAGGTCCTCTGCAATCTGGCCCTAACCTAGCCTTCCAGCATCCCTCCCTGCTGGAACTTTCCACTCAGACTCACTGTTTCTCACACATACCTTATGCCATTGCTAATTCTTAAGCCACCAGATTGCTTCTTGGGCACATGAGTCCATGTGGACACGGTTAAATCTCCTGCATGCCTTTTGATATCTTGACGTTTGGAATTGAGCTGGGCAATTGCTCAATGTGAACAATGATTCTACACTTTAAGGAACTGGGGACATGATCTTTCCAAGATAAAAGGGCTTTTCTTTCTTTTCTGGTCTCCTAATGCCACCTCAGGTCACGTTCCACTGTGTGGAGCCCAGACAATTATCATGCTGTGGCCAGAGATGTTTAATTGGACTTTAAAAGATGAGAAAGCAGCAGGGAGCTGATTGTCAGCTCTCTGACAAGACTGTGCCGCATAGGTGGCCAGCAGCACAGAGGAGGGCTGGCCTGCCCAGTGTCATGACTGTCTCCACCCCTGGGGCAGTGAGGTTAGGAGAGAAGGGCAAGATGTAGCAGTGGCAGGACAGCCTTCAGCAGACTCAGTGCCAGATTGTCCTATATCCCGTTTCTACCCCAAGAACTGTGCTCACTCAGGGGGCAACAAAGACTTCTTTTTTAAAATTACCCTTCTTCTTAAGACAAACTTCTCTAACCCTTCATAGTAATAATTTATTTTTATAATGGGTTTTCATCTCCATGCAACCCTTTAAGCCTCTGAGGTAGGTCAGGGAAAATATTAACACTTCCAGTTCATAAAGGAGTAAACTAGATTCATTATGCTGGGATGTGAGTTTGCCAAGGTTATGCAACTAGTAAATGGTTAAGCCAGAACTGCAGATCAGCTGTCAAAGATCACTGATGCAACAGCAGATAAAAGCCATTTCAAACAGGACAAGTATACTACTCCACCTCCTGCTTCTTAATGCTATTCCCTGAAGAAAAAAGATCCCTTTGTTCTGACAAGTGTGTGGAGAGCAGACTATGCCCTAAAGGCTAATTAAAAAACAGAGGTTCCCACATCCACCCTCCATCCTGGGATTGGACTGGCAGAGACTACACAGAAACACAGACATTTCCAGACAACACAAGGCTATCTATGTGCTCCACTGCATCTAGGCACTGGGGAGTTCCTAGGTCCATGAGAAAGCTGAGAAAGCTACTGGCTAAGGAAGAGAACCCCTGGGTGCTGCTCTGAACAGACGTCATGCAGTGTGGCCATGAACCCAGATCACCTGACTCATTGTCAAGATGAACAGGGCTCTGGCAGGTCAGATCTGCCACTGGATATGTGAAGGGATTCTTTCCCATTATTTTTCTTTTTTCTTTTCTTTTCTTTTTTTTTTTTTTTTTTTTTTTTTTGAGACAGGGTCTCATTCTGTTGCCCAGGCTGGAGTGCAGTGGCAAAATCATAGCTCACTGCAACCTCAAACTCCCAGGCTCAAGTGATCCTCCCACCTCAGCCTCCCATGTAGCTAGGACTCCAGCCACACACTACCACTCCCAGTATTTTTTGTGTGTGTTTTTTTTTTTGTAGAGACAGGGTCTCCTTATATTGCCCAGGCTGGTCTTGGACTCCTGGCCTCAAGTGGTCCTCCTGCCTGGGCCTCCCAAAGTATTAGGATTACAGGTATAAGCCACCACACCTGGCCTCACATTATTTTCCTCAGAAAGATCTGAAATAGGAGAAAACTTTGAAAATTAACGTATTTTCCTTCTCTTGAACTTTAAAGCTGCCACAGCCCTCACCCTCAATTGTAAAGGCTTGAGGATGTTTTCCGGAAACTATGGAGAGTAGTTTAAATTTTCAACCCTTTAAAAAGTTGAAAGCTATCCTTTCAACACTGCCTGTGAACAAGTTTTCATTTTTCTTTCAGTAGAATCTACAAATCACTAAAAAAAATATAGAGGGCATTTCCCCAAGCAATATAGAGGGCAATAAAAAGGATTCCCTATTTAATAAATGGTGTTGGGAAAACTGGCTAGCCATATGCAGAAAGCTGACACTGGACCCCTTCCTTACACCTTATAAAAAAATTAACTCAAGATGGATTAAAGACTTAAACATAAGACCTAAAACCATAAAAACCCTAGAAGAAAACCTAGACAATACCATTCAGGACATAGGCATGGGCAAAGACTTCATGACTAAAACAACAAAAGCAATGGCAACAAAAGCCAAAATTGACAAATGGGATCTAATCAAACTCAAGAGCTTCTGCACAGCAAAAGAAACTGTCATCAGAGTAAACAGGTAACCTACAGAATGGGAGAAAATTTTTGCAATCTACCCATCTGACAAAGGGCTAACATCCAGAATCTATAAAGAACTTAAACAAATTTAAAAGACAAAAACAAACAACCCCATCAAAAAGTGGGTGAAGGATATGAACAGACACTTCTCAAAAGAAGACATTTATGCAGCCAACAAACATATGGAAAAAAGCTCATCATCACTGGTCATTAGAGAAATGCAAATCAAAACCACAATGAGATACCATCTCACGGCCAGTTACAATGGCGATCATTAAAAAGTCAGGAAGCAACAGGTGCTGGAGAGGATGTGGAGAAATACGAATGCTTTTACACTGTTGGTGGGAGTGAAAATTAGTTCAACCATTGTGGAAGACAGTGTGGTGATTCCTCAAGGATCTAGAACTAGAAATACCATTTGACCCAGCAATCCCATTACCGGGTATATATCCAAAGGATTATAAATTATTCTACTACAAATACACATGCACACATGTTTATTGCAGCACTGTTCATAATAGAACATAAAGACTTGGAACCAACCCAAATCCCCATCAATGATAAACTGGATAAAGAAAATGTGGCACATATACACCATGGAATACTATGCAGCCATAAAAAAGGATGTCCTTTGCAGGGACATGGATGGAGCTGGAAACCATCATTCTCAGCAAACTAACACAGGAACAGAAAACCAAACACCGCATGTTCTCACTCATAAGTGGGAGTTGAACAATGAGAACACATGGACACAGGGGGAAGGGGATCACATACCGGGGCCTGCCAGGGAGTGGGGGGCTCAGGGAGGGATAGCATTAGGAGAAATACCTAATGTAGATGACAGGTTGATGGGTGCAGCAAACCAACATGGCATGTGTATACCTATGTAACAAACCTGCACGTTCTGCACATGTACCCTAGAACTTAAAATATTAAAAAAAATTATTTTAACCCCAAAAGTAACCACTAAAAATATGCAAAGAGCTATAGCTAAAAATTAAAATGAAATACTAAACCATATTAATTCCCAAAAAAGGCAAGAAAAGTGGAACCAAGAAACAAGTCATATCAGAAAAATAGAAAACAAATAAAAGTGAGAGAACTAAATCCAACCATATCAATAATTATCTTAAATGTAGATTGACTAAATGCTATAAGAAAAAGAAATAGATTGTTTATAGTAGATAAAAGTTATGATCCAACTATATGTTATCTACAAGAGATACATTAAATACAAAGACACATATAGGTTTAAAACTTAAAAATTTTAAAAGAAATATCATGCAAGCACTAATCATAGGAAATATGGAATGGCTAGATTAATATCAGTCAAAATAGACTTCAGGATAAGAAAGATTACCAAAAATAAAGAACAATATTTCGTAATGATAAAAGGGTCATTTCATCAAAAGGCATAGCAATTATAAATGTGTGTTTAATAACAGCTTCAAAATGCATAAAGCAAAAACTGAAAGAGCTAAAGGGAGAAATAAACAAATCCACAATCATAGTTAGAGATGTTAACACCCCTCTCTCAGTAATTGACAAAACAACTAGATTATTAAAAATCAAAAATGATGTAGAATATCTCAACAATGCTATCAATCACCTTAACCTAATTGACATTTATAGAACACTAGGCCAGATGTGGTGGCTCATGCCTATAATCCCAGAGTTTTCAGAGGCCAAGGTAGGAGGATCACTTAAGGCCAGGAGCTGGAGACCAGCATGGGCAACATATCAAGACCCCATCTCTATTAAAAAATTAGCTGGGCATAGTGGAACATACCTGTAGTCCCATCTATTTGGGAGGCTGAGCACACCACTGCACTCCAGCCTGAGTGACAGAGCAAGACTGTCTCTAAAAAAACTAGAACAAATAAATAAATAAAATAGAACACTAAACTCAACAACCACAGAATATACATTGTTTTCTAACCACGCTGAAATTAAATTAGAAATCAATAACAAAAAGATATCTATTACAGCCCCCCAAATATTTGAAAATTAAACAACACATTTTCAAATAACCTGTGCATCAAAGAAATCACTTTTCGTCTGACATCTCAGCAAGGCTGCAGCGATTGCCGCTGCTCTGCAAGCTTCACAATGCCATCCGAGGACAACAAGAGGAAAGACCCCGGGAAGTTGGCCAAAAAAGACAAAAACCCAGTGAACAAATCCAGGGGCAAAGCCAAAAAGGAGTGGTCCAAAGGCAAAATTTGGGATAAGCTCAATAACCAAGTCTTGTTTGACAATGCTACTGTAAGGAAGCTTTGTATGACAAACTCTGTAAGGAAGTTTCCAGCTATAGGTTTATAACCCCAGCTGTGGTCTCTCAGAGATTGGAGATTCGAGGCTCCCTGGCCAGGGCAGCCCTACAGGAGCTCCTTGGCAAAGGACTTATCAAACTGGTTTCAAAACACAGAGCTCGAGTCATTTACACCAGAAATACCAAAAGTGGAGATGCCACAACTGCTGGTGAAGATGCATGAACAGGTCCAACTGACTGTACATTTGGAAAAACAAAACTTTATTAAATAAAAAAAAGAAATCACAGGGAAATTAGAAAATATTTTTGAACTGAATGAAATTAAAACATATCAAATTTTATGGGATGCAGCACTGCAGTGCCTAGAGGGAAATTTTTAGTGTCTATTGCTTATATTAGGAAAGAAGAAAGATTTAAAATCAATTATTTTAAGTTTCTATTTTAAGAAGTTAAAAAAAGAAGAGCAAATTAAACCCAAAATCTGTGAACGGAGAGAAATCATAAATATAAAGCAGAAATCAAGAAACTAGAAAACAAAGAGTATACAAAAATAACAAATCCAAACGTTGGTTTTTGAAACATTTAATGGAATCAGTAAACTCCTGGTTAGGATGATCAAGAAGAAAGGAAAACAAAAGCTGTTACTACTACAAATGAAAGAAAGGATAGATCCTACAAATATTAAAAGGCTAACACTGAAATAGTATGAAGTGTATTATGGCAAAAAATTAACACCTTAGATTAAAGGAAACAAATTTCTAAAAGAACAAACTTACTAAAACTGACCTAAAATCATATTGAAATTTTTAATACCCTGTATGTTTTTTAAAAATGAAAGTATTATGAGACTTTCCAAGATGGCCGAATAGGAACAGCTTCAGTCTGCAACTCCCAGCGTGATCGACACAGAAGATGGGTGATTTCTACGTTTCCAACTGAGGTACCTGGTTCATCTCATTGGGACTGGTTGGACAGTGGGTGCAGCCCATGGAGGACAAGCTGAAGCAGGGCAGGCATCGCCTCACCTGGGAAGCACAAGGGGTCAGGGATTTCCCTTTCCTAGCCAAGAGACGCTGTGACACACTACTTGGAAAAATGGGACACTCCCACCCAAAGACTGTGGACTTTTCCCAAGGTCTTAGGAACCAGCAGACAAGGTGATTCTCTTCCTTGCCTGGCTCGGTGGCTGCCACCCATGGAGCCTTGCTCACTGCTAGCCCAGCAATCTGAGATCAAACTGTGAGGCAGCAGCCTGGCTGGGGGAGGGGCGTCTGCCATTGCTGAGGCCAGTAGGTAAACAAAGTGGCCAGGAAGCTTGAACTGAGTGGGGTCCACCACAGCTCAATCAGGCCTACTGGCTCTAGACTCCACCTCTGTGGGCAGGGCATAGCTGAACAAAAGGCAGCAGACAACTTCTGCAGACTTAAATATCCCTGTCTGACAGCTCAGAAGAGAGCAGTGGTTCTCTCTCACCAGCACAGTGTTTTAGCTCTGAGAACAGACAGACTGCCTCCTCAAGTGGGTCCCTGACCCCTGTGTAGCCTAACTGGGAGACACCTCCCAGTAGGGGCCAACAGACACCTCATATAGGTGGCTGTCCCTCTGGGATGAAGCTTCCAGAGGAAGGATCAGGCAGCAATATTTGCTGTTCTGCAGCCTCCACTGGTGATACCCAGGCATGCAGGGTCTGGAGTGGAACTCCAGCAAACTCCAACAGACCTGCAGCTGAGGGACCTGACTGTTAGAAGGAAAACTAACCAACAGAAAGAAACAGCATCAACATCAACAAAAAGGACATCTATACCAAAACCCCATCTGTAGGTCACCAACATCAAAGACCAACGGTAGATAAAACCACAAAGATGGGGAGAAACTGGAGCAGAAAAGCTGAAAATTCTAAAAACCAGAGTGCCTGTTCTCCTCCAAAGGACTGCAGCTCCTCACCAGCAATGGAACAAAGCTGGATAAAGAATGACTTTGACGAGTTGACAGAAGTAGGCTTCAGCAAGTCAGTAGTAACAAACTTCTCCAAGCTGAAGGAGGAGGTTTGAACCCATCACAAGGGAGCTAAAAACCTTGAAAAACAATTAGATGAATGGCTAACTAGAAAAAGGGTGTAGAGAAGACCTTAAATGACTTGATGGAGCTGAAAACCATGGCACAAGAACTTTGTGACACATGCACAAGCTTCAATAGCCGATTCGATCAAGTGGAAGAAAGGGTATCAGTGATTGAAGATCAAATGAATGAAATGAAGCAAGAAGAGAAGTTTAGAGAAAAAAGAGTAAAAAGAAACGAACAAAGCCTCCAAGAAATATGGGACTATGTGAAAAGACCAAGTCTATGTTTGATTGGTGTACCTGAAAGTGATGGGGAGAAGGGACCCAAGTTGGAAAACATTCAGGATATTATCCAGGAGAACTTCCCCAACATAGTAAGGCAGGTAAACATTCAAATTCAGGAAATACAGAGAACACCACAAAGATACTCCTCCAGAAGAACAACCCCAAGACACATAATTGTCAGATTCGCCAAGGTTGAAATGAAGGAAAAAGTGTTAAGGGCAGCCAGAGAGAAAGGTCGAGTTACCCACAAAGGGAAGCCCATCAGACTAACAGCAGATCTCTCAGCAGAAACCCTACAGCCAGGAGAGAGTGGGGGCCAATATTCAGCATTCTTAAAGAAAAGAATTTTCAACCCAGAATTTCATATCCAGCCAAACTAAGCTTCATAAGTGAAGGAGAAATAAAATCCTTTACAGACAAGCAAATGCTGAGAGATTTTGTCACCACCAGGCCTGCCTTACAAGAGCTCCTGAAGGAAGCACTAAACATGGAAAGGAACAACCAGTACCAGCCACTGCAAAAACATGCCAAATTGTAAACACCATCGATGCTACGAAGAAACCTCATCAATTAATGGGCAAAATAACCAGCAAACATCATAATGACAGGATCAAATTCACACACAACAATATTAACCTTAAATGTAAATGGGCTAAATGCCCCAATTAAAAGACACAGACCGGCAAATTGGATGAGGAGTCAAGACCCATCAGTGTGCTGTATTCAGGAGACCCATCTCACATGCAAAGATGCACATAGGCTCAAAATAAAGGGATGGAGGAAGAACTACCAAGCAAATGGAAAGCAAAAAAAAGCAGGGGTTGTAATCCTAGTCTCTGATAAAACAGACTTTAAACCAACAAAAATGAAAAGAGACAAAGAAGGCCATTACATAACGGTAAAGGGATCAATTCAACAAGAAGAGCTAACTATCCTAAATACATATGCACCCAATACAGGAGCACCCAGATTCATAAAGCAAGTCCTTAGAGACCTACAAAGAGACTTAGACTCCCACACAATAATAACAGGAGACTTTAACACCCCTCTGTCAATATTAGACAGATCAATGAGACAGAAGGTTAACAGGGATATCCAAGACCTGAACTCAGCTCTGCAACAAACAGACCTAATAGACATCTACAGAACTCTTCACCCCAAATCAACAGAATACACTTTCTTCTCAGCACCACATCGCACTTATTCTAAAATTGACCACATAATTGGAAGTAAAGCACTCCTCAGCAAATGTAAAAGAACGGAAATCACAACAAACTCTCTCTCAGACCACAGTGCAATCAAATTAGAACTCAGGATTAAGAAACTCACTCAAAAATGCACATCTACATGGAAACTGAACAACTTGCTCCTGAATGACTACTGGGTAAATAATGAAATAAAGGCAGAAATAAAGATGTTCTTTGAAACCAATGAGAACAAAGACACAACATACCAAAATCTCTGGGACACATTTAAAGCAGTGTGTACAGGGAAATTTATAGCACTAAATGCTCACAAGAGAGGGCAGGAAAGATCTAAAATCAACACCCTAACATCACAATTAAAAGAACTAGAGAAGCAAGAGCAATCAAATTCAAAAGCTAGCAGAAGACAAGAAATAACTAAGATCAGAGCAGAACTGAAAGAGATAGAGACACAATCAATTGATTCAAAAAATCAATGAATCTAGGAGCTGGCTTTTTGCAAAGATCAACAGAATTGATAGACCGCTAGCAAGACTAATAAAGAAGAAAAGAGAGAAGAATCAAACAGAGGCAATAAAAAATGATAAAGGGGACATCACCACCGATCCCAAAGAAATACAAACTACCATCAGAGAATAATATAAACACCTCTACGCAAATAAACTAGAAAATCTAGAAGAAATGGATAAATTCCTCGACACATACACCCTCCCCAGACTAAACCAGGAAGAAGTGGAATCTCTGAATAGACCAATAACAGGCTCTGAAATTGAGGCAATAATTAATAGCCTACCAACCAAAAAAACTCCAGGACCAGACAGATTCACAGCCAAATTCTACCAGCTGAAACTATTCCAATCAATAGAAAAAGAGGGAATCCTCCCTAACTCATTTTATGAGGCCAACATCATCCTGATACTAAAGCCTGGCAAAGACACAACAAAAAAAGAGAATTTTAGACCAATATCCCTGATGAACATCAATGCAAAAATCCTCAATAAAATACCGGCAAGCCGAATCCAGCTGCATGTCAAAAGGCTTATCCACCACGATCAAGTCTGCTTCATCCCTGGGATGCAAGGCTGGTTCAACATACACAAATCAATAAACGTTATCCATCACATAAACAGAACCAAAGACAGAATCCACATGGTTATCTGAATAGATGCAGAAAAGGCCTTTGACAAAATTCAACAACACTTCATGCTAAAAACTCTCAATAAATTAGGTACTGATGGAACGTATCTCAAAATAATAAGAGCTATTTATGACAAACCCACAGCCGATATCATACTGAATGGGCAAAAACAGGAAGCATTCCCTTTGAAAATCGGCACAAGACAAGGACGCCCTCTCTCACCACTCCTATTCAACATAGTGTTGGAAGTTCCGGCCACGGCAATCAGGCAGGAGAAAGAAATAAAGGGTATTCAAATAGGAAAAGAGGAAGTGAAATTGTCCCTGTTTGCAGATGACATGATTGTATATTTAGAAAACCCCATCGTCTCAGCCCAAAACCTCCTTAAGCTGATAAGCAACTTCAGCAAAGTCTCAGGATACAAAATCAATATGCAAAAATCACAAGCATTCCTATACACCATTAACAGACAAACAGAGAGCCAAATCATGAGTGAACTCCCATTCACAATTGCTACAAAGAGAATAAAATACCTAGGAATCCAACTTACAAGGGATGTGAAGGACCTCTTCAAGGAGAACTACCAACCACTGCTCAAGGAAATAAAAGATGACACAAACAAATGGAAGAATATTCTATGCTCATGGATAGGAAGAATGAATCAATATCATGAAAATGGCCATACTGCCCAAGGTAATTTATAGATTCAATGCCATCCCCTTCAAGCTACCAATGACTTTCTTCACAGAATTGGAGAAAACTACTTTAAAGTTCATATGGAACCAAAAAAGAGCCCACATTGCCAAGACAATCTTAAGCCAAAAGAACAAAGCTGGAGGCATCACGCTACCTGACTTCAAACTATACTACAAGGCTACAGTAGTCAAAACAGCATGGTACTGGTACCAAAACAGATATATAGATCAATGGAACAGAACAGAGGCCTCAGAAATAACAACACACATCTACAACCATCTGATCTTTGACAAACCTGACAGAAACAAGAAATGGAGAAAGGATTCCCTATTTAATAAATGGTGCTGGGAAAACTGGCTAGCCATATGTAGAAAGTTGAAACTGGATCCCTTCCTTACACCTTATACAAAAATTAATTCAAATGGATTAAAGACTCAAATGTTAGACCTAAAACCATAAAAACCCTAGAAGAAAACCTAGGCAATACCATTCAGGACATAGGCATGGGCAAGGACTTCATGACTAAAACAACAAAAGCAACGGCAACAAAAGCCAAAATTGACAAATGGGATCTAATTAAACTAAAGAGCTTCTGCACAGCAAAAGAAACTACCATCAGAGTGAACAGGTAACCTACAGAATGGGAGTAAAATTTTGCAATCTACCCATCTGACAAAGGTCTAATATCCAGAATCTGCAATGAACTCAAACAAATTTACAAGAAAAAAACAAACAACCCCATCAAAAAGTGGGCAAAGGATATGAACAGACACTTCTCAAAAGAAGACATCTATGCAACCAACAGACACATGAAAAAATGTTCATCATCACTGGCCATCAGAGAAATGCAAATCAAAACCACAATGAGATACCATCTCACACCAGTTAGAATGGCGATCATTAAAAAGTCAGGAAACAACAGGTGCTGGAGAGGGTGTGGAGAAATAGGAACACTTTTACACTGTTGCTGGGAGTGTAAATTATTTCAACCATTGTGGAAGATGGTGTGGTGATTCCTCAAGGATCTAGAACTAGAAATACCATTTGACCCAGCCATCCCATTACTGGGTATATACCCAAAGGATTATAAATCATGCTTCTATAAAGACACATACACACATATGTTTATTGTGGCACTATTCACAAGAGCAAAGACTTGGAACCAACCTAAATATCCAACAATGATAGACTGGATTAAGAAAATGTGGCACATATACACCATGGAATACTATGCAGCCATAAAAAAGAATGAGTTCATGTCCTTTGTAGGGACATGGATGAAGCTGGAAACCATCATTCTGAGGAAACTATCACAAGGATAGGAAACCAAACACTGTATGTTCTCACTTATAGGTGGGAATTGAACAATGAGAACACTTGGACACAGGAAGGGGAACATCACACATCAGGGCCTGTCGTGGGGTGGGAGGAGGGGGGAAGGATAGCATTAGGAGAAATACCTAATGTAAATGATGAGTTGGTGGGTGCAGCAAACCAACATGGCACATGTATACCTATGTATCAAACCTGCACGCTGTGCACATGTACCCTAGAACTTAAAGCATAATAAAAAAAAGAATGTATTATAAAAACCTCCACACACAAAAGAAAACCCAAGACCAGGTTGTTCTTCATTGATGAATTCTATCAAACATCCAAGAAGGAATTGATGCCAGTTTTATACAAACCCCTTCAAAAAAACAGGAGGAAATACTTCGCAACTAATTATAAGGTCAACAAAATGCTTATACTAAGAACTGACAAAAGCATGACAAGAAAAGAAAATTGTATACCTGTATTCCTCATGAATATAGCCACAAAAATTCTTACTCTGTTTTTTTTAAGAGTGAGGGTCTTGCACTCTCACCCAGGTTGGAGTGCAGTGGTCCAAACATAGCTCACTGCAGCCTTGATCTCTTGGGCCCAAGGGATCCTCCTACTTCACTCTCCCAAGTAGCTGGGACAACAGACACACACCACCATGCCCAGCTAATTTTTTTTTTTTTTTTTTTTTTTTTTTTGAGACGGAGTCTCACTCTGTCACCCAGGCTGGAGTGTAGTGGTGCGATCTCGGCTCACTGCAAGCTCCGCCTCCTGGGTTCACGCCATTCTCCTGCCTCAGCCTCCCGAGTAGCTGAGACTACAGGTGCCCACCACCATGCCCGGCTAATTTTTGTATTTTGAGTAAAGACAGGGTTTCACCATGTTAGCCAGGATAGTCTCGATCTCCTGACCTCATGATCCACCCACCTCGGCCTCCCAAAGTGCTGGGATTACAGGCGTGAGCCACTGTACCCAGCCCCAGCTAATTTTTTATGGAGATAGGATCTTGCTGTGTTGCGCAGCCTGGCCTTGAACTCCTGGGCTCAAGTGATCCTCTCATTTCAGCCTCTCAAAACTCTGGGATTATAGGTGTGAGCCAAGCCCCTGCACCTGGCCACACACAAAAAAATTATTAATACAAAATTAGAAAATGGAATACAGCAATATATAAATGGATAATATATTATGACCAAGAATGTATACCCCAGAATGCAAAATGAGTGTAACTCAAAAAGTCAATGTAATTCAGTATTTTTTAACAGACTAAATGAGAAAAACATGATGTAGAAAAAGAATTTGACAAAATTCAATACACATTCATAATCACAACTCTCAGAAAACCAGCAATGGAAGAGAAGTTATTATGGAAATGCAGATTAAAAGCATAAAGACACACCACACCCACTAGAATGGTTAAATTTAAGACTATCAACATCAAATGTTGGCAAGGATTTAGATTACCAGAACTTCCATAAAATACTGGCAGGGATGTAAAATGGTACGATCACTTTGGAAAAGCTTTGGCAGTTTCTTATGAAGATATCCATGTACCTACTCTTTAACCCAGCAATTCTACTTCTACATATTTACTCAAGAGAAATGAAAATGTATTTCCAAAAAAAGCCTTGTAGATGAATATTGATAGTGGCTTTATTCATGATAGCCTGAAACAAGAAATAACCCAATGTCCATCAATAGGAGAATGAATAAACAAATTGTGGCTGCGTGCAGTGGCTCACGCCTGTAATCCCAGCACTTTGGGAGGCCAAGGTGGGTGGACTGCTTGAACTCAGGAGTTGGAGACCAGCCTGGACAACATGGTGGAACACCTTCTCTACTAAAAAAATAAAATAAATTAGCCAGGCATGGTGATGCACACCCACCCATAGTCCCAGCTACTCAAGAGGCTGAGTCAGGAGGATCACTTGAGCCCGGGAGGTCGAGGCTGCAATGAGCCATGATTGTGGCACTGTACTCCAGCCTGGGCATCAGAGTAAGACCCTGTCTCAAAAAAAGAAAAAAACTGGGGTATACTCACACAATGAAATAAATATTACTCATCAATAAAAATTCTCACTTTCAGTACACAGACTTCTCCTTCATTTCTCAGTTTTTACCTTCATGCCTCATCGTTTCCATTCTTGAATTACAGTCCTCTGATTGGGGGATGGTTCCCACTTCTTCAGAGACTACACCCTTTGACTCTTTCATGGGTGGCAGGGGAAGCAGTTAAAAAGGAGCTAAACTGATGCACACAATGACATAGATGAGCCTCACAGACACTGTGTTGAGCCATAAGACACAAAACAGTACATTTGTATGATTTCATTTATATGAATATGTTGACAAACGACTAAGTTATGGTGAAAAAAACACATAATAGAGGATGCCTCTGGAGGGGATGAGAAGGAATGTGAAGAAACTTTCTGGGGTGATGGAAATGTTCTATATCTTGCTACGAGTGTGAATTACCTGGGTATAACTCACTTCCCAAAACTCACTGGATTTTATCCTTCATATTTATACATCTTTATATGTATACATTTTATATTTAAAAAAGGAAAGAAGAACAAGAGCAGGAGAAGGACCAAGAAGAGGAAAAAAGAAAGGAAGCTGTGGTGAGGGTACAGGACTGAGATTGAGACTTGTTTGAAAGTCTATATAAAGACCAGTGGCACCTCCCAGCTTCCCATCCCCATCCCACCCAGCATAATCAACGGCTGCCACTGCTACCCATGGAGGAGTCAAAAGGTGTAGTCTCTGAAGAAATGGCAACAATACCACAATTAGAGGACTTAGTTCAAGAATGGAATTGACAAGGTATGAAAGTAAAAACTGAGAAATTAAGGGAAAGTCTGTGTGCTGAAAGTGAGACTCCCTAAGCAGTTTCAGAGTAACAGCAACCAGACGTATTTGTACCCTTAAGGCTGGAGTCTGAAGCATTACTTTTTGAAGAAGCTGAGTTACCCGAGTAAAGACCCACAGATACTGATATTTCAGGTTCTCCAGTGAAAAGGGTCATCCTGTTTTTCTACTGAGAAGCCCATCATTAACAAGCCACACACAACAACTGAGTTTCCCATTAGTTTCCCAGTGCTTCATCCTTAAGTATAAACAGATATTTGAAGAAAGCACTCTAGAAAAGCAAGAGAGAAGAAATGAAACAGACACCCTGCTGGAAAAGGAAATCTCGTTAAGAATCAGAGAACGATAATGAGATATTGTACTAATGAAACATGAGTGGAAGGATATAGTAAAAATAAAAAAGAGTCATCATAGAATGATCACTCATCAAAATAAAAAATAGTATAGGTGAAATTAAAATTTTGGTTGAAAAAATTTTGGTATGAGAATTGAACTTGAGAAATTTCCCAGAAACTAGAATAAAAGAACCAGGAGATGAACAACAAGAGAGGAAAGACAAGAAACTCAGTCAGTAGATCCAACATCTGAGAAATAGGATTCTAAAAACAGATGACAGGAAACAGTAAGAAGAGATTTACTGAAGAAATAATACAGGAAAATTCCCAGGTATGGAATAGAGTGAGTCTCCAGATTGGAATGCCCACTGGCCAAGTGCCTAACTGCAAGGTCAATGTGCAGTGCAGTCATGCAAAGTGTGCCTGACACAAAGATCCCTAGCCAACAGAGGGGAAGTGGGGGCTGAAATGCGCCCAGGCTCTGCTTACCATGCCCCGTACCTTGCGGCACTAGCCAAGAGGAAGGGGAACATATTTCTAACTGGTCTACCCAGAGGGAACACCCTTCTCTAATTGATCTCCCCAAGAAAATTCCTTTTGTAACTTGGCCCTAGAAGAGAATAACTTTTTCTAATTCATGTAAAGATGTCTTTTATGTGAACTATTAATTTCCAGAACAATGAATGAAAAAAAATGTTTATAGCAGCACAATTTGCCATTGGAAAAATGTGGAACCAACCCAAATGCCCATCAGTCAATGAGTGGGTAAAGAAATTGTGGTATATATATATATATATATATATATATATATGATAGAATACTACTCAGACATAAAAAAGGAATGAATTAATGGCATTTGCAGCAACCTGGATGAGACTGGAGACTATTAGAAGTAACTCAGGAATGGAAAACCAAACATCATATGTTCTCACTCGTAAGTGAGAGCTAAGCTTATGAGGATGCAAAGGCATAAGAATGACACAATGGACTCTGGGGACTCAACAGGAAAGCGTGGGAAAGTGGTGAGGGATAAAAGACTACAAATTGGGTGCAGTGTATACTGCTTGGGTGATGGGTGCACCAAAATCTCACAAATCACCACTAAAGAACATACTCATGTAATGAAACACCACTTGTTCCCCACTAACCTATGGAAATAAATTTTTTTAAATAGTGATAATAAAATTTCAAAAGAAAAAAAGATTCAGATCCAAGGCATGAACACCAAGGGTAAGGAGAAAATATTAAAAACTTCCAGGGGAAAAGAAGCAGTTTACATAGAAAGGATCAAGAATCAAATGACATTTGACTTGTCATCAGCATATCAGAAGGCAGAATGCAAAGGAGCAGCACCTTCGAAATTCAGAGAGAATGCTTGCAACCTAGAATTCTGCACACAGACAAAAGTAAAAGGGTAGAAAAAAGATGTCTTCGGGTATGCACAGTCTCTAAAAGCTTACCTCCCATGCATCCTTTCTCAAGAAAGATGTTAATGGAGGCGTGTTTCACCAAAACATGAGTAAGCCAAAAAAGAAGACATAAGATCCAGGAATCAAGGATTTAACCCAAGAAGAGATGAAGGAGATTCTCATGATGATAGTGAAGAGAACTCCTAGGACAATGGCTATGCAGCCGACCTAGAAAGCAGCTATTCTAGATCAGAGGAGAGCAGCAGAATCCAGCAGGAACATCTGTAGGGAAAGAAATAAGTGTTACTGACAGATTATCTGGCAGGTTTGACCATGTGGAAAACTACAGAGCTATTTGGTGGATGTGAAAAAAAAACACAGCCAGAGATTTTAAGACAACAAAGCAAATGGCAAACTAAGACACATGTCTCCAGGAAAAACAGAAAGTTATACAAGAAAGGTAATGCATCTGCAGTACACTACGTGGCTCAGGAATAGACCATATTTCTTTGGTCATAATGAAAACATCAATTGTTGCAGTTTAAAGAAATGGCCCCAAGTTCTTTGACACCCCTCTCATCAAATGGCAAGTTCTATGTCCCCTCTCCTTGAATCTGAGAAAGGCTTTGGTAAATAGTGGAGTATGGGAGAGGAGATGCTATATGACTTCTGAGGCAATATCTTCAGAGGCAATTCTGCTTCTGCCTTGCTCACTGGAACCCTCACGTGTTATGAGGCCTCCGTGTTATGAGGCCTCCATGTTATGAGGAAGCCCAATCTAGCCCACAGGGAGAGACCACATGGAAAAGCCCTGAGATTACATGAACAGACATGGAGAGATGGCCTGGCCAGCTCCATCCATTGCCTGACTGCAAGTACATGACACCACCACCCAATTGAGCCTTTCTCAGTGCCTGCCCATAGGTAATGTGAGAAAGAATAAAAAGATGGTAGGTGTTTTAAGACACAAGTTTTGTAATGATTTGTTCAGCCACAATAAATAACAGGAACACTGACAAGAGAGTTAACCAAATATAACTATATAACTATATATAGTTATATATGTAAATATACATATAATAACCATGTAACTATATTGGGACTATATCACTATATTGGGATATAATTATATTGGGACTGTAGGAAGAGGAGAGGGGAGTGAAAGATAGTTAAAATTTTTCATTTGCCAGTCTTTAAAGTTAGTAGATAATGTGTAAAATCAGTGAACCAGGAGATAATTATATATACATACATATAAGACAGTGCAAAGAAGAGGAAGAACAGGTAACAGTTAAGAGTGGTTACTTGGCCAGGCACAGTGGCTCACACCTGTAATCTCAGCACTTTGGGAGGCCGAGGCTGGAGAATCACTTGTGCCCATGAGTTCAAGACCAACCCCCCAATCTCTAAAAAAAAAAAAAAGTGGTTACTTCTAGGGAACAGACTAGAATGTGTGGTTGGCAGAGACTACTGTTTTTATAAGCCTGTGACCATTACTTAACTTTTTAATGGATGTTCATTTATGATTTTGTTAAAAAATTTTTTTAAGAATAACAGAACACATACAGAAAACTTTTTTTCCCAACCTTCAACAGAGAAAAACATGGCCTACAAAGCTTTTCATAAACACCACACATTTCTTGTGCCTACCTGGTATAAATCACTGTGATGTGCTATCACCATGAGATAAGAAACATTCATATACATGGTCCTAGACCTTGAGACACTTGTAATCTTGTAGGGGAAAAAGAATACAGAAATTCAAAAGAAAAATGGCAAAGATTACCCTGCTTTATTCAGGTAAGTGGTATGGATAGCCAGTGCAATAGGCATTGAAAAACTGATAGTGAGCTCTAAAGACAAGAGAGACCAGAGAAGGCACTGCAGAGGAGGACAGAGGCCCTTATCTTGGGACTAAAGATAGGACTTAGTGTCCACATCTTACTTATTAACACAGTCACATTCTTTGGAACCTCAGGTATCTCAGCTCCACTCTGTGACTCTGCCCACTCTCCAATATTCTCACATACCCTTTCCTGTGTTCCAGGGGGCCAGTCAGTCCCACAGCCCCATCACTGGCAATATTAATGATACATTCCTGGAAGACCAGCCACAATAACAAGAAAGATCATTTACATGTATACAGCCCTTTACAGATCACATTTCATCCTCATAACTGTGTAGTAGGCAATAAATCATTTACTCATTGTACAGATAAGGAATCAGGAGTCTCAGATGTTAAGTGAATCCCCTAAGAGCCCATGGCAGGTAAATGGCAAATTGGGATAAAAATATGTACCTTGTGCCTCCAGGGTTGGTAGAAAAACTCAACCCATCCAAAACATAAATTGGTATAATCCTATGAGTGCTCTCAGACCCTGTGGTCAAGCCAGAGTCATAGGGTTAGAGATGGAAAGAAAGGGGGAAAGGTAACTCCTAAATTTTCACTTCATCAACAGTGTGTGAACTGAAGTAGAGGAGTTAGGATATAACTAGCACACTTTGGAAGAACCACAGTGTCCACTATTCATTGGCTCCAGTGAAAAGCAAACAGGGTTCTTGATGCAGGCAGCAATGGTTAGAAAATAGACTAACAGGCCAGGCACAGTGACACATGCCTGTAATCCCAGCACTTTGGGAGACCAAGGCGGGAGGATTTCTTGAGGCCAGGAGTTTGAAATCAGCCTGGCAACCTAGTGAAACTCCATCTCTACAAAAAATACAAAAATTAGCTGGGTGTGGGAGCTCACAACTCTAGTCCCAGCTACTTAGGAGGCTGAGGTGGGAGGATAGCTCCAACCCAGAAAGGTGAGCCATGGTCATGCCACTGCACTCCAGTCTGGGTGACAGAGTGAGACCCTGTCTCAAAAATCAGTCAATCAATCAATACACTAACAGAGGGGGAAAAAAAAAACTGCAGAAAGTGGAAGCCAAGTAGTAGGCTCAACTCTGATAACATAAGGGATAGAATATCTAGGAATGAGCAAGAGGTTCCTCACAGATCCTGTAGAAAAAACAGAACTCAAGTTCACTCCCAGCTGGAGACAGGGAATTAAATAAGTTCTTTAACTTAACAGGCCTCAAGGGAGAGAAGAAATAAAAAGCCAGAAACATCAACACTACTTCTAGGAGAGAAAAGGCAAGCAGAGTTGACTCCGCAATAACTTTGAAGCCTGGGGATTAGCTTTCAAGAGGATAGGATCACCAGAAATGATTCTAATATTACCCTCAACAGCCCAAAAAAGATGCAAAATCCAAACAAACAAAAGCTGAAAAAGCTTAACCAAATTCCCAAAGCAGTTGCAGTATTATATTTACCAAGATTCAAACCACATTAGTAATAGCATCAAAGAGTCATATGGCTATTCAGAGTTTACCCAGCATTTTCTCATGCATTAATTGCATTGCATTTAATTGCATGTAGTCTTCCTCCTGTTTGATGAGGAAACCGAAGCCCCGCAAAAGTAGAACACCTCATGCAAGGTCATACAGCTACTGGGTGATAGAACTAGAAATAAAATTGTGGTCTTTGGAATCTTGACCGACTTTTGTTTGAAAAAAGTTTTTTTCTAAAAATATTTTACTTGTTTTAAACTCAGAATTCAGCTTTTTAAAGCATTGAGACAGGTCCTATTTTAATTTGATGACTGTGAAACCTCATTTCTATGGGGAAAGAATTCCCTATTTAACAAATGGTGCTGGGAAAACTGGCTAGCCATTTGTAGAAAGCTGAAACTGGATCCCTTCCTTACACCTTATACAAAACTTAATTCAAGATGGATTAAAGACTTAAATGTTAGACCTAAAACCATAAAAACCCTAGAAGAAAACCTAGGCAATACCATTCAGGACATAGGCATGGGCAAGGACTTCATGTCTAAAACACCAAAAGCAATGGCAACAAAAGCCAAAATTGACAAATGGCATCTAATTAAACTAAAGAGCTTCTGCACAGCAAAAGAAGCTACCATCAGAGTGAACAGGCAACCTATAGAATGGGAGAAAAATTTTGCAACCTACTCATCTGACAAAGGGCTGATATCCAGAATCTACAAAGAACTCAAACAAATTTACAAGAAAAAACAAACAACCTCATCAAAAAGTGGGCAAAGGATATGAACAGACACTTCTCAAAAGAAGACATTTATGCAGCCAACAGACACATGAAAAAATGCTCATCATCACTGGCTATCAGAGAAATGCAAATCAAAACCACAACGAGATACCATCTCACACCAGTTAGAATGACGATCATTAAAAAGGTCAGTAAACAACAGGTGCTGGAGACAATGTGGAGAAATAGGAACACTTTTACACTGTTGCTGGGACTGTAAACTAGTTGAACCATTGTGGAAGTCAGTGTGGCGATTCCTCAGGGATCTAGAACTAGAAATACCATTTGACCCAGCCATCCCATTACTGGGTGTATACCCAAAGGATCATAAATCATGCTGCTATAAAGACACAAGTACACATATGTTTATTGTGGCACTATTCACAATAGCAAAGACTTGGAACCAAGCCAAATGTCCAACAATGATAGACCAGATTAAGAAAATGTGGCACATATACACCATGGAATACTATGCAGCTATAAAAAATGATGAGTTCATGTCCTTTGTAGGGACATGGATGAAGCTGGAAACCACCATTCTGAGCAAACTATCGCAAGGACAAAAAAACAAACACCGCATGTTCTCACTCATAGATGGGAATTGAACAATGAGAACACTTGGACACAGGAAGGGGAACATCACACACTGGGGCCTGTTGTGGGGTGGGGGGGGGGAGGGATAGCATTAGGAGATATACCTAATGTAAATGATGAGTTAATGGGTGCAGCACACCAACATGGCACATGTATACATATGTAACAAAACTGCACGTTGTGGACATGTACCCTAGAACTTAAAGTATAATTTAAAAAAAACCTCATTTCTACATACATGGGCCATATGAAACAGTTGGAAGAATGAATTGGAACACATAGAGAGGAAAACTAGGTAGGATTCTCATGCATTTGAGGAAATGTAAATTTGATAAGCCAGATGAGTTCCTAAAGGACCAAGAAAGTGAGCACAGTCCTGTATTTCCTCTTGAAGTCTGAAGCACTGCCATGACTTTGGCTCTCACAAGTGATATTCGCCATGAAACCCTGCAACCCAGAGGCTCCCTGGTGGCAGAGCCAGCACTGGGCAAAAAGCTTCCTTTTTCCATCACTGTAGAGCAATTTCTCTCCACTCCACCCATCACTGTCTTCTGGCCCCGTTCCTCAGTATACTTTTCTCTCCAAAAAGACTCCAGTCTTAGTGATTTGCAACCTTGCACGTATGTAAGGCTTTATGTTATCTTCCCGCCAGGAGTTTGCATTTTAAGGTTTTTCTTTAATGGAAGAAATACACTAAATTAGTGAAAGAAATTTTCAGCATTAGCCAGTCACTCTAAGGAAAGTTTGATTCCCTCAAAAGAAACATATCCCAGCTAAAAAAGCTTCTAAATGTCCCTAAAATCAAAGCCATCTCATTTTCTTCGGAAGAAGAGAGAAAAAGTAACACAACTTCATAACATAAGGGAAAAAGAGGTATCTATACAGGCCCCCCTCATCATTAAAAATAATGAACCAGACAATGATATACAAGAAAAGAAATAAGTTTGGAAATAATACACAACAAAATCTCAGAAATGATTCTGTGTTCTGGTCATTCCCACTGTTCCCCAGTCACCCTGCTAAATGCAAACATCAAAAATAGGCAAATATAGGCCAAGGTGAGTAAATCACTTGAGGTCAGGAGTTTGAGGCCAGGTGAAACCCCATCTCTACTAAAAATACAAAAATTAGCCAGGCACGGTGCCATGCACCTATAATCCCAGCTACTTGGAAGGCAGAGGCACGAGAATTACTTGAACCCAGGAGGAGGGGTTTGCAGTGAGCTGAGATCACACTGCTGCACTCCACCCTGGGCAACAGAGTAAGACTCCATCTCAAAAAAAAAAAATGCAAATCTATTCTCCATTACTGATTCTCTGGCTTCCTCATAACATTATATCAGCTCACAGGTATAAAGGTATACATGGCTCTAGCTCTTCAGTCTGGAACTTCACATTTTTCTTTCCATATGTTACATCATAAGGCTCTTCCTCTCATGTATATATTGAATCTCCACTACCAGCTTAGCACTGTATCAGATGCCAAATACTATAAGAGATTTGAGTCTTGTTGGGAAGACATACACTTTCATGAAACAAACCACAAACAATACAGAAGACTGGACTGAACTCTCCTCCTTCTAATTTCAGATATCTCTTTCCCCCACTCTATTGCAGCAACCTACCAACCCTCATGATGACACTGTGGACCTTATCTCACACACACACATAGAGACACAGACACCACTTCTCTTTTTTTTTTTTTCAGTTTCAAACTCCAGCTCCAGCCTCCTATTTGTTTGCTCTGTGGCTCAAGAATCCCAACTACAGCAATTCTTCAATATCACTTTGGAACTACAATGCACTTCCTCACATCTATCAACATCTCTATCTCCTTCCTCCCTTATTCTCTTTGGAGTCCATGTTCCGTTTTTATAACTACCTCTTTACAAAGCCTCACAATTCTTGCCCCTCCTTCCTTCCATTCTTGTATTCCCCTTATAAAACATCAACCCTGTTAAGATATATTTAGGCATCTTCCTTCATCAGGTCTTCCCGAGTAACTGAAGGTTACTAAAGAAACTCCACAAACATGCAGGCTGGTTTCAATTTAAATTAACGATCTCAGTCCTTAAATGGGCTCTCAATACTGTGGAAATCCTATTACATTTTTGCATTAATACTGACCTTACGTTCTGTAAGAGGAATATTTCATACCATCTCCTGCCCTCACACCATCTCTTGTCCCTCTTCCTCACTCTCACCCCTCCTGCCTTCTAAGTTGAGAAACCAAAGGCCATCTGATGAGAGTTCTTTCATCACTCCACGACCAAATCCACTAGCTTCTCCACAGCTGAACCCATATTTTCCTAATTTTTATAGTTAGAGTGGAGGAAGTATCTTTTCTAATTGACCCATCACATAAGTTCCATTGGTTACCTCCCATTCTCCATCACTGGGCTCTCCTTTGTTAGTGGATTATTCCAGCAGCATTTTAAAAAAAACTGTAGTACTGACATTCTAAAACCAAACAAACAAACAAACACCTTCAAGCAAAAAAAAAATTTTTCCTTGAAACCACATTCTAATTTAATACCATCCTATTTCTCTGCCCTCTTTCACAGACGAACCTACAAAAACTGGTCTACACATCCTGTTTTCACTTTCTCCCATTTACCCATCATCCCACTCCAAAGTAATTCTTTTCCCAACACCGAGCCTGCTCAAAGGCTTGCACAGAGGTAAGCCCCGTGATACTTTCCTGTCCTCATCTTAGTCAACATCCAAGCAGCAGTTGATGCAGGTGATCAAAATGCTCTTCTTTCTTGACTTCAAGATAACATTCTCAGCTTGTTTACCATCTCTCTTTTTGCCTGTTCCATTTAACCCTCATTTATTTTCCTCCTCTTCTACCTGATCTCTGAATCTTGGTTTGTCTCAAGACTCAGTCCTGGATCTTTTTTCTTCCTCAGTTCTACTTTCTAGGTGTTCTCAATCTATCTATAGCTGAAAACTGCTAGGTGACTCCCAATATCTATTCTGTCTCCTTCTACAATAAGAGAACTTCGCATTTGCAGCTAGTTGCATTGTTATCTGAAAAAAAAATTGTGCATCTCCCAGCCTTGTTTTCAGTTAGATGTGGCCAGGTGATTAAGCTCTGACAGCAAGAAATAAATGGAAGTGGTGTCTGAAACTCCTGGGAATCGCCTTTAAATGAAGGTGGGGACGTGGTCTTCTTTTCTTTTCTTTTCTCCATTCTGCTGCATGGAGAAGCAGGTATGTTGAAGATACAATGGAGGAGCCAGAGCTGGAGTTGGAGTGGCCCTCCAGAACCATGAAGTGGAGCTGCATAATGAGGATGGTTATGTGCCCAGACAACAAGGTGGAAGAAGCCTGATTTCCTGATGATTGAGAAGCTACCATATTAGCACTGGACTATCCACCCAGACTCTTACAGTAGAGAGGGAAAAAATTATATCTTGTTTAAACCACTGCTATTTTTGGTTTTCTGAAACATGCAATCAGTTATAATCCAAACTAATATACTTCTCTATTGCTTTAAATATCATTAATCTACTGGCAACTCACAAATTTACATCTATAGTCCAGACCTCCCTTCTGACTCTAACAATGTATGTCAACTGCCCACTTGATAGTTCCATTTAGAGAAGGAAGCATAAGAGCTAGTGGAGATCTTTGAGCTCTGGATGCAGAATATTCTATATCTGAGAATACTGTTCAAACTCATTTATTAAGTGGCATTAAAGGATGCAAGTTTTAAGTGGGTCCAGAGTAGGAAAGGGCTCTATACCAAGTCCGAGCAATGATGTATTCAACTCTGTAACTTGTATTATCTGACCTAGCAGAATGTATGATTCTCAAGGTATATTTGTTGGGGGGAAAATGCTATGGGGAGTTTATGTTAAACTCCTGCAAGAGAATGACAACATAAATTCCACGGGTTCCAGAAAAAGACCATGACATCTGCAGCAGATAGTTATTTCATTTTAAAAACACATCTTCTAGTGTGCTACTGGGTTGTGAGAGAGATGGAATGTCTGATCACAAGGCATCAAGTGACCACGTGGCCAAAGTTGTGCATCATGAACTGGGTTCTCTCAGACCCAGCAAGTCATAAAATAGGATGGGCCCAACAGCTCCATCATGAGACTGAAATAGTACATCTAGGACAGAGCATGAGTAGGGACAGAGGGCACAAAGAAGCTGCATGAAGCAGACCTCCACGTCCTCCATGGTGTCACAGACACTTTTCCCTCAATTCACGCATCTGGCCAGCTGGGTAGAACTCTGTGAACAGCTGACAGAAGAGGAAAAAAGGCAGAACGTGGTTCATGGATAGAGTGACTTCATATGCAGGTACAAGCCAATAATACACCGCTGCTGCACTCTGGGGTGACACTGAACAACAGCAGCTATGTGTTTTGCACTTGGTCCTCCACTTTATGTGGAAGAAGTGGCCTGAAGTAAGACTATACATAGACTCATGGGCACAAGTGAATGGCTTGACTGGTTGACCAGGGGCATGGAAGGAAAAAGTTTGGATGATCAAGGACAAGGAGGTTTCGGGAAGAGGCCTACGGATAGATCTATGGGAAGAAACACAAGATGTGGGCCAGGCACAATGGCTCACGCCTGTAATCCCAGCACTTTGGGAGGCCGAGGCGGGCAGATCACCTGAGGTCAGGAGTTCAAGACCAGCCTGGGCAACATGGTGAAACCCCATCTCTACTAAAAATACAAAAACTAGCCAGGTGTGGTGGCCGGCACCTGCAATCCCTGCTACTCAGGAGGTTGAGGCAGGAGAATTGCTTGAACCTGGGGGGTGGAGGTTGCAGTGAGCTGAGATCATACCACTGCACTCCAGCTTGGGCAACAGAGCAAGACTCCATTAAAAAAAAAAAAAAAAAAAAAAAAAAAAAACAAGATGTGAAGATTTTTCTATCATATATTAATGTTCACCAGATAGCATCCACCACAGAAAAGGTATTTAAAAACCAAGCAGACACCATGATGTGGCCAGTCGACATCAGCCAGCCTCTGCCACTGGCTACCCTAGTGCTAGCACAATAGGCTCATGAACGGAGTAGCCACGGTGCAGGGCTGGAGGATACGCATGGGTCCAATGGCATGGGCTCTCATTCACTGAGGCTGATCTTTCTGCTGCCACTGGCAAAGAGCTAACCTGCCAGCAACAGAGACCATATCCGAGGGCCCAACACAGCATTTTTCTTGGGGAGACCAAACACTAAGTTGATTACATTGGACCCCTTCCGCCTGAAAGGAGCAGCAATTCACCTGTTGGGATTTGACAGTTTACCTTTGTCTTTCATGCCTACAAGGCCTTTGCCAGTACCATTATCCAAGATGTTATCCACGGAGCGTTCAGTCCACCAGCACAGGATCCTGCACAACACTGTACTAGAGAAAGGGACCCATTTACAGCAAAGGAGGAGAAGCAGGGTGGCACACGGCCATGAGATCCATTGGTCATTTCATATTCTGCATCTCTCCAGAAGATGCTACATTGATAGAGTGATAGAACAGCCTGTTGCAGGTGCAGCTTAGATGTCACCTTAGAGATGATACTCACAGGATATACACACGGTTTACACCTAAATCAATAACCATTATGTTGTATTGTGCCCCTAGTAGGTAGAATGCATAGGCCTGGGAAACAAAGGGTGAAAAAACAGGAGTGCCTTCACTTTACTATCACCCCCAGTGACCCACCAGGGGAATCTGTGCTTCTTTTCCCTGAAACTTCAGACTCTGCATGTCTTGAGATCCTATTTCTCACAGGAGTAGCAGTTCTATCAGAGGATGCATGAGTCCCATTATACTTTAAGTAAGTTACTTTGAGCTCCTTGTTCCAAAAGCCAAGCAAGCAAAGAAAGGCACTACCATACTGGCAGAGGTCACTGGTCTTGTTCATCAGCAGAAGGTAGGGCTGCACTACACAAGAGACAGGGAAGAATGTGTGTGGCACCCGGGTGACCTACTGGCACTTCTCTTGGTATTCCCCTGCCTGATTTGATGATACAAGGACACGTACAGTAGACTTGGATCTTGGATATCTCAGGAATGACCAGGGGTTTAGTCCTCACCACATAAGGTTAACACCTAAGCCAGTAGATATACTAGCCAAGAGTGACAGGAATTTAGAGGGAGTATAAAGAAAAAATGCTGAGTACCACTTGTAGCCTTGAGACTAACTGCAGCTGAGATGCATCTCTTCCCACAAACTTTTATCTTATATGTTTTCCCGGGAAAAAGAGAATGACCAGAATCCTTGAGGATATCTCTGCAGATTAGGTGAACAGAAGTTCAGCACGTAGTGAGGAAGGGGTTCACTTTGAATCAGACGTCAGGGTGAATTTTAAGCTTGTCTGTACTGTATTTTAATCACTCAAATTGACTGGAAAGTTATATTAATAGATCTGCCAAACATTCACTAAGAGATGAGAAATTGGGTGAACAGGGTTGAAAGCAGTCACTGGGAAAAAATAAAAGCTGTTGCAAGTTTATATGCAATGCACTGGAGAATACTCAATGCACTGTTTATTGTTACTTGTTTATCTCCTCTCCTATGGCTTTGTAACATCCAGGAGGGCAGAAACCACTGCCTGCTTCGCTCACCTAGTACCTAGTACAGAGCCTGGCATGAAGCAGTTACCAAAACATAGCTGTAGCAGTTGTTGGTATGAATGGAGTGAACAGTTGTGTGCAGAGGCTGTAAGATCTGAAAGCCAAGGGAAGGCAATGAGTAGTCCAGTAGACAGACAAAGCTTCATGGGATTAAGCTGGATTCTGAAATATGTCTAGATATCCTTTCTTTTCCCTTGTAGAGTGGGGTACATAGGCCCTCTTTGCTTTTAGCTGTAGCTTATTGGTCCTGTGTAGCTGCACAAACAAATTGTTAAAAAAGATCACTGCTTTACATGATATACATGAAAAATGTTAAAATATATAACAGGGATGGGTGTGGTGGCTCACACCTGTAATCCCAGCACTTGGGGAGGCTGAGGTGAGAGGATCACTTGAGGCCACAAGTTCAAGGTTGCAGTGAGCTATGATTGTGCCACTGCACTCCAGCCTGGGTGACAGAGTGAGATCCTGTATCTGTAAAAATAAGTTAATAGAATAAAATATATAACAGCATTGCTCCCAAAAGATTTGTGAGTTGAGGAATCACTATGTATTAATATTAAACTCTTTATCGGCTTAGTGTTGAGTAAAGTGTCTTTCAATGATTAAATCCCCTTGTGAAGGTCCCAGACAGACTAATTCATCAATACTGAATTCATCACCACAACTCTGAGTGTTGCAGTAGGGTGCTAGGATGATTTGTTTCATATTTAAAGACTAGTGAATAAGATTTAATAATGGAACTACAGAAATGCTACTGTCATCCCAGACCTCTCTCTTCAATAAACAGAAAACACTACAACTTCTGCCACATGGATCTAAGACTATTAAGGAGATATCAGATCCACCAAAGCAAGTCATAGAATTAAAAGGTCTAAAATATGGAAGCTCTAAAGCAGGGCTGTCCAATCTTTTGGCTTCTCGGGGCCACTTTGGAAGAAGAAGAATTGTCTTGAGCCACACATAAAATACATTAACATGAATGACAGGTGATGAGCCAAAAAAAAATCACAAAAAACCTCATAATGTTGTAAGAAAGTTTATAAATTTGTGTTGGGCCACATTCAAAGCTGTCCTAGGCTGCATGCAGCCCACAGGCCATGGTTTGGACAAGCTTGCTCTAAAGTGACTGAATCAGGCTGGGCACAGTGGCTCATGCCTATAATCCCAACACTTTGAGAGGCCAACACTTGTGGATCGCTTGAGTCCAGGAGTTTGAGACCAGCCTGGCAACATGACAAAACCCCGTCTCTACAGAAAATTAGCCAGGCTTGGTGGTGCACGCCTGTATTCTCAGCTATTCATGAGGCTGAAGTGGGAGGATCACCTGAACCTAGGAGGTCAAGGCTGCAGTGAGCCATAATTGAACCACTGAACTCTAGTTTGGGTGACAGAGCAAGACCCTGTTTCAAAAAATAAATAAATATAAAATAAAATAAAGTTACTGATTCAGAAATTTGACTCTGCTCAGTAAAATTTTCTCAACAAAAACACCTAAAGTTTTTGAAATATGTAAAAACTGAGAATATTAGCCTATTTTTAACTAGTCCAGCTTCTTTATTTTTAGTTCAGGTATCTGTGTCTAACATTTCTACCAAACAAATCCTCTCATTCTGTAGAAATCCAGGGAAAGTTCACCTCTTTAAATTTGCAACCGTCAACTCCAAACTTTCTTGGGCAGAGAAGGCTATTTCCTAAGCCTGTGTCCAATATACACAGCTTCAGGGTATATATAAAAATGCCTAGCTGTAACAATGAAATTCAAACTATCGCAAGAGAAAAAGCCCCCATTCCAGAAAGCTAAATGCCTAGAACAAAAGCTATTCCCTATGACACCTGCCCACAATGATTTCCTTCCTGTCTACCCATACCATACATGGTATAGACTGAACTACCTTGAATCATTAGCTCAATCATAAATTCCTTAAGGCCACATGTCTCACATAATGCCTTACAGAATAAAATGCTCAGTAAATGCATATGAGAAATGAAGGGTAGAAATGCATAATTGTGTAGTCAGTATCAGTTTGTGAGTGTTTGTGAGTGTGGAACAGCAAATATAAATACTTATCCTCTCCATTTCCAATGGAAATTGGGGGTGGGGCAGGGAGGAGAGAAAGAACACAAAGAATAAGAGCAAGGAAAACAGATAAGGACACATACCCTCATTTAACTTTTGCTCATCATCCTAACTCTTGCTTTGCCCAAAGGCTAGATGTACCCTCCTAGAAGCTATACAGTTTCTGTCCCTGTGAATCGAGTAAATGAATGCAGGCTAAGCACAAAGGTTCACGGTGATGCTTATCTCCTGAGCCATGACATTTCCCAACATCCATTTTATGTAGTGAAGGGGTTAGGTACAAAAACTGACATCTTCACTAAGGAAATCATTTTTCCCTAAATAAAATGCTTTCAGTATCAATAACTAATATTAGAGCACAGGCCATGTGCATGCTCTAAAATGTCTTACATACTGAGGAATTTTCTATGAAATGAACACACTGGTTTTATGTGGAGTGAACACTTACGCACTTTTCCAAACTTGGTCAAGAGTAGTTCTTTTTTTAAAAGCTTGGCAGACTATTGGGAAAAGCTGTTCTTTTAAAGTACATTCAAAGATTATTTTGGAAAGCTGGAAAGCGAAGGCTTATAAGTTTACCAAACAGTCTGAAGGAAAGGTAATTGGTTTCCTTGAAAAGGAGTATGACTGCTTTATTCCCTTTCATGCCTATCCATAGGAGAAAAGGGTACCTCAGAAAGGAAACCAATGCTTTCTTTTAAACTAATTTATAAACCATAATTTGGTATGATTTGGTACTTCTGGTTTATACAACACTCACTTTGTGTACCTTTTAGGAATCTTTTTAAATGGTTGAAAATAAATTAAATGGCACCCTAATTTAGTTGTGCCTTTAAAAAGCTTTCTTACAATAAAAGTAATATGTACTTATCTTGTTTTATCATTTAATATATTTAATAGATTGTGAACACTTTCTCATGTCATTAAACAGTCAAAAAGTACCTTTTTTAACTTTTAAAAAATACCTTTAAAAATATCTTTTAATGTCTATATTAGGCCGGGCGCAGTGGCTCACGCCTGTAATCCCAGCACTTTGGGAGGCCGAGGCAGGCGGATCACGAGGTCAGGAGATCAAGACCATCCTGGCTAACAGGGTGAAACCCCGTCTCTACTAATAATACAAAAAATTAGCCGGGCGTGGTGGTGGGCACCTGTAGTCTCAGCTACTCGGGAGGCTGAGGCAGGAGAATGGTGTGAACCCGGGAAGTGGAGCTTGCAGTGAGCCGAGATTATGCCACTGCACTCCAGCCTGGGGGACAGAGCGAGACTCCGTCGCAAAAAAAAAAAAAAAAAGTCTATATTAATATATCAATGAGTATATCATATTTTATTTTGCCATGGCTTCACTAATTTAGACCATATGTCTAGTAACAATGAACACAATTGCACATTTATTAGCCCAAGTTTCTGGTTATTCCTTAAGACATAGTCATAGAGCGGCAATTACAGGGCCAAAAGGTATGAACTATCAGAATCATTGACTGTAGATGGTACCTCTCACCTCGTCCTCCTCCAATCCTATTTAACACTTGAGTTGTCTAGAAGCCTTTTCCTAATGTTCCCCATTAGTACAGAATTAAGCTTCCTCTGATAAGACTTTCCATTTGTCATCAATATTGTTACACTTTAAGCTTATCCCCAAAGAGAGGTTACACATCTGGATGAATTTTTTTTTTTTTTTTTTTTGGATTTTCAGTATCAACATGGCATTCTTTTCCTCTCAAAACTCTCTCCAAGATGAGGAAGAAAACAAAGAGAAACTCCATATAAAGTCAGAAAATGGATAGAGAAAGGATAAATGACTTAACAGAACAGAGAAAGGTTAAACCTGAGCACACACAAAAGAAGATATCAGTGAAAGAAAAGCTAATTCATCCTCAAGAATTCTAGAAGAATCAGCCAGGCATGGTGGGACATGCCTGTAATCCCAGATACTTGAGAGGCTGAGGCAGGAGGATAGATTCAGCCCAGGAATATGAGGCTGTGGTGAGCTATGATCACACCACTGCACTCCAGCCTGGACAACAGAGCAAAACCCTGTCTCTCCAAAAAACAACAAAAAAAAATCTGGAAGAATCAAACCAAGAAATGTAAGTACCAGACGGATGCCAGTGGCAGCAGGTAAGTCCCCCAGGATCCGAACCCCTGGCATATTCAACTGACTCCCCTTCTCACAGGAGACAGAAATTGAATCAGAAAAGACCAAATCAGAGGACAATAAGCCTAGGGACTAGAGAGTTGTTGAGGAAAAGAACTGAAAACTGGGAGATAAGGGAAAATCTGCAGACTGAATATGAGAACCTCAGTCCTTTCCACTGCATAGCTATAAGATGATGGCAGTTGGCTTCTTAGACACCTCAAGTGGGAGATTGCATGAATGGGCTGTAATATGGATGTAATGTGGATGAATAGACTGGAGAATATTCTGTAAGTTTCTTTCTTGGAGAAACTGAATGGCAGATGGGCAAAGACCTAAAGATGCTGATATTTGGGGATCTCAAACAAAAAAAGCCAACCATCCACCAATCCAGTTGTCCTGTTGTTAAGCCTATCAGAGAACAAGTCCTGCACATACACATTCATTCATTTAAAATATATTTATGGACCGGGCATGGTGGCTCACACCTGTAATCCCAGCACTTTGGCAGGCCAAGGCAGGCAGATCACGTGAAGTCAGGAGTACAAGACCAGCTTAGCCAACGTGGCAAAACCCCGTCTCCACTAAAATACAAAAATTAGCTGGGTGTGCTGGCCTGTGCCTGGAATCCCAGCTACTTGGGAGGCTGAGGCAGAAGAATCGCTTGAACCTGGGAGGCAGAGGTTGCAGTGAGCTGAGATCACCCCACTGCACTCCAGCCTGGGCCACAGAACGAGACTTTGTCTCAAAAAAAAAAAAAAGTGATGTAATATGACTTACATTTTAGCTTCTATTGAGAATAGTCTGTAACGCATAGGTATGGAAGTAGGGAGATCAATTAGGAGATTATTGCAATATATAGGCAAGAGTTGATGGTGGTTGTGACCAAGATAGTACAGATGAAGGTGGTGAGAAGTGGAAGAATTCTAGATGTATTTTAGATACACAAACAGCTCTTTAGACTTTATCCTTAAATATGAATAGACAACCTAAGACCATCAGACATTTGACAAATATTAGAAATGTGAGACATTTGAGAAATATTAGAAATATTTCTAATATAGTGGGATAAAATAAATGAAACAAAACAAAACAAAACAAACACTCAGAGAAAACAGATACAACCCAAGGAGCAGAAGAAAAGTCACTCAGAACTCAGAGAAATGGAGCTTTGGAGAAACATGGCCAAATAGGAACACCTCCAGTCTACAGCTCCCAGCGTGAGTGATGCAGAAGATGGGTGATTTCTGCATTTCCAGCTGAGGTACCAGGTTAATCTCACTGGGGCTTGTCCGACAGCATTGGGGCTTGTCGGACAGTGGGTGCAGTCCACAGAGTGTGAGCTGAAGCAGGGTGAGGCATCACCTCACCCGGGAAGTGCAAGGGGTCGGGGAATTCCCTTTTCTACATTTTCTAGCCAAGGGAAGCCGTGACAGACGGTTTCTGGAAAATCGGGACACTCCCACCCCCTAATACTGCGCTTTTCCAATGGTCTTAGCAAACAGCACACCAGGAGATTATATCCCGCACATGGCTCAGAGGGTCCCACCCCCACGGAGCCTCGCTCACTGCTAGCACAGCAGTCTGAGATCGAACTGCAAGGCAGCAGTGAGGCTGGGGGAAGGGCGTCCACTATTGCTGAGGCTTGAGTAGGTAAACAAAGTGGCCAGGAAGCTCGAACTGGGTGGAGCCCACTGCAGCTCAAGGAGGCCTGCCTGCCTCTGTAGACTCCACCTCTGGGGGCAGGGCATAGCTGAACAAAAGGCAGCAGAAACTTCTGCAGACTTAAACGTCCCCGTCTGACAGCTTTGAAGAGAGTAGTGGTTCTCCCAGCACAGATTTTGAGATCTGAGAACAGACAGACTGCCTCGTCAAGTGGGTCCCTGACCCCAAGGTAGCCTAACTGAGAGACACCTCCCAGTAAGGGCTGACAGACACCTCATACAGCCAGGTGCCCCTCTGAGACGAAGCTTCCAGAGGAAGGATCAGGCAGCAACATTTGCTGTTCTGCAATAGTTGCTGTTCTGCAGCCTCTGCTGGTGATACCCAGGCAAACAGGGTCTGGAATGGACCTCCAGCAAACTCCAGCAGACCTGCAGCTGAGGGTCCTGACTGTTAGAAGGAAAACTAACAAACAGAAAGGACATCCACACCAAAACCCCATCTGTACGTCACCAACATCAAAGACCAAAGGTAGATAAAACCACAAAGATGGGGAGAAACCAGAGCAGAAAAGCTGAAAATTCTAAAAATCAGAGTGCCTCTTCTCCTCCAAAGGAACGCAGCTCCTCTCCAGCAACAGAAAAAAGCTGGACGGAGAATGACTTTGACGAGTTGAGAGAAGAAGGCTTCAGACAATCAGCAATAACAAACTTCTCCAAGCTAAAGGAGGATGTTCAAACCCATTGCAAAGAAGCTAAAAACCTTGAAAAAAGATTAGACGAATGGCTGACTAGAATAAACAGCATAGAGAAGACCTTAAATGACCTCATGGAGCTGAAAACCACGGCACGAGAACTACGTGACACATGCACAAGCTTCAGTAGCCGATTCGATCAAGTGGAAGAAAGGGTATCAGTGACTGAATATCAAATGAATGAAATGAAGCGAGAAGAGAAGTTTAGAGAAAAAAGAGTAAAAAGAAATGAACAAAGCCTTCAAGAAATATGGGACTATGTGAAAAGACCAAATCTAAGTCTAATTAGTGTACCTGAAAGTGACAGGGAGAAGGGACCCAAGTTGGAAAACACTCTTCAGGATATTATCCAGGAGAACTTCCCCAACCTAGCAAGGCAGGTAAACATTCAAATTCAGGAAATACAGAGAACGCCACAAAGATACTCCTTGAGAAGAGCAACCCCAAGACACATAATTATCAGATTCACCAAAGTTGAAATGAAGGAAAAAATATTAAGGGCAGCCAGAGAGGAGGGTCGGGTTACCCACAAAGGGAAGCCCATCAGACTAACAGTGGATCTCTCGGCAGAAACTCTACAAGCCAGAAGAGAGTGGGGGCCAATATTCAGCATTCTTAAAGAAAAGAATTTTCAACCCAGAATTTCATATCCAGCCAAACTAAGCTTCATAAGTGAAGGAGAAATAAAATCCTTAACAGACAAGCAAATGCTGAGAGATTTTGTCACCACCAGGCCTGCCTTACAAGAGCTCCTGAAGGAAGCACTAAACATGGAAAGGAACAACCTGTACAAGCCACTGCAAAAACATGCCAAATTGTAAAGACCATCAATTCTAGGAAGAAACTGCATCAACTAACAAGCAAAATAACCAACTAATATCATAATGACAGGATCAAATTCAGACATCACAATATTAACCTTAAATATAAATGGGCTAAATGCCCCAATTAAAAGACACAGACTGGCAAATTGGATAAAGAGTCAAGACCCATCAGTGTGCTGTATTCAGGAGACCCATCTCACATGCAAAGATGCACATAGGCTCAAAATAAAGGGATGGAGGAAGAACTACCAAGCAAATGGAAAGCAAAAAAAAGCAGGGGTTGCAATCCTAGTCTCTGATAAAACAGACTTTAAACCAACAAAAATGAAAAGAGACAAAGATGGCCATTACATAACGGTAAAGGGATCAATTCAACAAGAAGAGCTAACTATCCTAAATACATATGCACCCAATACAGGAGCACCCAGATTCATAAAGCAAGTCCTTAGAGACCTACAAAGAGATTTAGACTCCCACACAATAATTACAGGAGACCTTAACACCCCACTGTCCATATTAGACAGATCAATGAGACAGAAGGTTAACAAGGGTATCCAAGACCTGAACTCAGCTCTGCAACAAGCAGACCTAATAGACATCAACAGAACTCTCCACCCCAAATCAACAGAATATACATTCTTCTCAGCACCACATCACACTTATTCCAAAATTGACCACATAGTTGGAAGTAAAGCACTCCTCAGCAAATGTAAAAGAACAGAAATTATAACAAACTGTCTCTCAGACCACAGTGCAATCAAACTACAACTCAGGATTAAGAAACTCACTCAAAACCACTCAACTACATGGAAACCGAACAACCTGCTCCTGAATGACTCCTGGGTACATACCAAAATGAAGGCAGATATAAAGATGTTCTTTGAAACCAGGAGAACAAAGACACAACATAACAGAATCTCTGGGACACATTTAAAGCAGTGTATAGAGAGAAATTTAGAGCACTAAATGCTCACAAGAGAGAGCAGGAAAGATCTAAAATTGACACCCTAACATCACAATTAAAAGTACTAGAGAAGCGAGAGCAAACACATTCAAAAGCTAGCAGAAGGCAAGAAATAACTAAGATCAGAGCAGAACTGAAGGAGATAGAGACACAAAAAACCCTTCAAAAAATCAGTTAATCCAGGAGTTGGTTTTTTGAAAAGATCAACAAAATTGATAGACTGTTAGCAAGACTAATAAAGAAGAAAAGAGAGCAGAATCAAATAGACGCAATAAAAAATGATAAAGGGGATATTACCACCGATTCCACAGAAATACAAACTACCATCAGAGAATACTATAAACACCTCTATGCAAATAAACTAGCATATCTAGAAGAAATGGATAAATTCCTGGACACATACACCCTCCCAAGACTAAACCGGGAAGAAGTTGAATCCCTGAATAGACCAATAACAGACTCTGAAATTGAGGCAATAATTAATGGCCTACCAACCAAAAAAAGTCCAGGATCAGACAGATTCACAGCCGAATTCTACCAGAGGTACAAAAAGCAGCTGGTACCATTCCTTCTGAAACTATTCCAATCAATAGAAAAAGAGTGAATCCTCCCTAACTCATTTTATGAGGCCAGCATCATCCTGATACCAAAGCCTGGCAAAGACACAACAAAAAAAAGAGAATTTTAGACCAATATCCCTGATGAACATCGATGCAAAAATCCTCAATAAAATACTGGCAAACTGAATCCAGCGCACATCAAAAAGCTTATCCACCACGATCAAATTGGCTTCTTCCCCAGGATGCAAGGCTGGTTCAACATATGCAAATCATTAAATGTAATCCATGATATAAACAGAACCAAAGATAAAAAACCACATGATTATCTCAATAGATGCAGAAAAGGCTTTCAACAAAATTCAACACACTTCATGCTAAAAACTCTCAATAAACTAGGTATTGATGGGATGTATCTCAAAATAATAAGAGCTATTTATGACAAACCCACAGCCAATATCATATTGAATGGACAAAAACTGGAAGCATTCCCTTAGAAAACTGGCACAAGACAGGGATGCCCTCTCTCACCACTCCTATTCAACATAGTGTTGGAAGTTCTGGTCGGGGCAATCAGGCAGGAGAAAGAAATAAAGGGTATTCAATTAGGAAAAGAGGAAGTGAAATTGTCCCTGTTTGCAGGTGACGTGATTGTATATTTAGAAAACCCCATCGTCTCAGCCCAAAATCTCCTTAAGCTGATAAGCAACTTCAGCAAAGTCTCAGGATACAAAATCAATGTGCAAAAATCACAAGCATTCCTATACGCCAATAACAGACAAACAGAGAGCCAAATCATGAGTGAACTCCCACTCACAATTGCTTCAAAGAGAATAAAATACCTAGGAATCCAACTTACAAGGGATGTGAAGGACCTCTTCAAGGAGAACTACAAACCACTGCTCAACACAATAAAAGAGGACACAAACAAATGGATGAACATTCCATGCTCTTGGATAGGAAGAATCAATTCGTGAAAATGGCCATACTCCCCAAGGTAATTTATAGATTCAATGCCATCCCCATCAAGCTACCAATGACTTTCTTCAGAGAATTGGAAAAAACTACTTTAAAGTTCATATGGAACCAAAAAAGAGACCACATTGCCAAGACAATCCTAAGCCAAAAGAACAAAGCTGGAGGCATCACGCTACCTGACTTCAGACTATACTACAATGCTACAGTAACCAAGACAGCATGGTACTGGTACCAAAACAGAGATATAGACCAAGAGAATAGAACAGAGCCCTCAGAAATAATACCACACATCTACAACCATTTGATCTTTGACAAACCTGACAGAAACAAGAAATGGGGAAAGGATTACCTATTTAATAAATGGTGTTGGGAAAACTGGCTAGCAACATATAGAAAGCTGAAACTGGATCCCTTCCTTATACCTTATACAAAAATTAATTCAAATGGATTAAAGACTTAAATGTTAGACCTAAAAACCATAAAAACCCTACAAGAAAAACCTAGGCAATACCATTCAGGACATAGGCGTGGGCAAGGACTTCATGACTAAAACACCAAAGCAATGGCAACAAAAGCCAAAATTGACAAATGGGATCTAATTAAACTAAAGAGCTTCTGCACAGCAAAAGAAACTACCATCAGAGTGAACAGGCAACCTACAGAATGGGAGAAAATTTTTACAATCTACCCATCTGACAAAGGGCTAACATCCAGAATCTAAAAAGAACTTAAACAAATTTACAAGAAAAAATCAAACAACCCCATCAAAAAGTGAGCGAAGGATATGAACAGACACTTCTCAAAAGAAGACATCCATGCAACCAACAGACACATGAAAAAATGCTCATCATCACTGGCCATCAGAGAAATGCAAATCAAAACCACAGTGAGATACCATCTCACACCAGTTAGAATGGCGATCATTAAAAAGTCAGGAAACAACAGGTGCTGGAGACGATGTGGAGAAATAGGAACACTTTTACACGGTTGGTGGGAGTGTAAATTAGTTCAACCATTGTGGAAGACAGTGTGGCAATTCCTCAAGGATCTAGAACTAGAAATACCATTTGATCCAGCCATCCCATTACTGGGTATATACCCAAAGGATTATAAATCATGCTACTATAAAGACACATGCACTTGTATGTTTATTGCAGCACTATTCACAATAGCAGACTTGGAACCATCCCAAATGTCCAACAGTGATAGACTGGATTAAGAAAATGTGGCATATATACACTGTGGAATACTATGCAGCCATAAAAATGGATGAGTTCATGTCCTTTGCAGGGACATGGGTGAAGCTGGAAACCATCATTCTGAGCAAACTATTGCAAGGACAGAAAACCAAACACCACATGTTCTCACTCATAGATGGGAATGAACAATGAGAACACTTGGACACAGGGCAGGGAACATCACCCACCGGGTCCTGTTGTAGGGTGGGGAGAGTGGGGAGGGATAGCATTAGGAGATATACCTAATGTAAATGATGAGTTAATGGGTGCAGCACACCAACATGGCACATGTATACATATGTAACAAACCTGCACGTTGTGCACATGTACCCTAGAACCTAAAGTATAATAATAATAATAATAATAATAATAATAATAATAATAATAAAGAACTCAGAGAAATGGCCAGGCACAGTGGCTCATGCCTGTAATCCCAGCACTCTGGGAGGCTGAGGTGGGCAGATCACCTGAGACCGGAAGTTCGAGACCAGTTTGGCCAACATGGTGAAACCCCGTCTCTACTAAAAATACAAAAATTAGCCGGGCATGGTGGTGCACACCTGTGGTCCCAGCTACTCGGGGGGCTGAGGCAGGAGAATTGCTTGAACCCAGGAGGTTGCAGTGAGCCGAGATCCCACCACTGCACTCCAGCCTGGGCCACAGAGTAAGACTCTGTCTCAAAAAAAAAAGAACTCAGAGAAATAATAAAGATATTTCATCCTTGAAATAATAGCAGGATACTATATAAAAGTTTTAGAGTAATAATCTAAGAAGAAAAAAAGTTCTTCAAAATTAAAAATACATAAAAATTTTAAATCCATGAAAATTTCCTAAAAGGTAGAAGTAGAACAAAAAAAGACCAAAAAATTGACAATAATAATAAAAAGAAACAGAAATTAGAAACATTCCAGGAAATCCAATTTCTAAATAATAGTTCCAGAACACAAAAACAAAGCAAACAGTAGGGAGAATATTATTTTTTAAACTTAAAAAAATGGACGAAAATTTCCCAAATCCAAGGGACATGATCCTCCAGACTAAAAAAGTCCACCCACCAAGTGTCCAACCCAGTGACTAAAAAACAACACACACTGGGCAAATTATTATAAATTTTCAGAATACCAGGGTTAAATGAAAGATCCTAAAAACATCCAGGCCAGGTGCAGTGGCTCATGCCTGTATTCCCAGCACTTTGGGAGGCCAAGACTGGCAGATCGCTTGAGGCCAGGAGTTCAAGACCAGACTGGGCAATATGGCAAAACCCTGTCTCTACTAAAAAAATTTAAAAATTAGGTGGGCATGGTGGTACACACCTGTAATCTCAGCTGCTCAGAGGCTGAGGCATGAGAATTATTTCAACGGAGAGGTAGAGGTTGCAGTGAGCGGAGGTCACGCCACTGCACTCCAGCTTGGGTGACAGAGTGAGACTCTGTCTCAAAAAAAAAAAAAATGCTGAAAACACCCAAAGAGAAGAAACAGGTTACCTACAAAGAAGTGGAAGTCAAATTGTATTTGACTTATCAGCAAGACTGAAGATGGAAAACATTGGAACAATGCCTTCGGAATTCTGATGTGATGGGAAATTACTTTTGACCTAAGAGTGAAAAATATATAGGTTTTTTTTAAATTTGCAGTTTCTAAAGACTTGCCTCCTATATATTCTTTTTCAGAAAGCTACTGTAAGATATATTTCATCAAAATAGAAGAGTAAACCAAGAAAAAAAGAAGAATATGAGAGCCAGGAATCAGAAATACTACACAGGACAGAGATGAAAGGACTTTCTCAATACCTCAGGGTGCTGGCAAAGGGAAGCCCTAGGAAAACAACCATACGAGAGTCCTGGAGAATGATGGGTCCAGATCCGAAGGGAGCAGTAGGAGGCTCCAGAAGGGATGGCTCCAGGAAAGAAAACAATAAAGCTGAAAGCTAAATTTTGCATAGGTTATGATAGAGGCAATAATGTCTAAAATAATGACCTGAGAGACCATAGTATATAAATAATTTTTAAAATATTTTTAAAACCTGAAATAATCTTAAAAAGTTGGATGAAAGTGGTTGACTGTTGGATTGGGAGAGGCCATGGGACTGCTGATTTTTATCAGCCTTACTTGAATCTCTAAAATATGTGAATTTATTATTTTTCCAGTAGTAAAAATTTGTTTACAATTTTTAAGTGGCTTATCACCCAGAATTTGGCATCACAAGAAAAAAAAATGCAACAGGACATATAATTAGAGGAGAAAATCCTGCCTTATTAGAAATAGAGGAAGTGCTATGTGTTATATAATGTTAGAGGATTTGGGAAGGCTCCCACCCCAACTCCTCTCATCCTCAACATTAGGGATTAATTCATAGAATTATAGAGTATTAGACAGTGTCCAATTCACCATGAAGCTATTGGAACTTAAGCTTGCACAGGCCCCTTTCAAAGCCCTGGAAGGGTCTCTCCTCTCCACAATGTATTCATATAGAAATACACTTATACTCACAATTCCAACACACAGACACACACACACACACTCACACACACACATTAAAACAGGTAATTTGCAAACATAAAGTGTTTTCAACCAACATTGTTAAGAATTTTGTCTTTCCACTCTGACTTCCCTTCCATCACACATCTAGGGTTGAGTACCATTAGAATAGAAGTCATTTTTGGAATCTGGATAAGAGGAAGTCGAATTGTAGATACATTTAGTTTTGCTTCAGTGGGAAATATTTATATAGCTCACAGTCACTTTTGTATAGAGTTAAGTTTTTGTTTTCACTTCTTTATTTTTTTTTTAATTTTTGTTTTTATTCTATTTATTTATTTTTTCTGAGATAGGGTCTCACTCTGTCACCCAGGCTGGAATGCAGTGGTGCAATTACAGCTCACTGCAGCCTCAACCTCCCAGGCTCAAGCAATCCTCCCGCCTTAGCCTCTCAAGTAGCTGGGACAACAGACGCATACCACCATGCCTGGTTAATTTTTTTATTTTTTGTAGAGACAGGGTCTCACTATGTTGCCTAGGCTGGTCTCTAACTCCTGGGCTCAAGCAATTCTCCTGCCTCAGCCTCCCAAAGTGCTGAGACTATAGATGTGAGCCACCATGCCTGGCCCAAGTCAACTGATTTTTTTATTTTATTTTTTATTTTTTTTGAGACAGAGTCTCACTCTGTCACCCAGGCTGGAGTGCAGAGGCACGATCTCGGCTCACTGCAAACTCCGCCTCCCGGGTTCACGCCATTCTCCTGCCCCAGCCTCCAGAGTAGCTGGGACTACAGGTGCCCACCACCATGCCCGGCTAATTTTTTGTATTTTTAGTAGAGATGGGGTTTCACCGTGTTAGCCAGGATGGTCTCGATCTCCTGACCTCGTGATCCACCCGCCTCGGCCTCCCAAGTCAACTGATTTTTTAAAATACTAGGTCAAGTTTGTCCAATTGTGGCCCACGGGCTGCATGTGGCCCAGGACAGGTTTGAATACAGCCCAATACAAATTGACAGACTTTCTTAAAACGTTATGAGATTTTTTTGTGATTTTTTTTTTATCTCATCAGCTATCAGTAGTGTTAGTGTATTTTATGTGTGGCCCAAGATAATTCTTGTTCTTCCAATGTGGCCCAGGGAAGCCAAAAGATTGGACACCCCTGTAGTAGGTGTTTGTGATGTTTATGGTATTCATCAGTTTTTTAAGATTGTGTATTTTGTTGCAATTTCTGTTCCCATTATAGATAAATGCTCATGTTCATACCTAATACTGTATTTATAATTTTGATTCTTTGTTTAAAGAGAGGGCTCCCAAACGGAATAAGCTTTGGAGCCCACAATAACTGGATCTGCCCTTGGCAGTGCCTCTACAGACTTAAAATATCATTTAATTCCGTAATTCTCGAGGGAAATAGTAGTGCCTCCCTCCCATGGAACATTTTATAAATTGTGGTGGGAGTTTTTGTTGCACTCCCAATAATTTGGAGAGAATCTCCTAGCATTTAGTGGAGGTGACGAGGGATGCTGGACACTGCAATGTGGAGAAGAGTCCCGCCCACATTGAACAATCTCACTTCCACTTTGACTTTCCAAATGCCAGTCTGTCAATCACATGGGTGATAAACATATTTGCAATTACCTGAGCCTAGAACATATAAGCATGTGATTTGTTTTTGTTTGTTTGGTTTTTGGGGGGTTTTTTTGCACAGTTTTTTTTTTTTTTAGGAGAGCAACAAAGAAGGGAAGATTATACTTTATTTTGTTTGGAACCTTACCGAGAATTGTTCATCATTTTGGAAAATCACATCACTGACAGCAATGCTACTATAGTTGTATTTGATGGTCAATAAAAATAATAAACGAAGGCTAATATTACACACTCATGGGGGTAGCATTTGTAGCTATCACAGTCATGGTGATTCCACATACAGCTGCAAGCATCCAACTATTTTAGTATATCTTTGGTGTAGGTGGGCCTTAGCATTTGCATACTGGAATACATACTGTTTTATAGAAAATCCACTTATTTCTTTTTATGTTACAGTTAAGATACTATATTGATTTTTTAATTATTTATATAAGTAACATATCATCTCTGAATTTCATTTCAGGATAGTAACAAGGGAGTTTCAAATAAAAGAGATGACCCTGAGTCAGATATAGCTGAAAACCACTGATTAAGTTTAACCGCCTGTTTCATAGACAAAGAAACTGAGGCTGTGTTCATTCAGTTTGTCCAAGTACAATGTCTGTCCATAATAGTACAAGGAGCAGACCCCCGGGCTTCTCCCTTTGCCTTCAGAAGCCATACCATGGGGCCAACAAATTTTCCAGCATCCTCAGATATTACAAAGAAACTTATCCTTATTAAAATAGGAATACCACTGCCCACAGTGGCTTGTGCCTGTAATCCCAACTACTTGGGAAGCTGAGACAGGAGGATCGTTTGATCCCAGGAGTTCAAGCCTCCAGTGAGCTATGATCATGCCACTACACCCCAGCCTGGGTGACAGGGTGAGAACCTGTCTCTAAGAAAAAAAAAAAAATAGGTCTACCACAGATAACTAAGTAAAATAAATTAGGTTTAACATTAATACCTAAGTTTTTTGTGTTTTTTTTTCTTGAGACAGTCTTGCTCTGTCACCCAGGCTGGAGCTCAGTGGCGCAATCTCAGCTCACTGCAACCTCCACCTCCTAGGTTCAAGTGATTCTCCTGCCTTAGTCCCCTGAGTAGCTGGGATTACAGACATGCACCACCACACCCGGCTAATTTTTGTATTTTTAGTAGAGGCGGGGTTTCACCATGTTGGCCAGGCTGGTCTCAAACTCCTGAACTCAAGCAATCTGCCCACCTTGGCCTCCCAAAGTGCTAGGATTATAGGCGTGAGCCACTGTGCCCAGCCTAACACCTAAGTTTGAATGGCATTATCTTATTCTTTTCAAATGGCCCAGGATGTCAAGGGAAGATTCCTGCCTAGATCAGACACTGGGAAGAGTGTAAAGTGGGGAGGGTCTAGTAAAAAAGGATGAGAAGAGCAGCAACAAACAAAAATGCCAAAGACAAACTTCCTCTGCGTCACTCTTTTCTTATGTTAACCCTGAGAGTAACCTTATGAGAGGACATTTCTTTTGCCATCTGACCTGGCAGTGGCTTTGCCATGACCAAAGCATTCCACCTTTGCAGAGTCAGTGCATGTGTGACCCACGATGCAAGCAGAGAAGGTAGTATCATGAGTTATAGGGACTGTCCTAGATTACTTTCCCTTGCCGTGGCATTTGAGAGGAATCTCACGGAAATGGGCTCAAAACATTAATTTCCTGGGCATACAAGATCTTGCCTGAATTGAAGTGCAAAAAAACAGCTGACTTTCCCAAGCAAGCCAGATATCCACATTAAGGAAAGAAGGTAGGATCTTTCAAACAATCCAAGGATTAACAGTGAGGATGAAAAAGAGGCCAGATCTGCCATTCAAACATGAGTAACTCAATTCTGATACATTTTCATGAATCAGGAAAATGAACCATAAAATTATCTTTAGTAGATGATATTAAACATGCATGACTCTGGTATCCTGTAGCATCCTAAAAAAACATGTCTAAAGCCAAACTCATTTCCCCCTACCACTAACCACCCCAAACCTTCTCGTTCTGACTTCCCTGTTTCCATGCACCTTGCCACCATTCTTATAAACTCAAAACCTCCATGTTTAGACCATTCCTCATTCCTCACTCTGTATATTCAATCAGTCACTAAATTTCCTCATATTTTGTCTGAGCCCTGTTTGTACTCTTTCTGTTACCTGGTTTAAGCCCCTTCCTATTTTACCTGGATTACTATCAGAACCACCACCTACTCTCTCTCTCTCTCTTTCCAGTTATATTCCTAAAGAGCAGCACCAATTACTTCATTCCACCCATGCATTTATTTGCTCATTATTTCCTTTATTCATGCATCAAATACTCATGCCATTGTGTGCCAGGCAATGGGAATACAGTGGTGAACATGTCAGAGTCCCTTCCCAAGGAGCTTACTATCTGGAGATGGATACAGACATTTCAGCAAGCAATCAGAACTCAGAGTGATAGGTGGTATGACAGGGTCACCAAGGGGAAGGAGTGAGCAGGACCAGTGTCCAACTCAGTTGGTGGGGGACAGGAAAGGCTCCTGGTAGAAATGATATGTGAAACCTTAAGAGTAAGTTAGAGTTCAATGTTTCATTTATGAAATGTGTTATAGAATTGTGACTCAGATTATTCAGACCCCTTAGATGTCATCTAGCCAAATCCCTTACCCACTACACCAAAAACTCCCTCTTCATTCCAAGTGTACATTCATTTCTTATTTTAATAAGAAGTAATACTGCTGGGTGCATCGAAATCTCAGAAATAACTGCTAAAGAACTTATCTATGTAACCAAAAACCACCTGTTCCCCAAAAGCCATTGAAATAAAATTTTAAAAAGAGGCTGGGTGCAGTGGCTCACACCTATAATCCCACTTCTTTGGGAGGCTGAGACAAGTGGATCACTTGAGATCAGGAGTTTGAGACCAGCCTGACCAATATGGTGAAACCCATCTCTACTAAAAATGCAAAAATTAGCTGGGTGTGGTAGGAGGTGCCTGTGGTCCCAGCTACTAGGGAGGTTGAGGCAGGAGAATTTCTTAAACCCAGGAGGCAGAGGTTGCAGTGAGCTGAAATCACGCCATTGCACTCCAGCCTGGGCAACAGAGCAAAACTCCAACTCAAAAAAAGAAAAGAAGAAGAAGAAGTAATACTTATGTACACATTTATTTAAGCCAAAGTCAAATTTTTATTTGGGAAGATTTTGTTTATTACTAAATTTCCTTAAGTCATGTACACCACACACTGCACATAGTCAGCACTCAAATGATTTGCTAAATGAATGAATAAATGCAGGATGACAATGTTTACAAATACAAATGAGTTAGAGTTCACCATCAATACAGAGCTATGAGGGGAGGTGAAGATCCAGAGGCAATAGAACAAGGAGTGCTCAGTAAACTAGAAGAAGCTCATCATTTCAGTTGGTGGATATATAAGGAATGAGGCCAGAATGACAAGTCAAGGGCAGATCAAGAAGAACGTGAAAAGCTCTGCTAAAAACCCTTCAAAGGGGGAATTTTCAACGTATTGGGTAAGGAATTTGGCTAGATTATAGCTAAGAGGTTTGAATGAATCAAATCTTCAAAGATGTACCAAGTTAAATGCAGTTTCCCCATCCTGACACTCAAGACTGTACAACACATCTCAGTCTCTCAGTCTACCCCCTAGTCTTTTCTCACTTGCTAGTCTTTTTTCTCTCTCTCTCTCTCTCTCTCTCTCTCTCTTTTGAGTCAGGGTCTCACTCTGTTGCCCAGGCTGAGTGCATTCGTGTGATCATGGTTCACTGCAGCCTCGACCTCCCAGGCTCAAGCTATCCTCCAGCCTCAGCCTCCTGAGTAGCTGGAACTACAGGCGCACACCACCATGCCTGACTGATTTATTTTCCATTTTTTGTAGAGACGGGGTTTCATCAGGTTGCTCAGACTGATCTCAAAATCCTGGGCTCAAGCCACCCACCCATCTTGGCCTCCCAAAGTGCTGGGATTACAGGCATGAGCCACCGTGCCCAGCCTCACTTGCTAGTCTTTTACAACACTGACTGTTCTATGATGTTGCTTATGCTTTGTCCTCACTCTAGGACCACTCCAAACTTGGTTTCGGTTCTTAACATTCCAACATGGAATGAGAAAAATCAACATGTGAAATCCAGGAGTGGTAAGTAGATCTATAATAGGTTGAGGAAACAGACAGAATAAACTATTCTTCAATATACGAAAAGTTAATCACAGTGAGCTTAAATAGTTGTTCCTTTAGTATACTCGAGTGTCGGTTTACACACTATGAACTGCTTTACAAAGTCCCTGAACGGGGGAAGAAACATAAAGCATAAAATGCAAGGAACTACTGCCAATCAAAGGCAAATCCAAAATAAATATAGTCATCTTTTCTGAATGGGAAAAAAAAAAGAAGAAAGTCATATTCTATTTACTAACATTCATTTCACACATCACTCTTTAGAAATGGATTTCTTGCAAAAGTAAGATGCACTTAAATTATTCACTAATAATGCCATCATTCAACCAAAATTTACTGGGTGCACCAATGTGCCAGGCAGTACAGTATACAGCAGGGACAGGGCCATAAGCAGGTGGGCTTTCAGAGCTTAGTATTTGCTGGGGAAATAGTCCCACAGCAGAGAATACAATAAGCTCTAATATCCGCCTTGGCAGCCTGTAAGGGTCAAAGAAAGCCATTCCAGATTAGATGGAACGAAATAATGAAATTATAGCTGGGGGTGGAGGGGAGTATCAGCAGTCTAGGCTTTAGTCCTGATTTTGCGAACAAGTTACTATATTGTATTCGGGCATGACATTCCCAACTGTAGCTCACTGCAGCCTCGACTTGCAGCCTGGGAGGTCTAGGCTGCAGTGAGCTACGATCAGATATGTCATGCCCAAATACGATTACAGTAACTTATTGGCCTCTATATTTTTGGCCTTGATTTCTCCACCTGTAATGTGAGGTCATGGATTAGGTGATTCTAAAGTCCCTTTAATTCAATATGAATCAAAACTGAGAATAATTATTAGAGGCTTGGTTTCGAACAATTGAAAGACCAGAAAATTATGCAAGTAACTAAGTGTGATCGTTGGAGTGTGGGAGGGGGTAATATTGTTTTTGATGTGATTCTGTACTTATGCATCAGGGAACATGAGCATGAAGATTCTCTTCAAGAAGCAGCACTGCCTATAGCCATGATGTGGTGCAGCTTCCCAGTAGCTGGGTTGATGGTTTGGGGAACCAGTAACATGATAGACAATTTAGAAATGAAGAAACTGAAGCATCGCAAAGTTAAGCACCCGAGATGATACCATAGATCAACTGTAAAGTGCACAAATAATTTGCACGAGGTTGTTAATTATATTATTCTCTAATTAGTCTGCACTTGTTCTCCAAACAGTGATTTCTTAAGATAAGAATGTACATGTATTCAAGACTGTGCTCATCACTTACCAGTCTCTGGTATTAGATCATCTATTTGTTTGGTCTGTTTATTGTCTGCCTCTCTCTCTAGAGTATAATTCCATGTGGGCAGGAGCTTTGTCTCATCTTGTTGTATCTCTCCAGTGCCTTGGAACTGTGCTGGTGCAAAATAAGCACTTAATACATATTGTTGATTTGATGGAAGGATGCTTAAAAAGTACTCTGAGAGAAACAATATATTTCTCAACTCTGAAGGAAAATTTCATGGAACACTTGAAGTTAGTGAAAAATACAGAATAATTTATAAGCAAGAATCAAATTATTTAACATAGATTTGTGCTCTAAAGTTGAAGAAATCAAGTAAAATGATCAGTAAATTCTACAGCAATTGAGAAACTTCAAAAAAAATGGAACTTGAATTAGACTCTGAAAGGTGGAAGTTTTGGGTTTGGAATAAGGGAGATGGGAAAGCAGTGAATGAAGCCAATGAAAATGGCGCATGAGACCAGACAGATTTAAGAAGAGTTCCTTTTGGGGAATAAAATGGCAAGTAAAGTTGTAAGAGCAGGTGAATCACAGCTTTTGGAAGATCCTCCAAGAAAAAGGAAAGATTCAGACTTGATGTGATAGAGACAGGAAGCCCAGAAATAGCAAGATTAAAATCTTGCCTCCCAAATTAGATTGCAGCAACCCTCCTTTTCCTTGGGCCCTCAACCAACAATGCCCAAAGCTGGTCATGCAGTAGCTGTTTAATTAGTACTTGCTGATTCATAGAATTCCAATCAAAGACCCGGCTCTTCGATCAACGCTTTATTACTCACAGACAGACCCCACTGGAAAGGGGCAATGGTGCAATTTTATTTCCCATCCATCTTTTGTTCCCTTTTTCCTGCCTGCTACTGTTTAGAGTCCAGAAAAAAAAAAAAAGTATTACGAACTAAGTCACTGCCTCATTAGGAAGCAGGGTCTGATCTGAAACCAATTTTTCAGAACAATGACTTGTTAAGTGCTGAGAAATGCAGTGTTTAGTCATGGAGAAAATAAAGACAGCTTTACCATGCAATTTGGTTTTTTTCTATACTAAAAGATGAGAATTTTAACAAGTGGAGGGAACCAGTCCATTATCAAGTCCCTCCTCCTTCAAAGAGGGAAACAGAACATGCTTTTTAGTGCACAAACAGAAAAGGCTTCTTCTCCCTCACTCCCCGTATTTTCTTGCTTAAAATTCAGAATTAATGTCAGCCTTGCAAGAAGGTGAGGAAGCTCAGAAAAGAGGGTGTGTAGAGCCCAGAACAAATCTCCTTGCGAAGGACAGATTGGGTGAGCATTGTCAGGTGAGAGTGTATGGTGAGCAGTCTTCCACAGTTATCAGTGATGACTGAAGGGCAATGAGGTCTGGATACTGAGAGGAGAAGTTATGGAATTTCCAGAGTAACAAGTCACCTGCAAATATCAAAATGACATGGACAAAAGGTGATGCTAGTTTTATTTAAGAAGTATTTCAGAATAAGTCAGTGGGAATAATGTCTATCCTATCATTTATATGGTCTCTGAAAGATAAATGGGTAGAAAATGAAAACTATTTGACTCCATCCATTAAGAAGCCCACTGAAGGAAGAAGAGAGGCAGAATACTAATGCAACAATGTCATTTTGGCATAAAATAGAAGATACTCCAAGATATTCTTCCTATAGCTTAGAACGCACAGTTCATTGTCCATTTCCTCTATAGAGTCATTGCTTTCTGTCTGCTCCTGGTCACATATTTTAACTGTAACTTCAACAAATTAGTCAGCAAATTTGTACCATCTATCACAAGGACACCAGTTCAGAGAATAGAAGTAGCTCTAACTCATGTTTAAGTTCACTTTTGGAAGAAACATCTAAAACATAGGTTCTACAGATGGTTAGCCTACCATATCAGATTTTTATCTAAAAATATCATGTAAAACAAAGCAGTCAGAGAACATCCCCTCCCTGCCACTGGGCAGGCTTTCCAGAATCTCAAGCAGTTGCTCTTCCCTTGTCCTGAGTGGTCCCATCCTGGTCTTGTTGAAGAAGATCGTGGAAATGGAGGTTTTGAGGGCACACCCCTAACTACTGCATATTTGTCATTCCCTCCTCTTCTCTTCCCTTCTAGCTCTCAGAGCATATGAGTGTAGATGTACTTTTAATTTGGAGATACACAGATTAGCCCTTCATTATTAGCTGTACTATGCTTATATTTCAAATGTATACATGTTAATTTCATCTCCCGTCTACTCTAACTTGTATGCTCTTTGGGGTGAGGGATTAGCTTCACTTTTGTGTCTCCCAAAATGCCTATAAAAAATGTTGGGCCAACACAGGAGGATTACTTGAGCCCAGAAGTTTGAGATCAGCCTGGACAATATAGTAAGACCTCATCTCTAAAAAAGTAATAAGTAAAAAAGAATGCTGGGTACATGCTTTGGCAAACAGTTTAGCAGTTCCACAAACAATTAAACATAGAGTGACCATATGACCCAGTGGTCTAATCTTATACCCTAGAGAAGTGAAAATATACATAAACATATGAAAAACTTATACACAGATGTTCAGAAAAGCATTATTTATAATAGCCAAGAAGTGAAAACAGCCCAAATATCCATCAGCTGATGAACAGATAAACCAAATATGGTATATTCACACAATGGAATATTATTCAACCCCGAAAGGAATGAAGTACTGATACATGCTACCATGGATGAACCTTGAAAACATTATGCTCAATGAGAGAAGCCAGTCATGCGCAGAGGCTCACGTCTGTAATCCCAGCACTTTGGGAGGCTGAGGTGGATGGATCACTTGAGGTCAGAAGTTCAAGACCAGCCTGGCCAACATGGTGAAACCCCATCTCTACTAAAAATACAAAAAATTAGCCAGGTGTGATGGTGGGCGCCTGTAATCCCAGCTACTTGGGAGGCAGAGGCAGGAAAATTGCTTGAACCCAAGAGGCAGAGGTTGCAGTGTGCTAAGATCTTACCACTGTACTCCAGCCTAGGTGACAGAGAAAGACTGTGTCTCAAAAAAAAGAAAAAAGAAAGAAGCCAGACATAAAAAGCCATATATCGTATGATTCCATTTACATAAAATGTCCATAATGGGCAAATCCATAGAGACTGAAAGTCGATTACTGGTCACCAGAAATGCAGGTGGAGGAACAGAGGGTCACCGCTAATGGGTACAGGATTTCTTTTGCGGATATAAAAATGTTCTGAAATTAGATAGTGGTGATGTTTGTACAACTTTGTGACTATACTAAAAAACCACTGGGTCATACACTTAAAATATGAAAATTTTATGGTTTGTGAATTATATCTCAATTTTTTTAATGTTGGGCACATCAAAAAATAAGTGAAAGTGAAGTTTCCAAAGATAATTTAGGGAAAGAAACCCCAGAAACTATGCCTACCTGTCTTTGGTACAGTCATTCCTTCCCGTTACCACATTGTGAGCTAGAGGCCTTCTCCACTCCTGGACTCTTACCTGAGAGAGGATGTGTAGCAGCCGTGAAAACACACTGCTTAGGCCCCCTGCTGCAGGGGAATCACTGACTGATGGCTCCAGCTGCTACTCCTCTGGATTTGCCACCACATTTGTGCCAGGCTTCCACGGGCTGCTCTCAACCAACGGCTGGCCACAGCAGGGGTACTAATGCAGGCTTATTCTAGCAAGACAGAGAGTCCTCCAACAGGCAACTTTAGCTTGAGGACTCCCCATCTATCTGGCACCACCAACAAGTTTAGTGATGGTTCTTCTCTGCAGGCCAGCGTTCATGATTGGAAAGGCAATCAGAGCTGGGCTCCTTAATATTCATGTATACTATGGGGCCCAAAGACATAGAGGCTTGTGGCAGGGAAAGGGACTTAACACACAGAGTTTAGAGATGGTGAATAGAGCCTATAATGTTCCTGGGGCAAAACAGATGGACAGCCATCAAGGGTGCTACTTAACATCTACAAGCAACACATACACACACACACACGCACACACTAAAAGGAAGAATGGAGCTTGAGGGTGATCACAAACAAACAAACAAACAAACAAACCAAAAACTTGCTTTCCCTTTCCCTCACTCTGTTCCCAGCCCAAGGCAACTTTTAGATCTGGAACCCACTGCCCAAAGGAGGTGAGGTGGCCAAGTCCCTTAACAACACAGCAAGTTATACTATAATGATTCCCCCAGTTCTTCTTCCAAGGATCTAGAACCATTTACTCATGTGATTATATAGAAAAAAATAGAGAAATTTCCAGACTTTTTGAGAACGATTAGACACAGAATCTGAGCTAACACGGACACCTAGAAACCCAAAGCCTCATCACAGGTCTCCCATTATTACCTTATGTGGAGGCCATAAATTGAGTCCTGGTTATGGTCCAGTTCACAGGGAGCCTCGGTCCATGGGCCCACCTAGTGGTCATTTCCCCACTGCATGTATAATTGGAATGGATGTCCTTGGTAAATGACGTAAGCCCCACACTGGGTCCTTGGCTTGTGGAGTAAGAGCTATCATAGTGGTGATAGCCAAGTAGGAACTCTGAAACTGAGCCCCTACAAGCTGAGATAGTAAATCAAAAATGAAATTACTGCCTTCTGATCAATGGTGAAAAAAAAAAACACCAAAAAAACCCAACAACAACAACCTGATATCACTTGGAGGTGGGGGGTGGAGATTAGTGCCATCATTAAAGATCTAAAGGATGCCAAGACTTATCATATTTCCACTCATTTCACCAATCTGTCCCTTGCAGAAACTGGATGGAACCACAAGCTCAATCAAGTAGCAGCCCCAACTATAGCTGCTATGCTGGACACAGAATGAATACTGCAGCAGACTAATAAGGCCTCATGTATAGGATATGCGGCCAATGATTTGGCTAGTGCATTCTTTTCCATTCTGCATTCACATGACAGCAACAACAATAGTCATTTACACAAAAGTTGGGTAATAAGCTGGAGTCATGGTAAAATACATGTGCTGCAGGGGTGGAAGATAATCCTTATGAAACTTCAGAGACCTGCCACTTCAGTGAAGCTTTTAAAGGTCCAATGGTCAGGGACATGCCAGAATATCCTTTCCAAAGTAAAAGACAAATTGCTGTATCTTGCATTCCCTACCACAAAGAAGGAAACACAGTTCCTGATAGACCTCCTTGGGTTCTAGAGGCAACACATTCCACACCTAGGGATACTCCTCCTGCCCATACCAGGTGACATGGAAGGCCAGCAACTTTGAATGGAACCCAGAGCAGGAAAAGGCTACCCAGCAGGTCCAGTGGACCTGTCGTGCCACTTGGGCCATGAAATCCAGCAGATCCTATGGCTTAGGGATGTTAGTGGTGGAAAAAAAGATGTACTGTGGAGACTATGGCAAGCCCCAGTGTGAGAATCTCAATGCAGGCCCCTGGGATTCTGGAGCAAGGCCATGCCATCTGCAATGGAGAATTTTATGCCTTTAGAAAAACAGTTCCTGGTATGTTAACTGGGTCCTGATAGACAGAATGCTTGACCCTCGAGTAATCAAGTGACCATACATCTGCAACTATTCATCCAGAGATGGATTCTGTTGACTCTGCCAAGTTATAAAGTGGGACAGGCCCAGCAGTAGATCATTATAAGATGGAAATGGTACATCTGCAATTGAGCTAGCATGAGCAGGTAGCCCAGCCTCCACATCACTGACCACAGCGCACCAGTACCTCTCTACCAGCTTACACCTATGGCCATATGGGGGGTGCTACACAACCAACTATAGGAGCAGGAAAAGGGCCAAGTTTGGCCTACAAACCTGTGTGGTATGTGAATTATATATCAGTTTTTTAAATCTTGGGCACAAGCTGTATGTGGATACCAGCTGAATTACACAAGCGGACAGTGGCTGCATTACAGCCACGTTCAGAATTGGCCTTGAAAGACAGTGGAGAGGGAATATTTACCCAATGGGTAGAGTTATGGGGATCACACTTGGTCATCCACTTTGCACAGATGGAGATGTGGCATGAAGTGAGACTATTTAAAGATTCCTGGCCAGGCGGGGTGGCTCACGCCTGTAATCCCAGCACTTTGGGAGGCCAAGACGGGCGGATCACGAGGTCAGGAGATCGAGGCCATCCTGGCTAACATGGTGAAACCCCGTCTCTACTAAAAATACAAAAAAAATTAGCCGGGCGTGGTGGCAGGAGCCTGTGGTCCCAGCTACTCGGGAGGCTGAGGCAGGAGAATGGCGTGAACCCGGGAGGCGGAGTTTGCAGTGAGCTGAGATTGCGCCACTGCACTCCAGCCTGGGCGACAGAGCAAGACTCCGTCTCAAAAAAAAAAAAAAAAGATTCCTGAGCTGCAGCCAAAGGCCTGGCCATCTACTCAGGGGCCTGGAGGGAGATATGTGGTAGTGCCTCCTGGGACTTCCTTGCTTCATTGTAACTATAAACAGATGTGTATAGCAACAACACCTGGGGGAGGGGATGATTGCCAAGGGTTCAGATCCCTGGAGATGAAGCTTTGGGTCAAAATACCAGTAAGTTAGCACAACCTGCCAAGGTGGTGGCTGAAGATGAAGGAAATTTAGAATGGATAGTGGAGGAGGGAGACGATGAATACCAGTTGTGACACTGACCTAACTGCAACAATGAGTCCTGTAGTTCATCCCACTAAACTCTTCTAAGTTTCCCCTCAGAAAGAGAGGCTTATGGGAATTATGGACAAGCTGTTCCCTGAACCTGTGTAGAGAAGTGCAAGGGATGAACAGTGGACAGTGGTGGCCATGAAAATGGACAGCTCAGATCTCCTCCTGGGGGGCATGCAATTGACTGATAGTCCAGCCAATGATTAGGCACAGTGGGGTATTAAGGTAGGCTCATTCCAGCAAGACACAGGACTCCTCCAATGTGAAACTGGCTTGAGGACTTCCCACTGACCTGGCTGAACCTCTTTTGGAGCCATGCTTCAGTCCAAGACTCTTCTTACCCAATCCTGCTTCCTTCCCTTCCTCCCTGCACAGATGTCGGACCTGCATCATGGTCTTTGCCTTCTCCGGCTCCCTCCCTCAAGAAATCCCTTCATGTTTTATCCTATCTAGAAGTCTGTTTCTTGGTGAACTTGATATAGCAGAGGCTGCATTTTAGTTGGGCTCTGTGATAGTTCTATGAACAAGGTGCTTTTGGGTGCATAGAATTTTTATCATTACCCGCTCTGCCCCAAATAGGTGTCTTTATTACCTCCTGCCAGGAGTTGAGGAGTGATTGAGTGGAATGTACTCGCTATCATCTAAAACACTAAAAATGATGAATGAGGTAAATTTTGAAACTGCATTTTATCAATTCTCTTTATCTACTCAATTTCTAATGAATAGACATGAGAAGTGCCAAAACCTGCACAGTTCCTTACACATGCTGTCAGGAGTGCTGGGATTTGGAGACCACTGAGGGACTCCTGGTTTTGTGGGATTCAGTAGACTTGAATGACACATTGGTGATTTGGGACCTAACTAGAAAAATAGACAGGACCTCTTATTGCTGCAGGAGAATGCCAAGCTTCCCATCAGAGCAAACCAGTGAGCAACACCCTCTCATTCTTGCTAAACTAGCCAGTGAAGCAAGCGTTGATGGGAGAGCCATGGCTGGGCAGCATATTTTTAACACTCTCACATATCTCCTTCCTGGGACTGCTCTGTTCACATCTAGAGGTGTCTCCATATATGTGAATCAGTGATAGCAACTTAATATGGTGAATCCCTCAAGTGTTTAGCACTCTGAGAAGATTTCCAGTGAAATGAAATTTTTAAGTGCAGGGATCCTCCCACCACCTATGACTTGTTAACAGGCACCTACTGTCCACCTGAAACAGTATTAGGTTGGCGGAAGATTTAAAATCAGAGATATCTGGGTATGCCCCTAGTTGAAAAAAAATAATAAAAATAAATAAAAAATAAAATCAGAGATTACTTTCAAATATGTTGTCTAATGGCTAATGAGGTCATCCAAAACAACAGAAGGCAAGCAGGGCAGGGATTGCCATTTCATTGTACAGAGAGGGAAAAAGGTTCAAAGGTAAAGTGATTTGCTCCAGATCAAAGTTCAGGTCTTGCTTTTCTCACTTCCTTACTAGCTTGCCTAAACTTAAAGAGCATATAGTCTTTTGGTTAACTAGTACTCTTGACTACCAAGACAATCATATCTATTTCATCAACCAAGGTGGATGAGGTCAGGAGATGTCACATTCAAGATTTTTAAAGATCATGACTAGTGATTGTATTGGTTTAAAAATCATGACTAGTGATTTTATTGGATGCTGTGATGCCCCACCCTGACCTCCCTTCAGGAATGGAAGAGTCACTCCCAGCTACTGTCAGTGCTGCCAACAGAAGGCCCTTAGCTGTCAGCCTTTACAGGAATCATCCTGGAAAGACAACCACATTGCCAAGGTCATGATCCTTTACCAGGGCAGCCTGCATCCGATGACTCATTGCCATGGGGGTTTAAAGGCTAAGTCCTCTTACCCCAACTAGGGACAAGCACCAAGGGCCACCTTATCCCAGATTCTGAACTCCCCATAGGGTCAGCTGAGGCCTCCGCTGAGACTGCATTACAGCTCAACTTCTTCCCTTCTCCTCCACAGTTTTTGATCCCAAGAGCAATTCCTAATAAATCTCCTGCATGCTGATCTTCAACTGACTCTTAGACAATTCTAGTAGTCTGAAAAGCAGACACTAGGTTAGAATTTTGAAAGGGGATCACCCAGCTGGCAATGAGGATCCCACCACTGGTGGTAGGTGGCCCAAGGTAGCAGGGCAATAGTTTAAACTTTTACCTACGGTGGGACACATTGGGATGGAACCATTAGGAAGGTTACCATTGGGATGGTATGCTGATGGAAAGGAAGGCATTGGCTGGCGTGACATATCATGCATTGGAGAAATACAGGCAAAATAGTAACAATAAAAACAATGAAAATGGGTAGCTATTGCTAATACACAATCAACACTGTGGAAAAAGATAATGGAAAGCTGATAGTGATTAATCATCAATTAAAAGCTAAGTGTGAAAGCCAGATGGCCCCTTTCATAACATTTGAAGAGGCTCTGATCACCTGTGATGATAGGACAGAAAAAGCCAAGGGTTAGGCTGAGGACCTAAGAGCAGTTGAGTTTGTCAACCAAGGTAGGTTTGCTATGCCAAGGACAGGGCCCTGCTTGGGAAAGAACTGGACCATTACCCATGGGATGAAGACATCTGGGTTGATCCACTTGAAAATGTTGAATCTCTATACTTCCCTGAACCTTCTAATCATGAAGAAGCAGGCCACTCCTGCTGATTAGGGGCTGGCACTCCCCTCTTGCTCAAAGATGATGCAAAAGCTTCTTCCCAGGAAAATAACATGTGCCCCCATGGCTCGCCCTCATCTTCCTCCTGGTCACTAGGCCAACAATGAGGTTTGAGGCACAACATAATCAAGCGATGCAATAGCAAATAATAAAGACTAAATGCTCCTTAAGTCCAGGCAACCTGGTAGGGAAGTGAGAAAAGTAGGACCTGACTTGCAGCCTGCCAGGGAGGAAGGAGACTACACCCCAGGGCCTGGCCAGCATGTAGCAGCAGGAGTGAGGAGAGGACACATCGGACTGGATTCTCAGGGTGCTGGAGCAAGGAGGGCAAACGTAAGGTTGAATAACGAAGAGTTTATAGCTTTGGGAATGCTCTCCTGGGATCCATAATATAATCTGGCAAGAATCCCAGGAGGCGGTGTGAACACGTTACTAGGATGGCTCCTAGAAACAGAAAAGACAGTGGGCCATGCTACGTGAAGTAGAAATACAAGAAGTGTTCCTGGCAAATGATGGAGGAAAGGATTAAAAAGATGGGAGGTAGGGTGCTAGGTGGATACTATAAAAGGTCGGAAAACACATCAGAGGATACACCACTTACCAAAGTAATAACATACACCAGCTTTATGAAGAGGTTTAATGGTGGCTGTCTTCTACGGGCCAGGGCTGATGGTAGAGATGCCATTATACCAATGGACTCATTGATAGCAACTACGATGAGGATGACAGGACCCTCCCTCCTGCACCCTATGGTAATGCTTAACTGTCAGATGGCAGATGGATGTCATTATCACAGTGAGAGGCAAGGTTGGAGGGGCAGCCAGGGGGGCTGAGACACAGAGTTATGGAGACGATTAATAGAACACAGTCCAGCACTTTGGGAGGATCATTTGAGCCCAGGAATTCAAGATTACAGTGAGCTAAGATTGTACCACTGCACTCTTGCCTGGGCAACAGAGTGAGACCCTGTCTCAGGAAAAAAAAAAAAAAAAAGAAGAAGAAGAAGGAAAAAAAAGAATACAGGATCTCTAGAAACAAAATAAGTGGGATGCCAACAAGGATATTACTCAAATTGTAAAACCAAAATAAATCAAGGATGGATACTGAGGAGGTTGAGGGCCATTGTCCCTAAGAAAATGTCAAGGTCATGGCCTCTTTCCAGGGCAGCCTTTATCCAATGACTCATTGACACAGGGTTTAAAGCCTAAGCCCTCTTGTTAGCTTAGCTGTGAGACATTTGAGTTGACCCACTTGAAAATGTTGACTATATTTCCCTGAACCTTGTGATTGCACAGGAGTGGCCCACTCCTGCCAACTGGGGGCTAGTATTGCCCTCTTGCTTGAAGATAATGCAGCAACTTCTGAACCTGGGCCAGGTTTTAGACCCAAATAATTGCCTAAAGGAGATGCCAGACTCCCAGATGGAAGGATCCTGTAACGCCATGGCAAGTGTACATGGTAGTGTTTCCCTATGTTTCCTCCACAAATGGGCCTACTATTATTTATTTGCATAACCATACACTAAGGAAAGGAGACTGCATAAAAGGACCCTAGTGGACACAGGGTCCAAGTCGACGTTAATTCCCAGAGTACTAAATAAGCACCAAGTCCTCCCAGTGGATCATATGGAGTTTAGGTAAAAACTGGAGTCCTGGCCCAAGTCCTAGTCACAGAAATGTCAAGTAGGTCTGCAACCCATAAAGTAGTCATCTCTCTGATTCTCTAATGTGTAACTGGAAGGACATACTTAGTATTTGGAACCACCACACTGGTACCTTGGCCTATAGGGTAAAAGGTTTCATAGTGGAAAGGCCAAGTGAAAACCTGTGAAACTGCCCCCAACTCCTTGGCTTACAAGCAAGCCAAGATAGGAAATGCAAAGCAATATTGCATTCAGGGGAAATGGAAAAATTAGTGCATCCTGATTGAAAGGATGCAGAGATAGTGGTTTCCAACATGTCTTCATTTAATTCATCAGTCTGGCGCCTGGAGAAAATGAGACAAATTCTGGGCAATGAAAGTAGGCTACTGCAAATTTAACCAAGTAGTAACCACAGTTGCAGCTGCTGTGTCAGATATGCTATCTTTGGTAGAACAGACCTGGATGGCCTCAGGTATGTGGTATGATCTGATAATTGTATTCTATCTCTTTTGGAAAAGATTATTAGGTACAGTTTACATTCACTTAGAAGAAACAACAGTATACATTTATAGTCTTGTCCCAGAGCTATAGTAACTCTCCTACTCTTTGGAGAGATCTGGTCTGGCTGAAAATCCCACAGAATATCATACTGATTTTCTATATAGATGATGACTATGCCATCTAGATGGACAGCAAGTAGCTAGCACATTAAGGGACTTGTTGAGGCAAGTATACTTTCCAGAGAGTGGGAAATAAACCCTGCAAACAGTTGGGGTCTTCCACATCAATAAAATCAGTGATCTGGTGCATGCCAGGAAATCCCCTCCAAAGTTAAGGACAAATTATTGCATCCCACTAAAAAGAAGGAAACACAGTGCCTGATAGGCCTCTTCAGATTCTAAAGGCAGCATATTTCACACCAGGAAACACTGCTCTAACCCATGTACTGAGTTACATGAAAAGCTGCCTGCTTTGAGTGGGATTCAGAGCAGGAAAGGACCCTGCAGTGAGTCCAGGTCACAATGGAAGTGACCCTTCCGCTTAGTCCATACATCACAGCAGCCCCCAGGGTATTAGCGGTATCAATGTTGAGAAAAGACATGAGGATTTTCTTGAAAGCCCCAGTGGGAAAATTACACTAGAAAACCCTAAAGTTCGCCAGGCATGGTGGTTCACACCTGTAATCCTAACACTTTGAGAGGTTGAGGCGGGCAGATCACTGAAGCCCAGAAGTTCCAGACCAGCTTGGGCAACATAGCAAAACTCTGTCTCTACAAAAAATACAAAAATTAGCCAGACAACGTGGTGCACTCCTGTAGTCCCAGCTATTTGGGAGGCTGAAGTGGGAGGTCAAGGCTGCCGTGAGCCATAATTGAGCCACAGCACTCCAACCTGGGTGAGGGAGCAAGACCTTATCCCAAAAACCAACAACAACAACAAACCAACAACAACAAAAACCCTAGAGTTCTGAAACAAGCCCATATGATCTGCAGCAGAGAAGCATACACCTTTCAAAAATCCACACCTGGTGTGGTGGAAATGGAGTGCCCAATAATGGGACACCATGCATCTAGAACAACCCATCATGAACTGGGTCCTATAAGGCCCACCAAATCATAAGGTTGGCAGGCCCAGCAGCAATCTGCTGAAAGATAGAAGTGGTACATCCAAGAACGAGCACAAGCAGGACCAGAGGTTACAAGCAAGCTGCATGAGCAGGTATAACAGACCCCCATGTCATACGACACCATTGCACCAGTACCTGTCCCTGTGCTCTATGGTTTCATATGGGGGACAGGGGAAGTATGTTATGGTGAACTGATGAATGGGCCAAGCTTGGTTTTTGGATGGGTCAATTTAAGATATGAATGCAAATCAGAAAGGGACTCTATTTCCACCTGACTCAGAGGTATTTGAAATAGTGATATGGAAAGAGAAATGACCTGAGGTTAGAATATACACCAATTCATGGCAGTGTAAAATGGCTTGGCCAGGTTGTCAGGGAACAAGAAGGAGAAATAATGGTATATCAGGGACAAGAAATCTGAGTCTATAACTTATGGGAGTGGACACAAAGTATATAGACAGTTGTGTTGCATGTTCATGCCCACCACAGAGCATCCACCAGGAAGAGGAACTAAGTCTCAGGGTATAGTTCAGTTGACAGCCAGTTGACATCAGTCACTCCAGTGCTGGCACATGGGTACATATGAACAGAGTACCATAATGACAACAATGTTGGTTACACCTGGGAACAACATAGGGTCCCATTTACTGAGGCTGATCTAGCTACTGCCACTGCCAGTGACAAAGACCAACTTTGAGTGCAGAATATAGTTTTATCCCTTAAGTAGACCCACTGGCCACTTGGTGGCAAGTGTGATGGCAGTACTTGGTGGCAAGTCACATTGGCTACCTTCCACCTAACATAGGTAACAATTCATTTAGACAAAAATGACCCCACTTACCATCACTTCCACTGACCCACTAGGAGAATTTGTACTTCCCATCTCCGCAATTCTGTGCTCTGTCAGTTAGAGGTCCTGATTCCCAAAGGGGAACGCTCACTCTAGGGGATGCAGTGAGAGTCCCACTGAACTGTAAGCTACAGTTGCTGGCAGAGGGAGTGTTGGGGTGGGGAACTTTGGACACCCAGGAGATTCACTTAGGCACCTCTTGGTGTTGTCTTGTTCTATTTCGGTGGTGAATGCAGAGGTGCCGCAGCCATAGCCTGAGAAGGGCGTGGTTGACCGAAGCTCAGACTCCTCAAAGATTGTGGGCGTGGCTAGGTCATCCCCCTGGCAAAGATGTTGGCTGAAGGTAAGGGGAGTCTGGATGGGGAAGAGTAGGGGAAGACGATGAGTGTCACTTAAAACCCCAGAACCAGCTGCAGCCGCAGCAACAAAGGCTGTGGTTCATCCCACTAATCTTCTCTTTTTTTTTTTTTTTTTTTTGAGACGGAGTCTCACTCTGTCACCCAGGCTGGAGTGCAGTGACGCAATCTCGGCTCACTGCAACCTCTGCCTCCCGGGTTCAAGCGATTCTCCTACCTCAGCCTCCTGAGTAGCTGGGACTACAGGCACGCACCACCACGCCCAGATAATCTTTTTTCATTTTTAATAGAGACTGGGTTTCACCATGTTGGCCAGGCTGGTCTCGAACTCCTGACCTCAGGTGATCTGCCAGCCTCTGCCTCCCAAAGTGCTGGGATTACAGGCATGAACCACCAAGCCAGGGCTTTTGAATGAAGATACTCCTGAAAGATTTCAGAATAACTTACCATACATCAGTTTCCTGTGGCATGATTGGTTGACATTCAATCTTGGACGGTGGTGTTACTTAGAAATGAGGGAGAATCATCAATGGGGCACTGGATACCAGATGGAACTCAGCACTTAATGGATTGGGGATAGATGAAGAAAAGGGAACTTGCTGGAAATGCATTTAAATGTTACCAGCTTCCACTATTTTGCATTGGAAGACCAGCTCTGTGCCCAAAACAATGTTGTGCCAAATAAAAGTTCCCAGCAAATGATAGCAACCCCAAATTTTGCCTGATAGAAATACACAATTTGTGGTATTATTTTTAAGGAAAAACAACAAGCCCGTTACAACAGAGCCACCATATTAACATAACTGATTCTATATTAAATTTAATTTCCTAAGAAGTGTGCAAGATCTTTTTGAGGCCATGTGATTGTTATCTGCCGCTCTTATTTTATTTGCTCCCAGTGATCTCCTCTTCAGGGCCCCTAGCTGAATGGGCCTGGATGCTAAAAGCATTACTCAGTGTCTCTGGTCAGGGGGCCTCTCCTAATTCCTGGCGTGCTCTGCCTAAGGAAGAAGGCACATGCATCACACACACCTCAGTTCCAGGACTCCTAGCTTCCTTCAGCACCTATTCCCATATATGGAGAGAAAAAGTGATGCAATGTAAAGAATTCTGAACCAGAAGTAGATCTGCTTTGAAGTCTCAGCCTAACATTTACAAAATGGATTCTCAGGCAAACCACTTTACCTATACTTCCCCTAAAGTGGGACTACTACCTGTCTTACCCAGTCATATTCTTTGAGGACCAAGTGAGATAATATATGTGAAAGTACTTTGTAAACTGGGATGCATTCATACTCAGGTAAGTTTTATTTTAATCACCTCTGAGTGTACCTCTCCTTCCCCTCTTCATCTCACCTTTCAAGGCTTACCACCCTCTTTGAGATTTCTCTAATCCCTTTATCCCTTAAAGTCCTCTTTCTCCAGCTTCCCTGTGGGTTTCTCCTACCTGTCTAATATATTCCACACATTTCTGCACTTTACAAAATATCTTATTCTATTCACTGTTTCATATATATTAGTCTTCTCTGCAATTTGAATACAGGCGCATTATAAACAAAGACCATGTTATATTCTAAAACTTCTCTTCTTTCGCTGGATACATGATAGGTTCCCAATAAATAGGAACTTGACAAGCTGATTCTAAAATATACATGGAAGGGGCCAGGCACAGTGGCTCACATCTGTAATCCCAGCGCTTTAGGGGGCCGAGGCGGGCAGATCACTTGAGGTCAGGAGTTCGAGGCCAGCCTGGGCAACATGTGAAACCCCATCTCTACTAAAAATACAAAAATTAGCCAGGTGTGGTGGCATGCGCCTGTAATCCCAGCTACTCGGGAGGCTGAGGCAGAAGAATCACTGGAACTCGGGAGGTGGAGGTTGAAGTGAGCCAAGATGGCACCACTGCACTCCAGCCTGGGCGACTGAGCAAGATTCTGTCGCGAAAAATAAATTAATAAAATAAAATAAAATAAAATATATATGGAAGAGCAAAGGCCAAAGGATAGCCAAGATACTCCTGAAAGAGAATAATAAGTTGAGTAGACTTGCTCACCAGATACCAAGACTTAGAAAGTTGTAGTAATTAAGGTAATGTTTACTGACACACAGATAGACAAAGTGACCAGTGGAAGAGAATAAAGACAATCTGAAGAAGTAGCATGCATATGTAGAAATATAAGGTATCTCTGCCTGGCGTGGTGGCTCATGCCTGTAATCCCAGCACTTTGGGAGGCCAAGACGGGCAGATCACTTGAGTCCAGGAGTTTGAGACCAGCCTGGGCAACATGATGAAACCCTGTCCCTAGAAAAAATACAAAAATTAGCCAGGTGTGGTGGTGGGTGCCTGTAATCCCAGATACTCGGGAGGCTGAGGTGGGAGGATTGCTTGAGCCCAGGAAGTTGAGACTGAAGTGAGCGATGATCACACCACCACACTTCAGCCTGGGTAACAGAGCCAGACCCTGCCAGAAAAGAAAAGAAAAGAAAGAGAGGAAAGAAAAGAAAAGAAAAAAGAGAAGAGAGAAGAAGAGGAGAGAAGAGAAAAAGAAAAAGAAATGTAAGATATCTCAAAAATAACATTATATACCACACAGGGGAAAGATGGACTAGAAACGGCACTGAGACAACTGGTTACCTATATGGAAAAAATTAAACTGGATTTCTACCCCAAACCATGTATAAAAATCAATTTCAGATGGACTAAAAATTTAACTGGGAAAGGCACACTTAAATATTTAGAAGAGATTATCTTTATGACTTGAGAGTACAAAAAGTTTCCTGAAAAAGATGGAAAAAACACTAACATTAAAAAAAGAAAGAAAAAAGGCTGAACGCAGTGGCACATGCCAGTAGTCTCAAAGCTTTGGGATGCCAAGGCAGGAGAATTCTTTGATCCTAGAAGCTCAAGATCAGCCTGGGCAACATAGTGAGGCCCCCAGCTCTATAAAAAAATTTTTAAATTAGCTAGGCCCAGTGGGGCATACCTGTAGACCCAGTTACTTGGGAGGCTGAGGTGAGAGGATTGCTTGAGCCCAGAATGTCAAGGCTGCAGTGAGCCATGATTGCACCACTGCACTCCAGCCTGGGTTACAAAGATCCTGTCTCAAAAAAAATTAAAAAGCCTGAAAAATTTTACTATGTTAAAATAAATAACCTCTGTTCATCAAGATATCATAAAGAAAGTGAAAAGGCAAGCCATAAACTGAAAGTATTTTCAACGCATCTAAGTAACAAAGAATTTGTATCCAGGATATATAAACAATAATAAGAAAAAGACGGCTCAACAGCCTTGACAAGATCTGCAGGGGAGAGACAGTTTTGGAGTTTTGAGTCCTGCCAATTTACAGGGGTTGTCGGGAGGGGCTTGCCACAAATACGGGCCTTCCCCAGATCTAGCCTAGCAAAGCCTAAAAGTAATTCTACGCAAATTCAAAGTGATCAGCCAGTAATTGAACTGCCTGCTAGAACAAAAATCATCACCCTTTGGAGGAAGAAAATAAAACTCAAGGTCTCTACAATGTATTAAATATCAGCACCAATTTCCAGCATGCAATTTAAGACTATTATACATGAAAAAAAAAACAGAAAAATGTGACCTTGAGATGGCACAGGTATATATGATTTAGCAAACAACTTTAAGCAGCTATAAATATGGTCAAGACTTAAAGAATCATATGGTATTAATAAGCAAAAAGATAGGGATGATCAGCAGTGAAAAGAAAATTTGTTTTATTTTATTTTTTATTTTTTGAGACAGGGTCTCACTCTGTCACCCGGGCTGGAGGTAGTGGTATGATCACAGCCCACTGCAACCTCAAACTCCTAGGCTCAAGCAATCGTCCCACCTCAGCCTCCCTAATAGCTGGGACTACATGCTCATGTCATCATGCCTGGCTAATTATTTTATTTTTTTGGTAGACATTTGTCTTGCTGTGTTTCCCAGGCTGGTCCCAAACTCCTAGCCTCAAGTGATCGTCCTGCCTCAGCCTCCCAAAGTGCTGGAATTACAAGCATAAGCCACCATGCTCAGCATCCCCCCAAAAATTTTTTAAACATCCAAGTGGAAATTGTAGAATTGAAAAGAACAATAACTGAAATGAAAAATTTATTGTATGAGCTTGACAGAAGAAAGGGTTAGCAAACTTGAAGACAGGGCAATAAAAAGTATCCAATCTTAAAAAGAGAAAGAACAAAATTCAAGAAAAGTTTGAGACCTCCTGAGCAACAGAATGAGACTGCATCTCAAAAAAAAGAAAGAGAGAGAGAGAAGAAGGAAGGAAGGAAGGAAGGAAAAAGAAAGTGAACTGGGCCTCAGGAATTTATAAAAATTACCAGTCTCACATACATTAAAATGAGTCCCAGAGGGAGGGTGAAAGTGGAATAGATAGTTATACAAGGAAGGAATGGCCAAAAGTTTTCCAAATTTAAATGTAAAACTTGACTTACAGATAAATGAAGATAGGCTAAATTAAAAAAAAAACCCACACACACTTGGGCACACCATTGGTATATCTTTAACTAAAGATAAAGAGAAAAATATTGAAAGCCCACAGTGAAAAAAAAGAGAGAAAGAGACACATTACATACAGGAAACAATGATATGAATAACAGCTGACTTCTCATTACAAACAATGAGGGCTATAAGACATTGGAATGATATATTTAGAGTGCTGAAAGAAAAAAACAAGCTGACATCCCATAATTCTGTATCTAACAAAAGTATCCTTCCAAAACAGGGATGAATGAAGACATTTGCAGATAAACAAAAGCCAGGAGAATCTGGCACCAGCAGACCTGCTTTACAAGAAATGCTAAAGGATATTCTTCAGGATAAAGAAAAATAATACCAGATGGAAATCTGGAACTACAGAAAAAAAAATGAAGAGTGCCAGAATTGGTAAATAAGAGGGTAAATTTTAAAAACTTTTTTATCTTCTAATTCCTTTCAATGACAACTGACTGCTTAAAGAAAAAAATAATATTGTAAGGTGGCATTTATCATGTATATAGAAATAAAAGATATGACAATAATAGCACAAAGAATGGGGTGGCAGGTTAATGGAATTGTGCCATTTTAAGGTTATTGGATGTGGAAAGTATCAGGTGGGACACCTGAAGTGTGAAGTGGTACAATATTCACTATTAATATTTTGATAGGCTGAGAATTTATAGTGTTAGTCCTGGAACAACCATGAAAATAAATAATAGAAAGAATTATCACTGAAAGGGGAGAAATAAGACAACCAAATGAACAAAGAATGGAATAGATGGGGTTGATACTCATCCAGCAGCACAACTTTGAAATACTGAGTGTGAAAAACCTGCCATATTGTTTAACATGTTTTAAAAATATTTTGAGTTTTATCCCTGGGAACAGAGATTTCACAGAAAAAGAAACATGAACAGCGAATAAATATAGCAAGTGGGTGAATGTTTTTTTTTTTTTTTTTGAGACAGGGTCTGACTGTGTTGCTCAGGCTGTAGAGCAGTGATAAGAACATGGTTCAGCGCAGCCTTGATCTCCCCGGCTCAAGTGAGCACCCCCCTCAGCCTCCTAGGAGTAGCTGAGACCACAGGCACATGCCACTATGCCCAGCTAATTTTTTAATTTTCTGTAGAGATGGGGTCTCACTTATGATGTTGCCTAGGCTGGTCTCAAGAAATCCTCTTGCCTCGGCCTCCCAAAGTGCTGAGATTACAGGCATGAGCCAACACACAGGGCCAGTAAATGAAATTTAATACCATGATAATATGCCAATGGTTTAATATGCCATTTTAAACCCACCAGGTTAGCCAAAATTAAGAGGTCTGATAACACCAAGTGTTAGCAAAGACAGGAATCAAAGAGAGCTCTTTCATATACCTGGAAGAACTGGAAATTGGTACAATGAATTTTAGAAAATAATCTGACATCTTGTTAGGGCTGAAAATGTACATAACTTACAACCCAGCAATTCTAATCCTTAGTATAACCTTGAATCAGCCAGAGTCCTACCAGAAAATCTGCAAACACCTAAGTATTTGTGACATAGGTTAATGAATGAAGGAAACTGTGATGTGATGAAACACCTGAGAAACCAAACAGGTTAATGAAGCAATGGAAACATTAGCAACAGCAGGCAGCTACTACAACCCTTAGGCTAGGCAGGAGGCAGCCAACAATAGCCTGCAACCCAAATCCAGCTCACTGCTAGTTTTTGGAAATAAAGTTTTATTGGAACACAGACACACCCACTCACAGAGTTGAGTGCAACAGAGACTGTATGACCTATAAAGACTAAAATATTTTACTCTCTGCTCCTTTACAAGAAAAGTTTGATGACCCCTAGGCTAGCAAGACAAAGGAAACAATGTTAAAGAAATGCATGGACAATAATCACCTGGCAGAAGCTAGAACCACAGTGGACCCGTCCCGAACCGAGAGCCAGGAAGACACTCAGCCACTGCTACTCACAGAAAGACCATTCAAGACAGAGAGAGGGGGACAAATACCTGGCTTCTTTCTTCTTTGTGCCCTCCAATCTCCCTCTCCGGTGCCTCCCACACACCAACCCAGCTGACACAAAACCCTGAAACACACAGCTTTGGGTGTCCGCCTTCTGTATACAAAGCAGAGCAGCAGAAAGGCGAGAACTGGATCTGAGAGTAAACCAAACCAAGAACTGCCAAATACCTTACAGAAACCCTCACATGTCTGGACTAGGAGACATAGAAAGAATCTTCTAGCAGCATTGTTAGTAACAGAAAACAAACAAACAAACAAAAAACAGAAACAACCAGCTAGGTGTGGTGGCTCATGCCTATAATCCCAGCACTGTGGGAGGCCAAGGCAGGAGGATTGCCTGAGTCCAGGAGTTCGAGACCAGCCTGGGCAACATAGTGAGACCCTGTCTCTATAAAAAATTTTAAAAAGTAGCCAGGCATGGTGGCATGTCCCTGTAGTCCCAGCTACCGGGGAGGCTAAGATGAGAGGATCACCTGAGCCCAGGAGGTCGAGGCTGCAGTGAACCAAGATCACGCTACTGCACTCCAGCCTGAGTGACACAATGAGACCCTGTCTCAAAAAAAAAAAAAGCAGAAACAACCGAAGTTTCCAGCAACAGGAGAATGATTAAAAATACTGTGGAATGGCCAGGCATGGCTCACGCCTGTAATCCCAGCACTTTGGGAGGCTGAGGCAGGCGGCGAAGTTCAAGACCAGCCTGACCAACATGGAGAAACTCTGTCTCTACTAAAAATACAAAATTAGCCTGACATGGTGGCACATGCCTGTAATCCCAGCTACTTGGGAGGCTGAGGCAGGAGAATCACCTGAACCCGGAACGCGGAGGTTGCAGTGAGCCAAGATTACGCCATTGCACTCCAGCCTGGGCAACAATAGCAAAACTCCATCTCAAAAAAAAAAAATACTGTGGGATATTCACATAATAGAGTACTACATAGCAGTGAGAATAAATGGACTATAACTATACATAAAATAACATTTGACTCTAATATAATGCTGTTTAAAAAAGCAAAATACCAAAAATGTATTGTATTATATTTATCTGAAGTTCAAAAATGCAAAACTAAATAATACATTGTTTTGTGATCAATACCTATGTATTAAATCTATAAAGAAAATTTATCCCTGAGAGGTCTGAGAAAAAAGAAAAAAGAAAAAAAATCTATTTAAAAAGTAAGAAAATGACAAATACAAAATTCACAATAGTGTCTCAGTGGAGTGGGTAGAGAGAAAGCAGAGAGATGAAATTAAGGAGAAATGTAAAGGTAGCTTCAACAGTATTGGTGATGTTTTATTTTTAAGTTGGATTTTGCTTCTCTGGTATTTGTTTTATTATTAACTTTTATAACTTACATATGTTTATATATTTACACATAAATATATGTGTTATACGGGTTAGTAATATATGTATGTATCAAATGTTTTATAATAATTGTTTTATTTATGTTTCTCTGTTTTTAAATTTGAGATAGGGTCTTGCTCTGCCACTCAGACTGGAGTGCAATAGCTTGAACACGGCTCACCGTAGCCTCGAAATCCTGGGCTCAAGCAATCCTCTCACCTCAGCTCCTGAGTAGCTGGGACTATAGGCACATGCCACAATGCCCAGCTAATTTTTTATTTTTTATTTTTGGTAGAGATGGGTTCTCACTATGTTGCCCAGGCTGGTCCCAAACTCCTGGGCTCAAGCCATCCTCCTGCCTTGGCCTCCCAAAGTGTTAGGATTACAGGTATGAGCCACCCTATCCGGCCAATAATTATTTTAAAAGAAGAGAAAACCATGTTTCCTAGCTAGAGCTTATTTCTGTCTTTCCCTTAGGTATTTCAAGTCCCTGAAAAGGAGAATTGCTCCTTTAAATTGGAAAACACAAACAGAAAACTTTATCCCAAGAAGACCCTCATTACCACAACAACCTCAGGCTGGTCCCAGTCATAAATATAACACAGGCAAAATCCGTTTTGAGAAAATCACTCTCCCTCAGGAGATGATACATAGAAAGGCACAGATACACTGTGGAAGCAGAAGAGAAGACAGAAAGAGACAAAAGATGGAAAGAGACAAAAGTATTGCCATGGACGGCCACCGTGTACTATCCTCTGCTAGAGAGACTAAAAGAGCCTGCAATCTAGCAGTGGAAATGACAAGGTACAAAACTACGTGCCATGAGAGCCTGGAGAGTGAGTTCTGTAAGAGAGAGGTGGTGAGAGAGATCAGGACTGACTGGGAAGGTGAAGGAAGGTGTCATAAAAGGAGAGGACATTCCTTTCTTTACTGGTGCTTGGCATCCCCAAATCTGTCAGTAACTCGCTGGATGATCCTGAGCAGACCAATGCATATCTATACTTGAGGTTCCACTCTGTAGAGAGAGATAAAGTCCATCTGCTTTCAAGGTATGTTTGGGAGAAAAATGATTGGTGACATGGAAAATTAATAAAACCCTTTATTGATATGATTTTTTAAAGGAGATACACCAAACACCAACATCTTGTCACCTTGTTCTCTAAATTCCTGGGAATCAGCAAAGCAACCCTAGGCTTTGCTAAGCAGCTTTTGTGCAGATTTTGTGCAGCTTTTGTGCAAGGCTCCCAGGTTAGTCCCTGTCCCTGGCATGTTGATGGCAGTAGGGATGACAGGGAGAGTGCTTTTAGATCGGGATTCAAGGTATAACAGAGTACCTTTCACATACTGACTGATTAAATGCTTAACGAATGAATGAATGAATGATCTCCAGCCAGCAATATAGTGTTCGGTGCATCCTTTAATACAAATTGCATGGGAGTGCAACACACCCAGATATATTAAAACCATAAGTAATATCTAAGAACTTAATTGAGATATTTAATAGCTCAACATAAACATATGCAAAATGTACAGCAAATGTTTATATAAAGTATCTTGGGCCGGGCATGGTGGCTCATGCCTGTAATCCCAACACTTTGGGAGGCCGAGGTGAGTGGATCACTTGAGGTCAAGAGTTCGAGACCAGCGTGGCCAATATGGTGAAACCCCGTCTCTATTAAAAATACAAAAATTAGCCGAGCATGGCGGCACCCACCTGTAATCCCAGCTACTTGGGAGGCTGAGGCAGGAAAATCGCTTGACCCCGGGAAGCAGAGGTTGCAGTGAGCCAAGATTGCGCCACTGCACTCCAGCCTGGGTGTCAGAGTGAGACTCGGTCTCAAAAAAAGAAAAAAAAAAGTACCTTGTTCTTAAAAACAATGTATTTAATGTCTCATGAGTAATATTAACGTTCTCTTTCTGTGTTTTTTTTTAATTAGGTGAAGGTCAAATTAATCTTTCAACAGCCAAATTTCAGGGATAACTCAGCGAAAATTTCATCAAAACAGCCTTCTTTGTGAGACTTAAGGGACCTTGGAAACCTGGGTCTTAGTGAAGGAATGCACCTCATGCACTGGGCCACTTCTCTGATGTTACCAGTTGCTTAGGATGTGACACTCTGACCCCATGGTGAAGTCAAGCCTGAGCATTTCACTTTCCTGAGATGGCAAATGGCTAAAAGACTTAGACTTAACAAATGCAAGAGCACAAGGGATTCTGATATAACGTCGCATGAGGATTTCCAGTAGCCCTGGGGAAACACTGAGCTCTTTCTCTCTTCTCTAGATCAGCACATCTACTTTGTCACTCCACAGCTGACAATATCATTTGTAGTTGAAAAACACGAGAGGGAAAATAAGTAATGCAAATTTCTCCTCATTCACCTGTTACATAAAGTTCAGATTTCAGGGCTGAGAATTGAAGTTCTACTTAAAGACCCTCGAATCTGACAGTTGAGAAAGTAGCTCTCCTTTACATGCCTTGTCTTAATTGCTAAGGTACCACAAACACAGGCTTCTCAAGAGACCTGCCTGGTGCACACTTCCTCTACTACAGACCGGTAGAGGACTCCAGTCAATTATCTGTTTCTTCCCCCTTACCAGTCCCTGCCAGTGGGCTATATGGGCTGCACATTTCAAATACATTGTTTTCACTGTGGTAAAATACATATAACATAAAATTTACCATTTTATCATGTTAAGTACATCACTTAGTGGCATCAATTGCAGTCACAATGTGGTATAATCATCACCACTATGTATTTCCAAAATCTTTCATCATCTGAAACTGAAACTCTGTAACCATTAAGCAATAACAGCCCATACTCCCTTCTCTGTGTTCTAACCACTGCTCCACTGTCTGTCTCTATGAATTTGACTACTTTAGGGACTCATATAAGTGGAATTAAGGCCGGGCACAGTGGCTCATGCCTGTAATCCCAGCACTTTGGGAGGCCAAGGTGGGCAGATCACTTGAGCTCAGGAGTTCAAGATCAGCCTGGGCAACATGGTGAGAAACCATCTCTACTTTTAGAGGTGTGTATGGTGGTGCACACCTGTAGTCCCAGCTACTCAGGAGGCTGAGGTGGGAAAATCACTTGAGCCCGGGAGGTCAAAACTGCAGTGAGCCATGATTGTGCCACCGCACTCCAGCCTGGATGACAGAGTGAGACCCTGCCTCAAAAAAAAAAAAAGTGGAATCACATATTTATGCTTTTGTGAATGGCTTATTTCACTTAGCATATCTTCAAGGTTCATCCACGTTGTAGCATATGTCAGCATTTCCCTCCTTTTTAAGGGCTCAATGATATTCTATGGTATGTATGTAACAGATTTTATTTATCCATTCATCCATTACTAGTAACAGGTTTTCTACCTTTTGGCTATTATGAATAATGCTGTGAACATTAGTGTAAAAATATCTATTCAAGTCTCTAGTCTTAATTATTTTGGATATATACCCAGAAGTGGAATTGCTAGATCATTTGGTAATTCTATGTTTAATTTATTGAGAAATTGCCATACTATTTTCCCTCATTAGGTTTTGATTTGCATTTCCCAAATGACTATGATGTTGAGCATGTTTTCATGAGTTTATTGGGCATTTGTATAACTTCTTTGGAGAAATGTCTATTCAAGTACTTTGCCTATTTTTAACTGAGCTTTTTAATGTGTTGTAGGAGTTCCTTATATATATTCTGGATATTAACCCCTTATCAATCAGAGATATGATTTGCAAACATTTTATTCCATTTTGTGGGTCATGTTTTCACTCTCTTGATGGTACCCTTCATCCTTTGTCATTTTTTAGCTTTTTTGTTTGTTTGTTTGTTTTAGATATGGGCACTATATTTCTCAGGTTGGACTTTAAGTCCTGGGTTCAAGCAATCCTCCTGCCTCAGCCTCCTGACTAGTTGGGATTACAAGTGCATACCACCATGCCCAGCTTGTCCTTTGTCCTTTGAAGGATAAACGTTTTTAAATTTAATAAAGTCCAAGTTATCTTTTTTCTTCTGTCACATGTGCTTTTGATGTCATATTTAAGAAACTGTTGCCAAATCTAAGGTCATGAAGATTTATCTCTACGTTTTCTTCTAAGAGTTTTATAGTTCATTTCTGAAATTTAGGTCTTTGATCCATTTCGAGTTATTTTTAGTATATGGTGTTAAGTAAGGGTTCAACTTCACTTTCTTGCATTTGGCCCATTTGGCCCAGCACCAGATCTATCAAGTTTTACTTTATGTGTTTTGAAGCTATGTTGTTTGTTTCATGCACATTTAGAATTGCTATGTATAGTTGGGGATAGAGGCTTTTATCATTATGCGATGTCCCTCTTTGTCCCTAGTAACTTTCTTTGCTCTGAAGGTTATGTTATCAAATACTGATATAGCCATTCTTGCTTTTTGTTGTAGTTGTTGTTAATCCTTGCATGATACATCTTTTTTAATCCTTTTACTTTCAACCTGCTTTCAACCTATGTTACGTTTGAAGTTAGCTTCTTGTACACAGAATACAGTTAGATCATTTATAAACTACACTCTGTCAATCTCTGCCTTTTAATTGTTGTACTTGGACCACTTACATTTAAAATAATTATTGATATTTTGAGGCTTAAGTCTGTCATTTTATTATTTGTTTTCTGTTTCTTCCTTCTCTTTGTTTTCTTTCTTTCTTTCTTTCTCTCTATCTCTCTTTCTTTCTTTCTTCCTTTCTTTCTTTCTTTTTCTTGAGACAGGGTTTCATTCTGTCATCCAGGTTGGAGCTCAATGGTGTAATCATAGTTCACTGCAGTCTTGACCTCCTGGGCTCAAGCAATCCTCCCTCCTCCCACCTCAGCCTCCTGAGTAGCTGGGATTACAGGCGTGTGCCACTGTGCCCAGCTAACTTTCAAATTATTTGTAGAGACAGGGTCTCACTATGTTGCCCAGGCTGGTCTCAAACTTCTGGGCTCAAGTGGTCCTCCTGCCTCGGCCTCCCAAAATACAGGCATGAGCCACTGTGCCTGGCTTCCTCTGTTTCCTGTTACTCTGTTTCTTTACTCTTGCTTCTTGTGGATCACAAGAACAATTTTTAGAGTTTCATTTTTATTTATTTATAATGTTTTTAGTACATTGCTTTGTAAACCTTCTTATTGGTGAGTGTGTCATTTATCAGAGTCTTCTTTCTGGTGTTGACATTTTCGAGTCAAGTGAAATATAGAAAACTTACTTCCATTTAGGTCTCCTTCCCCTCAGTGTTTTAAAATATAAATTATTTCCTCTACATACACTGAGTGCCATATCATATGGTGTTAAACTTGCTCTATTATGTTTACATCTATTTCTACTCATTTTGTTGTTCTTCTATCCTTTCTGATGTCCCAGCCTTCTGTTATTATTTTTTTTGAAACTTAAATGCTCTCAATTTATTTTTTTTATTATACTTTAAGTTCTAGGGTACATGTGCACAACGTGCAGGTTTGTTACTTTTATTGTAGAGCTTCCTTTAGCCACTCTTTAAGGGTAGGTCCGCTAGCAACAAATTCTCTTAGTTTTCCCTTGTTTGAGAATGTCTTTATTCCTGAAGGATAATCTCTTCAAATATGGAATTTGGGGTTAATGATTCTTTTCTTTCAGCACTTGAAAACTGTTGTGCCACTTCCTCGTAATCCCCATGGTTTCAGGTGAGAAAACTGCCGTCATTTAAATCAGTGTTCTCACACACACCAGGGCCTGTCGGGGGCTAGGGAGCAAGGAGAGGGAGAGCATTAGGACAAATACCCAATGCATGCGGGGCTTAAAACCTAGATGACGGGTTGATAGCCGCAGCAAACCACCATGGCACATGTATACCTATTAACAAACCTGCACATTCTGCACATGTATCCTGGAACTTAAAGTAAAACAAAAAAATTAAATAAACAAACCCGTGTTCTCCATTGGAAATATGTCATTTCTTTTTGGCTGTTTTTAATGTGTTTTTTATTTTTTAGTTTTTAGAAGTTTAATTATGTGTCTTGGTGTAGGTTTCTTTGTGCTTATCTTATTTGGGGTTTACTCATCAAATTTGGGACGTTTGCAGCCATTATTCCTCCCAAATACTCTTTCAGCACTATTCTCTTTCTCCTCTCCTTATGGAACTCTGGTGATACACATGTTTATTCTTTTGTTACTGTCCCACAGATCTCTAAGGCTCTGCTTTTTGTTTGTTTGTTTATTTGTTTTTGGAGATGGAGTCTTGCTCTGTCGCCCAGTCTGGAGTGCAGTGGCGCCATCTCAACTCACTACAACCTCCGCCTCCCGGGTTCAAGCAATTCTGCCTCAGCCTCCCAAGTAGCTAGGATTACAAGCGCCCACCACCACACTCGGCTAATTTCTGTACTTTAGTAGAGATGGGGTTTCACCATGTTGGCCAGGCTGGTCTCGAACTCCTGACTTCAGGTGATCTTCCCACTTCAGCCTCCCAAAGTGCTGGGATTACAGGTGTGAGCCACTGCACCCGGCCCATTTTTTTTCAGTCTATTTTCTTTCCGTTGCTCAGATAGAGTAAATTCTATTGATCTATCTTCAGATTTACTGATTCTGTCCTCAGTTATCTCCACTTCACTACTGAGCAAGTTTTTTATTTCAATTATTGGATTTTCAGTTTCATAATTTCCATTTGTCTCTTTTTATAACTTTTATTTCTTTACTGATATTTTCTATTTTGCACTTGTTTCAAGAGAATTTGAAATTGATTGTTGAAGCATTTTTATGATGGCTACTTTAAAATCCTTGACAAATAATTCCAACATCTGATTCATCTTGTCATCGGCATCAGTTAATTGTCTTTCCTCATTCAAACTGTGGTTTTCCTGGTTCCTGGTAGAATTAATGATTTGTTTTTATCACTGGACATTTTGATTATTATGCTAGAAGACTCTTGATTATATTTAAATATTCTATTTTAGCAGACTGTCACTCTGCTTAGACTTAGCCTATAAGTTCTGGCCTACTTTGTGGGCTTTTTTGTTCCAATGACAGTCCAGTTTTGAAAGCGCTTGCAATGTTATTCTGGTCTGTTTTGTTCTTCTGGTGCTGATAGGATTCCTGCTCATTCCTGCTAATGCCATCTGCAGAGGCGGAAGGTGCTTCTTTTAGCCACCTGCTAGTGCTTGGTGATTTTCTGGGAGTAGGGGTTGTAGCAAAAGCCACTAGGCTTGGGTCTCCTTATGCCAGTGGGTAGAGAGCAGGGGAACACAAGGATTCACCCTCTCTGCCACTGTGGACATATCGGACTGCCTGCCAATGCCCTGGTTGTGAAGCAGTGTCTTGGATAGCTTGGGATTTTGCTGCCACCACCGCTGCCAACAGATTGTACTGTCTACTGGCCTGTGGTGTGAAACAGGGGTTTTAGTTCCTCACTAGGTCTCTGTTGGGCTTCCCCTTTCCTGGTTATTTGGCCAGAGAGAGCAGGCTTTCCTTAGGTTCTTATGTCTATGCCTGTGGGTAGTTTCAGACTACAGGCCTCTCTGGCATCCAGGCCAGGGGCATATGCGAGACAAAAAGAAAACTCAGAAAACTCAGCATGTTGTCATTCCTCATATCCTGGGGTTTCCTACTACTCTGTCATCTTTCTAGCTTTCAGAGACCTTTTATCATTGTCTGTTCCAATATTTCCAAGGGGTTTTGTTGTATTTAGAGGGGAAAAGTAGTGAAAAGTAAGTCTATTCCATCTTGTTTCAGAACCAGCAGCACAAATCAATGTTAATAAATTAGTATTATCAAATCAAGATATCACCTCTCAATTATGTAAAGAACTTATAGAGCCAAGTGTGGTGGCTGACACCTGTAATCCCAGCACTTTGGGAGGCCCAAACAGGAAGATCACTTGAGCCCAGGAGTACAAGACCAGCCTGGGCAACACGCCCAGCTTAAAATTTTAATGTAACCATATATAGAAGAGTCGAGTAAATCTTTGAAATTTTCATATGACTTTGACAGGGTTTTATCATATATGTAGAGAACATATAAAATGTAAAATAAAACTTAAAATTCAACCTTACTCATTAATAAGACAATAGATATTGACAGATTTTATGTGTTTTTTAACTTTAAAGGTAGGTTCTCTTGTCTGAAAGAAAGGAGACATTATGGAAAGCCTCGAAAGACAGAAAACAGAAACAAGTTAGTTTAACATATTAAAAAATTCATCTTGATGAAATAAAGTATCTGCTGTACCTTCTGTCAGTAAACCCCAGAGGTCTGACCACATAGAAGTAAAGATACACAAGGTAAAAATCAAACAGAATTCCAAATGACTGCCCTAAATTCCAAAGCTGCAAGGCTATTTCAAAGAAATGGCAGAAGTCTTCCTGCTCTCTCACAGAGAAAGTGTATATCCAACCCCTAAGAAGTCCTGGATGGCCTGGAGCTGTCATAATGACTGCTGACCATGTTATACAAAAGATATGACTGGGAGGTGGTGGTGGAGATTCGGGGGGTGATCCTTGGGGAAGATGGCAAGGAAGAAGAAATAAGGAGACCAGTAATTGATCTTCTGCAGGCTGACCCCATCTGCTAAAGTTAGTATGCCTGGGTGATGAAAAGGACTGACTCACCAGGAGAATAATAAATAGCAACAATCACAGGCATTTGCAGAGAATTGATTTCCTTGAGACTTCTGCAGGTTCTCATATGAATAATCTCATTTATAACCAAGCAGTTCCTATGATGAGTCTGAGGAATCTCCTGTATGAATCTGTGGTATCCCTTACATTTCATAGAAGAGGAAACTGAAGAGAGAAGGGACATGGCTTCCTGGCGACCACATGGGACCTATACCAAAGAGATGGGTTCTGGAGAATGCTAGAACTATGGTTCCAGATTACATGGATGATCCATAGTTAAGTCACTGGATGTTTCTAATCGACATGCAAATCTAATGAAGTCTAAATAACTACTGTTAATTTAATTTTTGCTAATACAATTTTATATCTGAAGGCAAATGTCAAAATAGTTTTGAAAGAAATAATATGCAATGTAAAATGGTAATTGAATAACGATAAAAAATTGAGCACTTCTATATTGTTCACTAAATGCCAGGCACTACTCTAAGTGCTTTACATATATTTCCTCACTTAATCCTCACAAACACCCTTTGATGAAGGTATTATTATTAACTCCATCCTTCAAAGGACAAAACTGAGGCAGAGAAGTTAATTACCAAGGTCACCCTGTTGATAAGGGAAGGAGCCAAGATTCAAACCTGGGCAGTCTGCCGCCAGAATCTGAACCACCACTCTACACTGCCTCTCAGTACTACTACTAATAATAATCCAAAGTGAGATTCCTGGAGTGTATCTACAAAATTGAGAATACCAGGGCTTAGGTGTGGTGGCTTACACCTGTAATCCCAGCACTTTGGGAGGCCAAAGCAGGAGGATCACTTGAGGCCAGGAGTGTGAGACCAGCCTGGGCAACATAGCGAGACCTCAACTCTACAAAAAATATACAAAATTAGCTGGTGTTGTGGCACATGCCTGTAGTCCTAGCTGCTTGGGAGGCTGAAGTGGAAGGATTGCTTGAGCCCAAGAGTTCGAGGTTGCAGTGAGCTGTGATAAGGCCATATTGCACTCCACCCTGGGCAACAGAGCTAGACCCTGTCAAGAAAGAAAGAGAGTAAGAGAGAGAGGGAGAGAGAGAAAGAGAGAGAGAGAGAGAGAGAAAGAAAGAGAAGCAAGAGAAGTAAAACATGCCATTTTTTAAATTTTACTTGAAAGACAATTGATTTCATGTTTGAATTTGAGGAAAAATACATTCAGATTTTAGAGACTTAAAAAAATGAGGGGAGGCCAGGCACGGTGGCTCACACCTGTAATCCCAGCACTTTGGGAGGCCGAGGCAGGTAGATCATGAGGTCAAGAGATCAAGACCATCCTGGCCAACATGGTGAAACCCCATCTCTATTAAAAATACAAAAATTAGCTAGGTGTGGTGGCGCACACCTGTAGCCCCAGCTTACTCAGAAGGCTGAGGCAGGAGAATAGTTTGAACCCAGGAGGCAGAGGTTGCAGTGAACTGAGATCACACCACTATACTCCAGCCTGGCGACAGAGCAAGACTCTGTCTCAAAAAAAAAAAGAGGAAATTTTGGGGGCGATCGATGGTAATGTATATCTTGATAGGAGTTTGAGTTACATGGGTGTATGCATTGTCAAAACTCAGTCAGTATACATTTCAAATATGTTTATTTCATTTTATGTAAGTTTTACATCAAAAGAAAACAACAGGCCAGACAAGGTGGTTCACACCTGTAATCCTAGCACTTTGGGAGGCCAAGGCAGGAGGATCGCTTGAGCTCAGGAGTTTGAGACTAGCCTGGGCAACATAGCAAAACCACATCTCTACAAAATATACAAAAATTGCCCAGCTGTGGTGGTGCACACCTGTGGTCCCAGCTACTTGGTAGACTGAGGTGGGTGGATCACTTGAGCCCAGGAGGTAGATGCTGCAGTGAGCCATGATAGCTCCACTGCACTTCAGCCTGGGCAAAAGCAAAACCCTGTCAAAAGAAAGAAAAGAAAAGAAAAGAAAAACTCAATATTGAACTCCAGTTAATGGTATTAGAGTACAGAAGTACTGAGGGAGAGGTATACAAATGTCTGTCATTTACTTTTAAATGCATCCAAAAATAAGATGGATTAATAGATGGATGGAGGGATGGATAGATGGCTACATATGGGATATGGAGAAAAGCAAATATATTAATATATTAATGATAAAAGTCTTGGTAAACATTTCTACAATCATTACCCAGGTCAAGAAATAGAGTTTAGCCAGCAACCCAAGAAACTCTGCCATGTACCCCGTACTAACCACAGCCTTTCCCAGCCCTCCAACAGCACATTAATCACTTTTCTTATGCTACTTTATTGTTTTATCACCCAAGTGTGCATTTCATTTGCTCCCTTTTTTTAACTCGGTATATCCCCGTCAGTCTCTTTCTTTCCCTTACAATGTATGTATTGAAGGATGGAGGCTGTATTATATACAGAGTTTCCTGCAATCTGGTCTTCAGTGACTGCATACGCATAGCACAGTTCAGCATGTTCCTCTATCCTCTGTATTTCCTGAAAATTGGCAGCTAAATCCAAAGGATTGATGAGTTTTAGATTCAATTCCTTTGGCAAAATTAAGTGGTAGTGTGTTCTTTCATCAGGAGGTACATCATACCAGCTTTTCACTTACTTTTTTTTTTATGTCAGCTCAATGCCTAGGTTCACTGATCCATTTGGGATAGTTAGGGTGGTGTCATTCTAATTCTATCCTACAGTTTTTATTTTTTATCTGGAATAATTTTACAAAGAGATGCTTCCCCTCACCTACTATTTGATTACCCAGTTGTACAGTTCATAAAGAAAAGGCAAAGTATTTTGGCTTTTGTTACCATTGCTTTTGGTGTTTTAGTCATGAAGTCCTTGCCCATGCCTATGTCCTGAATGGTATTGCCTAGGTTTTCTTCTAGGGTTTTTATGGTTTGGGATCTAATTAAACTAAAGAGCTTCTGCATGGCAAAAGAAACTACCATCAGAGTGAACAGGCAACCTACAGAATGGGAGAAAATTTTTGCAATCTACCCATCTGACAAAGAGCTAATATCCAGAATCTACAAAGAACTTAAACAAATTTACAAGAAAAATCAAACAACCCCATCAAAAAGTGGGCAAAGGATATGAACAGACACTTCTCAAAAGAAGACATTTATGCAGCCAACAGACACATGAAAAAATGCTCATCATCACTGGCCATCAGAGAAATGCAAATCAAAACCACAATGAGATACCATCTCACACCAGTTAGAATGGTGATCATTAAAAAGTCAGGAAACAACAGGTGCTGGAGACGATGTGGAGAAATAGGAACACTTTTACACTGTTGCTGGGAGTGTAAATTAGTTCAACCATTGTGGAAGATAGTCTAGCGATTCCTCAAGGATTTAGAACTAGAAATACCATTTGACCCAGCCATCCCATTACTGGGTATATACCCAAAGGATTATAAATCATGCTACTATAAAGACACATGCACACGTATGTTTATTGTGGCACTATTCACAATAGCAAAGACTTGGAACCAACCCAAATGCCCATCAATGATAGACTGGATGAAGAAAATGTGGTATATATACACCATGGAATACTATGCAGCCATAAAAAAGGATGAGTTCATATCCTTTGTAGGGACGTGTGTGAAGCTGGAAACCATCATTCTGAGCAAACTTCGCAAGGACAGAAAATCAAACACCACATGTTCTCACTCATAGTTGGGAATTGAACAATGAGAACACTTGGACACAGGGTGGGGAACATCACACACCAGGGCCTGTCCTGGGCTGGGGGTAGGGAGGAGGGATAGCATTAGGAGAAATCCCTAATGTAAATGACTAGTTAATGGGTGCAGCCCACCAACATGGCACATGTATACATATGTAACAAACCTGCACATTGTGCACATATACCCTAGAACTTAAAGTATAAAAAAAAAAGAAAGAAAAAAGGCAAGGTAAATCATTGGTTGTTTGTTTTTATTTACACCATTTCCACAATAATGAATCATTTATCTGTCATCTTCAGAATGCAATCAATTCACCTTCTTTTTTATTTCATCTTTATTTTCACTTTTTTTATTATTATACTTTAAGTTCTACAGTACATATGCACAACATGCAGGTTTGTTACATATGTACACATGTGCCATGTTGGTGTGCTGCACCCATTAACTCGTCATCTACATTAGGGATTTCTCCTAATGCTATCTTCCCCCTCCTACCCACCTCACGACAGGCTCTGGTGTGTGATGTTCCCCGCCCTGTGTCCAAGTGTTCTCATTGTTCAATTCCCACCTATGAGTGAGAACATGCGGTGTTTGATTTTTTATCCTTGCAATAGTTTGCTCAGAATGATGGTTTCCAGCTTCACCCATGTCCCTACAAAGGACATGAACTCATCCTTTTTTATGGCTGCATAGTATTCCATGGTGTATATGTGCCACATTTTCTTCATCCAGTCTATCATTGATGGACATTTGGGTTGGTTCCAAGTCTTTGCTATTGTGAATAGTGCCACAATAAACATACGTGTGCATGTGTCTTTATAGTAGCATGATTTATAATCCTTTGGGTATATACCTAGTAATAGGATGGCTGGGTCAAATGGTATTTCTAGTTCTAGATCCTTGAGGAATTGCCACACTGTCTTCCACAGTGGTTGAACTAGTTTACACTCCCATCAATAGTGTAAAAGCATTTATATTTCTCCACATCCTCTCCAGCACCTGTTGTTTCCTGACTTTTTAATGATCACCATTCTAACTGGTGTGAGACAGTATCTCACTGTGGTTTTGATTTGCATTTCTCTGACGACCAGTGATGACGAGCATTTTTTTCATGTGTCTATTGGCTGCATAAATGTCTTCTTTTGAGAAGTGTCTGTTCATATCCTTTGCCCACTTTTTGATGGGGTTGTTTGATTTTTTCTTGTAAATTTGTTTCTTTGTTGATTCTGGATATTAGCTCTTTGTCAGATGGGTAGATTGCAAAAATTTTCTCCCATGCTGTAGGTTGCCTGTTCACTCTGATGGTAGTTTCTTTTGCTGTGCAGGAGCTCGTTAGTTTAGTTAGATCCCATTTGTCTATTTTGGCTTTTGTTGCCATTGCTTTTGGTGTTTCAGACATGAAGTCCTTGACCATGCCTGTGTCCTGAATGGTGTTGCCTAGGTTTTCTTCGAGGGTTTTTGTGGTTTTAGGTCTAACATTTGAGTCTTTAATCCATCTTGAATTAATTTTCATATAAGATGTAAGGAAGGGATACAGTTTCAGCTTTCTACATATAGCTAGCCAGTTTTCCCAGCACCATTTATTAAATAGGGAATCCTTTCCCCATTTCTTGCTTCTGTCAGGTTTTGTCAAAGATCAGATGGTTGTAGATGTGTGGTGTTATTTCTGAGGCCTCTGTTCTGCTCCATCTGTCTATATCTCTGTTTTTGTACCAGTACCATGCTGCTTTGGTTACTGTAGCATTGTAGTATCGTTTGAAGTCAGGTAGCTGATGCCTCCAGCTTTGTTCTTTTTGCTTAGAATTGTCTTGGCAATGTGGGCTCTTTCTTGGTTCCATATAAACTTTAAAGTAGTTTTTTCCAATTCTGTGAAGAAAGTCATTGGTAGCTTGATGGGGATTGCATTGAATCTATAAATTACCTTGGGTAGTATGGCCATTTTCACGATATTGATTCTTCCTATCCATGAGCACGGAATGTTCTTCCATTTGTTGTGTCCTCTTATTTCGTCGAGCAGTGGTTTGTAGTTCTCCTCGAAGAGGTCCTTCACATCTCTTGTAAGTTGGATTCCTAGGTGTTTTATACTCTTTGAAGCGATTGTGAATGGGAGTTCACTCATGATTTGGCTGCTTGTCTGTTATTGGGGTATAGGAATGCTTGTGATTTTTGCACATTGATTTTGTATCCTGAGATTTTTCTGAAGTTGCTTATCAGCTTAAGGAGATTTGGGGCTGAGACAATGGGGTTTTCTAAATATATAATCACATCATCTGCAAACAGGGACAATTTGACTTCCTCTTTTCCTAATTGAATACCCTTTATTTCTTTCTCCTGCCTGATTGTCCTGACCAGAACTTCCAACACTATGTTGAATAGGAGTGGTGAGAGAGGGCATCCCTGTCTTGTGCCGATTTTCAAAGGGAATGCTTCCAGTTTTTGCCCATTCAGAATGATATTGGCTGTGAGTTTGTCATAAATAGCTCTTATTAGTTTGAGATACGTCCCATCAGTACCTAGTTTATTGAGAGTTTTTAGCATGAAGGCTGTTGAATTTTGTCAAAGGCCTTTTCTGCATCTATTTTGATAATCATGTGGTTTTTGTCATTGGCTCTGTTTATGTGATGGATTATGTTTATTGATCTGCGTATGTTGAACCAGCCTTGCATCCCAGGGATGAAGCCAACTTGATCGTGGTGGATAAGCTTTCTGATGTGCTGTTGGATTTGGAGTACCAGTATTTTATTGAGGATTTTTGCATCAATGTTCATCAGGGATATTGGTCTAAAATTCTTTTTTTGTTGTGTCTCTGCCAGGCTTTGGTTTCAAGATGATACTGGCTTCATAAAATGAGTTAGGGAGGATTCCCTCTTTTTCTGTTGATTGGAATAGTTTCAGAAGGAACAGTACCAGCTCCTTTTTGTACATCTGGCAGAATTTGGCTGTGAATCCATCTGGTCCTGGACTTTTTGTGGTTGGTAGGCTATTAATTATTGCCTCAATTTCAGAGTCTTTTATTGGTCTATTCAGGGATTCAGTTTCTACCTGGTTTAGTCTTGGGAGGGTGTATGTGTCCAGGAATTTATCCATTTCTTCTAGAGTTTCTAGTTTATTTCCATAGAGGTATTTATAGTATTCTCTGATGGTAATTTGCATTTCTGTGGGATCGGTGGTGATATCCCCTTTATCATTTTTTATTGTGCCTATTTGATTTTTCTGTCTTTTCTTCTTTATTAGTTTTGCTAGTGGTCGATCTGTTTTGTTGATCTCTTCAAAAAACCAACTCCTGGATTCATTGATTTTTTGAAGGGTTTTTTGTGTCTCTATCTCCTTCAGTTCTGTTCTGATCTTAGTTATTTCTTGCCTTCTGCTAGCTTTCAAATTCATTTGCTCTTCCTTCTCTAGTTATTTTAATTGTGATGTTAGGGTGTCAATTTTAGATCTTTCCTGTTTTCTCTTGTGAGCATTTAGTGCTATAAATTTCCCTCTACACACAGCTTTAAATGTGTCCCAGAGATTCTGATATGTTGTGTCTTTGTTCTCATTGGTTTCAAAGAACATCTTTATCTCTGCCTTCATTTCATTCTTTACCCAGTAGTCATTCAGGAGCAAGTTGTTCGGTTTCCACGTAGTTGTGAGGTTTTGAGTGAGTTTCTTAATCCTGAGTTCTAATTTGATTGCACTGCGGTCTGAGAGACAGTTTGTTGTGATTTCTGTTCTTTTACATTTGCTGAGGAGTGCTTTACTTCCAACTATGTGGTCAATTTTGGAATAAGTGTGATGTGGTGCTGAGAAGAATGTATATTCTATTGATTTGGGGTGCAGAGTTCTATAGATGTCTATTAGGTCTGCTTGGTGCAGAGCTGAGCTCAAGTTCTGGATATCCTTGTTAACCTTCTGTCTCATTGATCTGTCTAATATTGATAGTGAGGTGTTGAAGTCTCCCATTATTATTGTGTGAGAGTCTAAGTCTCTTTGTAGGTCTCTAAGGACTTGCCTTATGAATCTGGGTGCTCCTGTATTGGGTGCATATATATTTAGGATAGTTAGCTCTTCTTGTTGAATTGATCCCTTTACCATTATGTAATGGCCTTCTTTGTCTCTTTTGATCTTTGTTGGCTTAAAGTCTGTTTTATCAGAGACTAGGATTGCAACCCCTGCTTTTTTTTCGTTTTGTTTTCCATTTGCTTGGTAGATCTTCCTCCATCCCTTTATTTTGAACCTATGTGTGTCTCTGCACATGAGATGGGTCTCCTGAATACAGCACACTGATGGGTCTTGACTCTTTATCCAATTTGCCAGTCTGTGTCTTTTAATTGGTGCATTTAGCCCACTTACATTTAAGGTTAATATTGTTATGCGTGAATTTGATCCTGTCATTATGATGTTAGCTGGTTATTTTGCTCGTTAGTTGATGCAGTTTCTTCCTAGCATCAGGGGTCTTTACAATTTGGCATGTTTTTGCAGTGGCTGGCACTGGTTGTTCCTTTCCATGTTTAGTGCTTCTTTCAGGAGCTCTTGTAAGGCAGGCCTGGTGGTGACAAAATCTCTCAGCATTTGCTTGTGTGTAAAGGATTTTATTTCTGCTTCACTTATGAATCTTACTTTGGCTGGATATGAAATTCTGGGTTGAAAGTTCTTTTAAGAATGTTGAATATTAGCCACCACTCTCTTCTGGCTTATAGAGTTTCTGCCAAGATATCAGCTGTTAGTTTGATGGGCTTCCCTTTGTGGGTAACCCGACCTTTCTCTCTGGCTGCCCTTAGCATTTTTTCCTTCATTTCAACCTTGGTAAATCTGACAATTATGTGTCTTGGGGTTGCTCTTCTCAAGGAGTATCTTTGTGTTGTTCTCTGTATTTCCTGAATTTGAATGTTGGCCTGCCTTGCTAGGTTGGGGAAGTTCTCCTGGATAGTATCCTGAAGAGTGTTTTCCAACTTGGCTCCATTCTCCCCGTCACTTTCAGGTACACCAGTCAGATGTAGATTTGGTCTTTTCACATAATCCCATATTTCTTGGAGGCTTTGTTCACTTCTTTTTACTCTTTTTTTTCTCTAAACTTCTCTTCTCGCTTCATTTTATTCATTTGATCTTCAATCGCTGATACCCTTTCTTCCACTTGATCAAATTAGCTACGAAGCGTGTGCATGCGTCACGTAGTTCTTATGCCATGTTTTTCAGCTCCATCAGTTCCTTTAAGGTCTCTCTACACTGTTTATTCTAGTTAGCCATTCATCTAATCTTTTTTCAAGGTTTTTAGCTTCCTTGTGATGGGTTTGAACATCCTCCTTTAGACTGGAGAAGTTTGTTATTACTGACCTTCTGAAGCCTACTTCTGTCAACTCGTCAAAGTCATAGTCCATCCAGCTTTGTTCCATTGCTGGTGAGGAGCTGTAATCCTTTGGAGGAGAAGAGGTGCTCTGGCTTTTAGAATTTTCAGCTTTTCTGCTCTGGTTTCTCCCCATCTTTGTGGTTTTATCTACCTTTGGTCTTTGATGATAGCGAACTACAGATGGGGTTTTGGTGTGGATGTCCTTTTTGTTGATGTTGATGCTATTCTTTTCTGTCTGTTAGTTTCCCATCTAACAGTCAGGACCCTCCGCTGCAGGTCTGTTGGAGTCTGTTGGAGGTCCACTCCAGGCCCTGTTTGCCTGGGTATCACCAGTGGAGGCTGCAGAACAGCAAATATTGCTGCCTGATCCTTCCTCTGGAAGCTTTGTCTCAGAGGGGTACCTGGCTGTATGAGGTATCAGTCAGTCCCTACTGGCCGGTGTCTCCCAGTTAGGCTACACGAGGGTCAGGGACCCACTTGAGGAGGCAGTCTGTCCATTCTCAGAGCTCAAACTCCATGCTGGGAGAAACACTGCTCTCTTCAGAGCTGTCAGACAGAGACATTTAAGTCTGCAGAAGTTTCTGCTGCCTTTTGTTCAGCTATGCCCTGCCCCCAGAGGTGGAGTCTACAGAGGCAGGTAGGCCTTCCTGAGCTGTGGTGGGCTCCACCCAGTTCGAGCTTCTAGGCGGCTTTGTTTACCTACTCAAGTCTCAGCAATGGTGGACGCCCCTCCCCCAGACCAGGCTGCCGCCTGGCAGTTCAATCTTGGACTGCTGAACTAGCAGTGAGCAAGGCTCTGTGGGCGTGGGACCTGCCGAGCCAGGTGAGGGATATAATCTCCTGGTGTGCCGTTTCCTAAGACCATTGGAAAAGCGCCGTATTAAGGAGAGAGTGTCCTGATTTTCCAGGTCTGTCACAGCTTCCTTCCCTAAGAAAAGGAAATCCCCCGACCCCTTGCTCTTCCTGGGTGAGGCGACATCCCACCCTGTTTCAGCTCATCCTCTGTGGGCTGCACCCACTGTGCAACCAGTCCCGGTGAGATGAACCAGGTACCTCAGTTGGAAATGCAGAAATCATAAGACTTCTGTGTGGAACACGCTGGGAGCTGCAGACTGGAGCTGTTCCTATTCGGCCATCTTGGAACGATCCAATTCATTTTCTTTTTAAAGATTATTACCGGCCGGACAAGGTGGCTCACGCCTGTAATCCCAACACTTTGGAAGGACAAGACAGGCAGATCACTTGAGGCTAGGAGTTCGAGGCCAGCCTGGCCAACATGGTGAAACTTAACTCTCCACTAATAATACAAAAATAATACAATTTTGTATTAAGAATACAAAAATTAGCCAAGCATGGTGGCACACGCCTGTAATCCCAGCTACTTGGGTGGTTGAGGCAGGAGAATCGCTTGGACCTGGGAGGCAGAGGTTGCACTCCAGCCTGGGCAATAGAAAAATAAAAAATAGGCCAGGCACGCTGGCTCATGCCTGTAATCCCAGCACTTTAGGAGGCCAAGGTGGGTGGATCACCTGAGGTCAGGAGTTCAAGACCAGCCTGGACAACATGGTGAAACTCCATCTCTACTAAAAATATAAAATTAGCCATGTGTGGTAGCTCATGCCTGTTATCCCAGCTACTCAGGAAGCTGAGGCAGGAGAATCGCTTGAACCCAGGAAGCAGAGGTTGCAATGAGCCAAGGTCATGCCATTGCACTCCAGCCAGGGAAACAAGAGCAAACTCCATCTCAAAAAAAATAAATAAAAAAAAATAAAAATAATAATATAATAAAACAAAGATTATTATAAACTCATGGATTTACAAATATTTAAACATTATCCTCATTAGGGCAGAAATTGTTTCCTTTTTAACCTGTGGAAGGCTCTTCAAAATGGCCCCTGAAAGGCCAGATGCAGAGCTCACACCTGTAGTCCCAGCACTTTGGGAGGCCAAGGTGGGAACATCACTTGAGCCCAAGAGTTTGAGATCAGCCTGGGCAACATAGGGAGACCCTCTCTCTTCAAAATAATTTTAAGAATCTTCTGCCCATGACTCTAGTAGTCTTTGATAACTTCTCTACTGTGTGGTAGGTCAAGATATTCCAGTTCATCTCCTACATTTCCTATTCCAGATTTGGAATTAGCCATTTCTCCAAGCAGCCCAGGTTTGCTTTAGCAGAACACGGTATTTCAAGACCATAATCTAGGCACTATGGCTGCTTTCCCATTGTTACTAGGCACTTTCATACCAAGAATCCTGGTTCTCAAGGACCCAGAGGATGACAGGATTGGAATATCCCATCATTTGTGCTAACCTATAAGGATTGTATGGCAATTTCAGAATAACAATAACAATATTACCACCATATATTGTGACTAAACAGTTTAAAAATATTTTTCTCAGGCTAACTTCATTCTCTCCCCCTTTTTAATGGTCATGGTAGATCTATCTGGACAGGCTGTAAAACCTTTACATATAATAATTTCCTCTTTTAACTCTCATTTAGTCTTAGTTCTATAAGCACCCATGTATTTCATGCTCACCACCAGTTCTTGTGTCAATGTTTCTCTAATTGTTTTGGTGGCCTTGATCTAGAGTAGATGCTTTAATAAAAGCCCATGAGAACAAGAGTTCCTGAGTTCTTGCATGTTGATCACAGTTTGTGTCAATCTCACTGGATAGAAGGTCTTTCCCTCACACTTGATATCCTTGGGTATCTTAAGTATGTTACCCCATTTTATTTTGGCACAAAGCTATTCTGTCAAAAAGTCTGATAATAATCTAATTTTCTTTTCTTCATAAGTCACATGCTATTTGTGTCTAAATGCTTATAGAAATTTTTTGAAAGCCAAATAATATTGCTAAAGAAAAGAAATGTTTATTTTCCTTTAAAGTCCAATAATTTTTCTAGAACATGTCCTAGAATATTTTCTAGAATAGCCCTGGGTCAATATGTTTAGGTACATGGTGTGCTTTTTCAATCTGTATTTCAAAATACCTCCGGAAATATTTCAGGAAAGTATTTTTTTCTTTTTCTTTCTTTCTTTTTTTTTTTTTTTTCTTTTTGAGACAGGGTCTGGCTCTGTTGCTCAGGCTGGAGTGCAGGGGTGCAATCTTCGCTCACTGCAGCCTCGACCTCCCAGGCTCAAGCCATCCTCCCACCTCAGCCTCCTGAGTAGATGGGGCTACAGGCACACACCACCACGCCCGGGTAATTTTTTTTTTTAATTTTTGAATTTTTTGTATAGACAGGGTCTCACTATGTTGCCCAAGCTGGTCTCAAACTCCTGGGCTCAAGTGATGCATTTGTCTCGTGCCTCAGCCTCCAAAAGTGCTGGGATTACAGATGTGAGCCATTGCCCCAGCCAGGCAAGTTTTCTTGACTTTCAGTTGTAGTACTCATTTTGTTCCCTTTCTTTGGTCTTCTTTTGCTTCAGGGACTCTAACTATCCATATTTCAGATCTTTCTGATCTATATTTGTCACTTTTCTTCAATGTTTTTTGTTTCTTCATTTCTTTGAACTTATATTTCTTTTTGCCTTCTCTTGTGTCTATTTGCTCTAGAGTTTCTTCTGGTTTGATTGTCATTTTTTAAATGATTTTTTTTTCTTTTCATTTCTAGTTATTTCTTGAATTCTGTCACCCTATTTGTAAGATTTTCTAATTCTGATGAATAATGCTCTTTCATGTCTTTTACTGCTTTCTTAACGTCTTTTAGTTCTTTTCAGATAGTAGGTCACTGTATTTAACTGTTCTTTTTCAATATGTCTTTCTGGGTTGCTTTCATTGTCTATACCCCTTTAATTTTTGCATAAAAATACTGAGACCCAGTGTTACTCATCCAAGTTCACTTTTCAAAGTATGAAAAACAATGTAATTTTAAAAACAAATTTGCATTCTAATGTTTCCTTTGGTGAAAGGTGGCAGAAGCAATTCCCAAAACCAACCAGTCAACATTAGACTACGAACTTCCAAAGGTAGGCCACCTTGCTCCAGGGACTGGAAGTTTCTTTCAGGTAACTGTTTTTCCCTTTTATATCTCAAAAGCAAATGAACTATCAATTCAGTCAGAAGACACTGCACCAAACAACACTCTCTCAAAAAGTCCTAATGAGTCTTATTTCATATCTTCTGTAGTGTCAGTTCAGATTCTGCTTTTGAGATTCTCCCTACAGAAAAGAATCATCTCTGACTCCTTTGTGTAAATCAAAGACAGAGATCAATGACATATTGAATTAATATGAAAGAGCATTTTAAATGCAGACGTCATCCAACACTATCACTGAGCATAAAACTCTGTCTTCATTGAAATATTTGATCAATTGTTTGATGTCAAGCAGTATTTTTTAATTAAATATTTGTCCCTCCTCACATAAAAGGACTGATTACTATCTTTTACAGAAGAATGAATTTAACAGTTTCCTACCAATAAAATAGAACTTTGCCCTCAAAATGTTTTAACCATTTGAACTTTAAAATGCAAGTTCATAGTTCTTTAAGAGACTAACACAGAAAGCTAAAGTAATTCTCCATAAAACCCAGAGACGAGATTGTAAAACTCCTCTGTAGATACTGTCTGGAGTCACAGCTTAACCAGAAAAAAATTTATCACAATTTAAGCACCTTTCTGATAATTTTATATAGTTCATAGGACAAGTGAGACATTTAAGTTTTCTCTGCTTAAAAGGTCATTTAAGCTGAGCATGATGGTGCACACCTGTAGTCCGAGCTACTTGGGAGGCTAAGGTGGGAGAATCACTTGAGCCTTAGGAGTTAAGGACTTCAGTGAGCTATGACTGCACCACTGCACTCCAGATTGGGTGACAGAGCAAGACCCTGTCTCTAAAATAATTAATTAATTAATTAAATCAATGTCTTAGTATACCATGAAGACCACTACCCTGCCTGAAACCCTTCCATGGCCCGCTTTGTCTTACAGGATGAAAGTCAAGTTGCTTGATGTCCCATCCCTTGGTGACCTGGCACTTAGCCTCATCTCTGTCAAACATTCATTTAACAAAGACGACTTGCCCTCAGCCCAACAAGATGAGATCAGAGGGCTGGAGGTCTCTCACACGTGCCACAATCTCTCACACATCCATGCCTTTGTACACTGCTCCCTCCATGGACCTGCCCTTCCACCACTCCTTCCAATTGTAAATGCCCGGGCCAAAGGCAATTCATCTGGTGGCCACTGAGGAGGTGGCTGGGGGTGCGATACTGGCTGGAAAGAAGCACAAAGGAACTTTCCGTATTGATGAAAATGATTATGATTTATATCTCCATTGAGGTGGTGTCAATATGGATGTATACATTTGTCAAAATTCATTGAGCTATATCACAATCTGTGCATTTTATTTAAATTTTTTAAAATGTTAGGCAACAAGATAAAAGTCAATTCAAAAGCATCATTTTCGCTGGGTGCAATGACTCACACCTGTAATCCCAGCAATTTGGGAGGCCAAGGCAGCGGATCACCTGAGGTCAGGAGTTCAAGACCAGCCTGGTCAACATGGCAAAACCCCATGTCTAGTAAAAATACAAAAATTAGATGGGCATAGTGGCAGGTGCCTATAATCCCAGCCACTCAGGAGGTTGAGGCAGGAGAAGTGCTTGAACCCAGGAAGCGGAGGTTGCTGTGAGCCAAGATCGCACCATTGCACTCCAGTCTGGGCAACAGAGTGAGACTCCATCTCAAAAAAAAAAAGAAGCAGCATTATTTTTCATTAGAAGCTCTCCCTACTTCTAACTCGGGCTGATTTGGATATCCCCTCTCTGCTCCCATAACACTTTATGAATACTTCTATCCCAAGATTTAGAAACTTACCTCACTGTACATACACAACTACTGAATTTATTTGTCTACTTCACCAGACTATAAACTTTAGAGAGGAAATGGTTTGGATGGGTGTCCCTGCCCAAATCTCATGTCAATTGTAATTCCCAGTGTTGGAGGTGATTGGATCAGGTGGATTTTCCTCTTGGTGCTGTTCTCGTGATAGTGAGTTCTCATGAGATCTGGTCATTTAAAAGTGTGCAGCACCTCCTCTTCCTGCTTTCTCTTTCTCCTGTTCTAGCCATGTGAAGTGTTGACTTCTCCTTTGCCTTCTGCCATGATTGTAAGTTTCCTGAGATCTCCCCAAAAACCAAGCAGATGCCAGCATCATGCTCCTATAAAGCCTGCAGAACCATGAGCCAATTAAACCTCTTTTCTTTACAAATTACCCAGTCTCAAGTATTTCCTTATAGTGGTGTAAGAACGGACTGATACAAAGAGCAAAGACCAGGTCTTAATAGTTTCATTTCTCTAACACCTACCATTTTTGTGGCACCTTCAGCACCATGAAAATTATGCAGTAAACATCTATTAAATGAATCAAAATGAAATTTAATGATAGGAAGAAGATGGTGGTGGTGACAAGGGGAGGGCAGGAAGATTTCTGAGGTTGTCACAACCCATAAAAATGACAACACAGGCTGGGCGTGGTGGCTCATGCCAGTAATCCCAGCACTTTGGGAGGCTGAGGCAGGCGGATCACTTGAGGTCAGGAATTCAAGACCAACCTGGCCAACATGGTGAAACTCCGTCCCTACTAAAAATACAAAAATTAGCCAGGTGTGGTAGTGGGCGCCTGTACTCCCAGCAACTCGGCAGGCTGAAGCAAGAGAATAGCTTGAACCCAGGAGGCAGAGGTTGCAGTGAGCTGAGATCGCACCACTGCACTCCAGCCTGGGCGACAGAGCAAGACTCTGTCTCAAAAACAAAAACAAAAAAATGACAACACAGTAAAATGTAATTATCAACTACAACTGGAATCAGCCTACAAAGTACTCCCACCCTTTGGCTACCATCTTTCATCCCTAGACACACATATATGAGCTCTTACCATCACCTTCTTTACTGCTCCTTTTAAAGAGTTTACACCAAGATTTATGTTTGGGACTGCAGGGGAACACTTTCCCAGTGTGAACTGAGATTTGTCTCTTTATTCCCCTCTCACTCCAATAGAGGGTTCTGAACAGAGGCATTTAGAAGCCATTCCCACAGTGAACTTATGTCTCATAAATGATCAGCATGAAGGATGGCAAATTGATTTTCTAGGAAAGGTTTCCCTTGCTTCTTGTTTAGGAAATTCAACTCTAATCTCTTCAAAACACATGTCTCAGTGAGCTTTATCATCCCTATAATTAACTTAATTTAGATAAATATTAGCCTCCAGAAATTTTACATTATAAACTTGGCTATGGTTGAACACTCCAGGAAGGCCCTAATGTGCTACAGAAATCAATGAAATGTTAACAAGCATTGACAGCTTAGCAGGTGCTACAGAGGAGAGTAGAATCCAAAAAAGGATTGTGCAACCCAGGCATCTCTGTCCCTTCAAGGTTATCATCTTGCCACTCATCCACCTACGTTAACCGACCTAGAGGCATAGCCGGAACCTGAGCTAATTGTGAAATTCCTCCCCATAGTAAACCTTTCCCCAGAGGTGCCACTCAGCACCTCTGCCCATGAACCTCTGTCGAGAAAGAACTGAAACTCATTTATTTAGTGGTGAAATTGACTGAGACAGACTCATGTTCTCTCTTATGAGCAATTCCAAAATCCCCAAACTCTGAATACCAAAAAACTTTTTTTTGAGACTAAGTTTTGCCCTGTCACTCAGGCTGGAGTGCAGTGGTACAATCACAGTTCACTGCAGACTTGACCTCCTGGGCTCAGGTGATCCTCCCACTTCAGCCTCCCAAGTAGCTAGGACTACGAGCACATGCCATCACATCTGGCTAATTTTTTTTGTAGAGATCGGGTTTCACCATGTTGCCCAGGCTGGTCTTGAACTCCTGGACTCAAGCAATCCTCCCACCTCAACCTCCCAAAGTGCTGGGATTACAGGCATGACCCACTGCACCCAGCCTAAAAAACTTTTTGAAGTTTGACACAAACTCATTTAGTAGCACACATTGGACTGAATTGAAATGAGACTATTTGTAGTCTTCATTCCCTTTAGTGGAAAAATTCATCACTGTCTGATTACAGAAAGCTACCCCAGACCATGTTGGCAGTATGGTATAACATATACTAAATGCAATGTATCACCTTTCTAAAATTCAAAAATACCTTAATGCTGAAATACATTTAGCATGGAATACTTTAGATCTAGTATTGTGGGCCTGAGGCCACTAGAATACCAGTTGGGTCAGTTTGTCATGGGCACCCACCATGACATCTCTGGGTCCAGGTGGAAAGGGCAAGCTCCATGGTAGCTTCTGGGGGTCTGGCACCAGTGGCAGAGCAGGGAGTGGGGCACACCTGCCTGGTAGTGCTACTCCTGACTCAGAGCATCGCCTCCTCCAGGGGGTTTACATTCCAGCAGCCCCAATACATAGGAGGCACAGCTGAGCCATGGCCTTGCTGTTGAAATCCATTGTTAGGAGATGGTGAGGATGACAGGGCCCTGGTGCAGAGCTCTGACCTACGCAGCTGTCCATGGAAACAAAACCTTTTGGAATCCATGGCCATGGCTGGGTGTCATCTCTAAGGCAGCAGGCCAAGTTAGTGAACTCTGGTACCCAGTTAATTACACCAATTTGTTGATATCATACATACCTATCTGGAGGTTGAATTGAATTATGAACTTGGTATTGAAGTATAACAAACATGCAGAACAGTGCACATTGTGTAAGTGTACCACAAGATGAATTTTCACAAATCAAACACACCCCTGTAACCAGCATCCAGCAAAATAGAATATCCCTAGCACTGCAGAAACCTCCCTCATGTTTCCTTACAAATTATTATCATCTGCATCCCCCCACCAAGGGCAACCACAATCTTGACTTCTAAGAGTCTAGTTTTTGCAGCTTGATTTTTTAAATGAAATTCACCAAATGTTTTGCCATTAGGTAGACATGATTTTAGTGATGGCCAGATTCCCTTACTATCTTCTGAAAGTGAGACTATAAACTAGCTGGGCAGGAGGTGAGGTATAACAACCACATAAAATTCAACAAGCATATGCCCAAACCCCAACCTGGAGTTGCCTCAAAATCAAACCCTGACAGACTATAAAAAAGAAACAAAGCTTGCTTGCAATAAAGAACACAGAAGGCTGTGTGCGGTGGCTTGCGCCTGTAATCCCAACACTTTGGGAGGCCGAAGCAGGAGGATAGCTTGAGCCCAGGATTTCGAAACAAGCCTAGGGAACATAGTGAGACCCTATCACTACAAACAATTTTTCAAAATTAGTCAGGTGTGGTGGCACATGCCTGTAGTCTGAGCTACTTGGGAGGCTGAGGCAGGAAGATTGCTTAAGTCCAGGAGTTTGAGGCTGCAGTGAGCTATGATTGTGCCACTGCACTGCAGCCTGGGCAACAGAGCAAGACCCTATCTCTTTAAAAAAAAAACAGAACACAGAAACTTAATTTAAATTAGATGATTCAAATATATGTATCACTTAAAGCTTGTAGAATACTATTTTTATTGAGATAAAATTTTCACCATTTTAAACATTTTGAAATGTATAATTCAGTGGCAAATTCATGGAGTTATACAACCATCACCACCATCTAACTGCAGAACATTTCTATCACACCAAGAATTAACCCTATACCTGTTAGCAGGTGCTCCCAATTCCTCCCTCCACCCATCCCCCGTCAATCACTAATCTACTTTGTCTCTCTGGATTTGCCTATTCTGGATATTTCCTATAAATTTAATCATACAGTATGTGGCCCTTTCTGTCTGGCTTCTCTAGCTTAGCATAATGTTTTCAAGGTTCATTCACGTTCTAGCATGCATCGGTATTTCGTTTCTTTTTATGGCTAAATAATATTCCACTGTGTGCCACATTTTGTTTCTCCATTCATCAGCTGGTGGCCATTTGGGTTGTTTCCTTCTTTTGACTATTGTGAGTAATGCTGTTATGAGCATTCATAAGTAATGCTGTTATGAGTAATGCTGTTATGAGCATTCATGCACAAGTTCTTGTGTGAATGTATGTTTTCGGTTGTCTTGAGTATATACTTAGGAATGGAATTTCTGGGTTATAAGGTAACTGTTTAACCTTATAAGGAACTCCCAGACTGTTTCCTGAAGTGGCTGAGGATTTTGCCTTCCCACCAGCAATGTTATGAGTGTTCTAATTTCTCGACATCCTTGCTAACACTTATTTTCTGGTGTTTCTTTTTTTTTTTCATCATAGCCATCCCAGTGGGTGTGAAGTAGTATCTTACTGTGGTTTTGATTTATTTCCCTAATGACTAATGATGTTGAGCATCATTTTATGTTCTTATTGGCCATCTGTATATCTGCTTTGGAGAAATGTCTGTTCAGATTCTTTGCCCATTTTTAAATGCAGTTGTCTTTTTATTCTTTTATGAGTTGTTTAAATATATTTTGGATACTAGATCCTAATCAGAGATAAGATTTACAAATATTTTATTTACAAATGTTTTCTCCCATTCTGTGAGTTGTCTTTTTTTTTTTTTTTTTTTTTGAGACAGGGTCCCCAGGCTGCAGTGCAGAGGTGGTGTGATCACGACTCACTGCAGCCTCAACCTCCCGGGCTCAAGTGATCCTCCCACCTCAGCCTCCTGAATAGCTGGGACTACAGGCACACCACCATGCCAGGCTAATTTTTAAATTTAAAAACAATGTTTTGCAGAGATGAGGTCTCACTAAGTTACCCACATTGGTTTCAAACTCCTGGCTTCACGTGATCCTCTCACCTCAGGATCCCAAAGTGCTGGGATTATAGGGATGAGCCACCATGCCCAGGCTTCTTGCTTTCTTGATAGTCCTTTTCTGCACAGAAGTTTTTTATTTTGATAAAGTTTAATTGACCTGTTTCTTCTTTTGTTGCTTATGCCTTTGGTGTCATGTTTAAGGAACTGTTGCCTACTCCAACGTCATGAAGATTTACACCTATGTTTCCTGCTAAGAGTTATAGTTTTGTAAAATGGCATTTTTATTAAATCATGTTTTGATTTATTTAAGATGACTATCATGCCAAAGCTCCCTGGTTACAAAGGTCACAAAAATATAAAGAAAATACAAAAAATATATTTTAGTCTTATCTTCTATCACATGATGGTATAGGATGTAGTCATTGGAGTCAAATCATGGATTTGACTTCCAGGACTTCTAGGCACCATGTCTAAGTAGCTTCCTTGGAGAATCTGTGTATCCTGACTGAGAATGAGTATTCCAAATTTTATGTGCATTCTATATATTTATCTATTACAAAGATATATATAAATATAGATATATTGTTATACCATTAAAAACTTTTTTTTTTTTTTTTTTTTTGAGACAGGGTCTGGCTCTGTCACCCAGGCTGGAGTGGAATGGCGCCATCTCAGCTCACTGTAACCTCTGCCTCCCAGGCTCAAGCCATCCTTCCAACTCAGCCTCCCAAGTAGCTGGGACTATAGGCATATGCCACCATGCCCGGCTAATTTTTATAATTTTTGTATTTTTTGTAGAGACAGGGTTTCACCATGTTGCCCAAGCTGGTCTTGAGCTCCTGAGCTCAAGCGATCCGCCCACCTCAGCCTCCCAAAGTGCTGGGATTACAGGTATGAGCCACTGTGCCCAGCTGGAAATGTCCATTTTTCCATCTCTTGGGTGACACTCTGGCTAGCTGTTCACTAGCACTGAGCTTTTTGAGAACTAAGCAATTAACTTCTCCAGTATATTTAATTGAAATTTTTTCTTACTATTCCCCTGCTTACTGGGAAGGCACCACAATAGTATATTGTAAAGAGTAAGAATTAGGAAACCTGAGTTTTGGCTCTGACTCTGCCACTAACTGTGTGACCCTGGAGATTCGTCTCATTTCACTGGCCCTTGGTGTCCTCTTTGAGAGAGGAAGAAAGGAAAGAAGGGAGGGAAAAAAGGAGGGAGGGAAAGGAATGCCCTTCCAATTCTGGCAGTCTGATTGTTTGGGACTACATTTAGAAATGTCTTTTCATCTCTATTTGTAGCAAGCAGAATTGTTCCAGCCAGTTTTCAGGCTATTTGTGTGTGCTAACCTTTGTGGTAGCACTTCTCTCACATTTGGCTTTTGGAAGTAATTCCTAGCCCAAATAACAATCTTCTTTTCCTTGTTTGGCATCTCTACCCAAAAGCCAAACATTGATACATCTGAAGGGAAGGCAGGCTGTGGGCCAGGCTCACAGATAGGCATAAATGTTGACTCCCCAAGTATGCTGTGGGAGATCAAAGGGGAAGATGTGCTGACTAAATGTCCCATGAGAATCCCTGTGAGCCCATAACTTGGAGGAACTGTGTGGTCCCTGACCAGCCTAAGTTTTGGAAAGGAATCAGAAGGCTCCTCCCGATTCACAGGGTAACCAGCTGGCCAGCTAACATCAAGCAGAAGGCAAACAAAATAATGCTTTAAAATTTCCGCTCCTGCCACTTGCCTTGGGGGGGAAAGAAGTATTTAGACAGTTAATTCACTCATTCACTCATTCAGTGAATATATATTGACAGCCTATAATGTGCCACTATTCTAGGCACCAGGAATACAGCAGGGAACAAAATAAAGCTCCCATAATCATGAAGCTGACACGCTCATGAGGAAGACAGACAACAGACAAGCGAGTAGCTCTACATACATGTGTGTATACATGTGTGCATACATGTATGCATATGTGCATGCATATACTTATGTATGTATGTGTCAGATGGTAAGCACTTTAGGAAAAGGCAAAACAGAGAAAGTGGCATAGGAAATGCGGGGGAAAAAGTTGAGTGTTCATTGCTATTGTAAATGGGGTTGTCAGAGCAGGCTTCATGGATTAGGTGGCATATAAACACAAAACTGGAAGACAAGAAGGTGAGACCTGGAGGAAGAGCATTCTAGGCAGAAAGAACAGTAAGTGCAATGGCCTTGGGCTGAGAACACGTGTGTCATCTATAAGGAATAGCAAAGAGGCCAGCGTGGCCAAATCAGAGACATCAAGGCAGAGAGCAGAGGAGGTGAGTGTGACAGAGTGAGAAGAGGGTACATCGTGTAGGGCTTTAGGACTTGGGCTTTTATTCTCAACAAATGGGGATCCATTGAAGGATTTCAAGCAGAAGAGAGACATGATCTGACTTATGTTTCAAAATGATCTCTTTGAAGGGAGTGCTCACACACGGTTAGTGGGAATGTAAATTAATTCAGCCCCTGTGGAAAGTAGTTTGGAGATTTTTCAAAGAACTAACAATAGAACTACCACTCAACCTTGCAATCCCACTACTGGGTATATATCCAAAGGAAAATAGATTGTTCTACCAAAAAGACACATGTTCTGCTTAGTTTTAGGGAATATTTTTTAAAAGACATGCACTTGTATGTTCACTGCCATGCTATTCACAATAGCAAAAACAGGGAATCAACCCAGGTGCCCATCAACAGTGGACTGGATAAAGAAAATGTGGTGCATATACTCTATAGAATACTATGCAGCCATTAAAAAGAACAAAAGTATGTCCTTTCCAGCAACGTGAATGCAGCTGGGGACCATTTTTCTATGCAAACCAACCCAGAAACACAAAACAAAATATTACATGTTCTTACATGTAAGTGGGAGCTAAGCCCTGGGTACATGCAGACATGTAATCCCAGCACTTCGGGAGGCCAAGGCAGGCAGATCACGAGGTCAGGAGATTGACACCAATCCGGCTAACCCGGTGAAACCCCGTCTCTATAAAACTACAAAAAAATTAGCAAGGCTTGGTGGCGGGTGCCTGTAGTCCCAGCTACTCGGGAAGCTAAGGCAGGAGGATGGCGAGAACCTGGGAGGCCAAGCTTGCAGTGAGCTGAGATCACACCACTGCACTCCAGCCTGGGTGACAGAGCAAGACTCAAAAAAAAAAAAAAAAAAGAAAAGAAAAGAAACCTGCATATGTACCCTCAAATCTAAAATAAAAATTACACAGTAGCTCACACCTGTAATCCCAGCACTTTGGGAGGCCAAGACAGGAAGATCACTTGAGGCCAGGAGTTCCAGCCCCATCTGGACAACAAGTGAGACCTCATATCTAAAAAAAAAAAAAATTAAATTAAAGTTAAATGGAATGACTACAAATCAAAAATAAAAATAAAGTGATCTCTTGAGCTGCTCAGAATACTCTGTTACGGGATGGTAGCATGGACATCAATGAGGAGTTTATTGCAATTACCCAGACAAGAGCTAAAGGGGCTTAGACAAGGGGGTAGCTGTGATCATGAGAAGGGGTCAGATTCTGGATATATTTTGAAGGGAGGACCAAGAGGATTTGCTGATATATGCAATACAGGGAGTGAGAAAAACAGAGAAGTAAAGCATGACGACAAAATGTTTGGTCTGAGCCACTAGAGGGAAGGCTATGGGATGAGCAAGTTGAAGGACAGGAAGGTGTGGTGACTCGGGAGTCCTGTTTTGGTCGTGTTGATTTTGTATTGCATATTAGACATCCAAGAGTAGATGAATAGATTAGCTCTGGAATCAGAGGAAAGGTCCAAATTTAGGAGTTGATGCCATATATGTGTATGGGGTTTAAGCCCCTGAGACTGGAAGAGGGCCCCTGGAGAGTGAGTATGAAGAAGAGCAGAGATGCCCCAGCCCTGGGGCCTTAAGACAGCAGGAAGGGCCAGGCGCAGGGGCCCTCGCCTGTAATCCCAGCACTTGGGAGGCTGAGGTGGGTGGATCACTTGAGGCCAGGAGTTCAAGACCAGCCTGGCCAACGTGGCAATACCCCGTCTCTACTAAAAATACAAAAAAATTAGCTGGGTGTGGTGGCACACACCTGCAATCCCACTACTTGGGAGGCTGAGGCAGGAGAATCACTTGAACCCAGGAGGTGGAGGTTGCAGTGAGCCGAGATCATGCCAATCACTCCAGCCTGGGTGACAGAGCAACACTCTGTCTCAATAAAAAAACAAAGCTGAAAGAGAGAATGGGAGGAGAGGACCTGGAGAGAGACAGTACAGTACAGAATCCTCTTTAGAGAACCCAATGAATGAAAGAAAGCAAAGAGACAAAGAAGGTAGGGTCAACACAGGGTTTTCTGAAAATGAGGCCTCTGCGGAACCCTGTGTTTGCAGGAGCTAGGCACCCAAGCTCACCAGCAGTGCCTGTCCTACCAAGAATCAGAGGCCTCAGTCACCCCTCCGAGGGTACTACTGTGGGGCTGAACCCAGAAACTTCTCCTTTAACTTCAAGTGCACAACAGTAATAAGTGCTTTTATTTTTAGAGTCACTTACTATGCACCAGGCTCCCTAGACATCATTATTACCCCAACTTACAAAGGCAGAAGCAAAGACTTCTGCGAGAAAGGCAAGAATTAGGGAAGGCCTGCATGTGAGGAGAGAATGATCCAGTGGAAAGGGGAGAAAACTGGGAGAGGGGACAGTTGCTGGGGCAATGCTCTCCAGCGGTGCTGGCATGAAGCAGTTAGCTGCAAATAAATCCAGCAGCATGGTCTCACAGGACAGCATGCCAGGGACACAGATTTCTTAGGGGAGGAAAACTGTCACTGGGTTTGTTCTATTTAAGGGACCCAGAGAATGAATCTGTGATGCGTCCTCATCCTTGGGCAGCATCTTCCTGTAAACACTCTCCTATGATCAGGCCTTAAATCAGCTATGATTATTCTTCATTAATAACAGTCCCACCTAACAACTACACAGTACCCTCTTCCCAAGAGTCTTTCAATTTTTAAAATTATTTTTAGTTTTTCAAGAGGAAATGACAGAGAAAACAAAACATAATCCCGCTGTACAGATATATATTAATATATAAATAATATATAATATTAATATATATTTCAATATATATTATATATTACATAAAATATATATTATACATACATTTTTATAGTTATATTTTTATATAGTATATATTTTTATATACTTCATATATATGATTTTTTTTTAATTTTTTGTGTGTGTTTGTGGTAGGGTCTCACTCTGTCGCCCAGGCTGGAGTGCAGTGACACAGTCTTGGCTCACTGCAACCTCCACCTCCCGGGCTAAGCGATTCTCGTGTCTCAGCCTCCTGAGTAGCTGGAATTACAGGCTCACACCACCACAACTGGCTAATTTTTGTATTTTTTGTAGAGACAGGGTTTCACCATGTTGGCCAGGCTGGTCTCTAACTCCTGGACTCAGGAGATCTGCCCGCCTCAGCCTCCCAAAGTGCTGAGATTACAGGTATGAGCCACTGCACCCGGCTTATATATATATATTTTAAGACAGGATCTTACTGTGTTGCCCAGGCTGGAGTGCAGTGTCACCATCACAGCTGACTGCAGCCTCAAACTCCTGAGCTCCTCCCACCTCAGCCTCCCAAGTCTGGGACTACAGGCAGGAACCACAGCAGTGGCCCCCTGTTAATATTTTTAATAGAAATAATAAAATGAAGAGTAAAGCCTCCCTCCCCTGTCCTAGTCTATTCCGTAAAGATAACCACAGCTCTTTATTTTTCTAGAAAAAAATTGCATATATCACCTATATGTTTGAGTAAAAATTCATACACAAAACCCATCATGCTATAAATTACTACTCTGCACCTCAGTCTTAATATATCTTGGCAATTTTTATCTACATATTTATTTTAACGGTCATGGTGCACGTTTTAAAAAGTGCTTTGCCAGGCCATGCAGGTGGCTCATGCCTGTAATCCCAGCACTTTGGGAGGCCGAGGCGGGCAGATTACCTGAGGTCAGGAGTTTGAAACCAGCCTGACCAACATGGTGAAACCCCATCTCTATTAAAAATACAAAAATTAGCCAGGTGTGGTGGTGTGCGCCTGTAATCCCAGCTACTCGGGAGGCTGAGGCAAGAGAATCGCTTGAACCTGGGAGGCAGAGGTTGTGATGAGCCAAGATCGCGCCACTGTACTCCAGCCTGGGCGACAGAGCGAAACTCCGTCTCAAAGAAAAAAAGAAAAGCGCTTTGCCATTTGTCATATCTTAGTCTCATCGAAACACATTGAGAAAAGAATACTTTATTTTGCAGATAACAAAATTGACCCAGAGTGACATTAAGTGACCTGTCCAAGGTCTCCCGGGAGTTGGAAGCTGAGGCAATAGTAGACACTGGGTTCCTGTCACTCCCTGTACCACAGCGCCTCCCAGTGGCGTCCAGGTGACATTTTTCACCCACAGCACTACTGGGGCCATCCAACACACCCTCTTCCTCCACATAGTCCACCAGATCTCAGGAAAATTTTCATCCACATTATTAAGACCATCCCATAGTCAAAAGCAATATGTCTCTTTTTTTTTTTTTTTAGATGGAGTCTCACTCTGTCGCCCGGGCTGGAGTGCAGTGGCATGATCCCAGCTCAATGCAACCTCTGCCTCCTGGGTTCAAGCAATTCTCCTGCCTCAGCCTCCCGAGTAGCTGGGACTACGGGCACATGCCACCACTCCCAGTTAATTTTTGTATTTTTAGTAGAGATGGGATTTCACCATGTTGGCCAGGCTGGTCTCAAACTCCTGACCTCAAGTGGTCAGCCTGCACTGGCCTCCCAAAGTGTTAGGATTACAGGCATGAGCCACCACGCCAGGCCCCACTGTGTCTCATTTTTACAGACTTTCTTTATTCATGAAATAATTTTTATAGCCATTGCATTGGGATTTAAAATTCTAAATAGAAAGTTAAGTTGTACATCTTATAATATCTAATATTCTAAGCCTTTCAGAGTGGAAAGAGAAGATATGGATGCTAGGGTAAGTTACTTTTGATCAATTTTTTTTAAGTCCAATGTACAGAGTATGTTCAAATGTCTGTGGTTCTTAACTTTTTTGTGAGACACGGACCCTTTTGTTGAAAATCTGATGAAAGCTACCAATCCTCTCCGGTGACAAAAGCACAGACACCTAAAATCTTGCCTTCAATACCAAGGCATTCATTAGAACTTCTAAGGACCATCCACAGGCCCCAGGTAAAAAAGCATTGCAATAGGGCCGGGCGCGGTGGCTCAAGCCTGTAATCCCAGCACTTTGGGAGGCTGAGGCGGGCGGATCACAAGGTCAGGAGATCGAGACCATCTTGGCCGACATGGTGAAACCCCGTCTCTACTAAAAATACAAAAAAAATTAGCCGGGCGTGGTGGTGGGCGCCTGTAGTCCCAACTACTGGGGAGGCTGAGGCAGGAGAATGGCGTGAACCCGGGAGGCAGAGCTTGCAGTGAGCGTAGATTGCGCCACTGCACTCCAGCCTGGGAGACAGAGCAAGACTCCATCTCAAAAAAAAAAAAGCATTGCAATAATGATTTAGTCCCCCGATTTTGCTATACCAAGTATATCTACATTACCAGCAGTGTCACAACATGCTTTTAATTCATTCTTACTTTTAACATATATGCCAAATCTCAGCTAAGTTGGCTATTTGTGGGTATATCAGTATAAGTTCAATTAGCACAGAAAATCTGAAAACCCTGAAATATTTTCTTTCAGTTTTTTTAGAGAATTAACTTTTCCATTGACAAGGCTGATCAACAAAAAGACATTTAAATTAAGATTTGACTTATATTATACAATGATACTTGACACTCATCTTACACTGAAAACAAAACCAAACCAAAGGGAAGTCCAGACTTGGATACGGTGAAGAGTGGTGGAGGGGATACAGGATTCATCTCATCAACTAATCACTTCTTTCAGAAATATAATTAACCTTAGGAGCAGACAAAATTTACTCTGTGGCTTTGGGGTGGGCAAAAAACACTCCATATAGAAAATCCTTTATTCTACCATCTTTCAAATCTTCCATTCTAATTAGGGTATCCTTTTCTGAGGTGCCTTAAGAATCATCTTCTGGCCAGATACAGTGGCTCACGCCTATAATCCCAGCACTTTGGGAGGTCAACACAGGCAGATCACTTGAGGCCAGGAGTTCAAGACCCACCTGGCCAACATGGCAAAATCCCATCTCGACTAAAAATACAAAAATTAGCCAGGCGTGGTGGTGGGCATCTGTAATCCCAGCTACTTGGGAGGCTGAGGTGGGAGGATCACTTGAACTCAGGAGGTGGAGGTTGCAGTGAGCCGAGATGGCACCACTGCATTCCAGCCTGGGCTTCAGGAGTGAGACTCCGTCTCAAAAAAAAAAGCCTCTTCCTTCCTAAGAAGGCTGATTTCCTCATTGTAAGGGAGTCTGCAAATAGCATTACCGTTAAGTAACAGCAAAGTACTGTATCAATGTTTTTCTTCACATAATTAAAACAGCCTTTAATTTCCCTTTTCCCCAGGTGATGATTCCATTTTCTGGTCCAAAGTCCGCTCTGAACAAGAGTTTAGTCAGCTGCCTAAAACATTAAAAGGCTATTTTCAAACACTTCCAAAAGCTGACTCTTTTTCTGCACTATTTAATGACAAGGCGAAGAAAAGAGGGACAGAAGATAGTAACCGTAACATGTTCTCACCTCTAAGACCTTCTCTTCCCTGTACCCCACACCATCGCTAACCTCATCACTCAGAGACTAAACACCTTCTTCAGCATAAGCCCCCCTCTCTGCTGAGTCACTGAATGTTAGAGCAAGAAGCAGAGAACCGAAGCCCTTGCAGACCGGCAAGATGGCGACCCTGCTGCGCATTAAGAGCCTGGTTATGCAGCTGAAGCAAATTCACAGAAGTTCCCGCCTTCCAGTGTTAGGAGGAGATGTTAGGAAGTTTAAGGGAGGGGGTTTTCTCCTTTGTTTTTTGTTTTTTGAGACGGAGTCGTGCTCTGTCGCCAGGCTGGAGTGCAGTGGTGCGATCTCAGTTCACTGCAAACTCTGCCTCCCGAGTTCAAGCGATTCTCCTGCCTCAGCCTCCCGAGTAGCTGGGATTACAGGCGCGCGCCTACACGCCCGGCTAATTTTTGTATTTTTAGTACAGGCAGAGTTTCATCATGTTGGCCGGGATGGTCTCGATCTCGACCTCGTGATCCATCCACCTGGGCCTCTCAAAGTGCTGGGATTATAGGTGTGAGCCACCACGCCCAGCCAAGGGGAGGGTTTCTTTGTTTGGGAGGTTTTGTTTTGGGGGTTTGTTTGGTTTTTGTTGTTGTTGTTGTTGTTGCTGTTTGTTTTTTTCTTTTCTTTTTTTGCCTTCGTTCTGTTTCTCTGACTAGAATTACTTGTCACTTGTTTTTGTTATTCTTTCAACAGAAACCCTGGAGCATAGGGACACAGGACTTATAGGTGTGTACCTGATGCACTCTGAAATTACATTTAGCTTTTAAAGAGGTGTTATTTTGCTCGCTAGAGGGCTTTTTCTTTGCTTTCTAGGCTTAGCACAAGCTCCAAAATCAGATTTGGGTTCTCCCCCTCATAGTGGCCTTAATTATAGGGAGACAGTGGGCTTAACTAGTGAGTCTCCTTCATCTGATTGCACTGCTGTAGGCCTTTTGAAAGTCATTCAGGAAAATATACATAAGAAAAATTGCTATAGCTCTGTGCTGGACCAGCTCAGTGGAAAACTTCTGATTGCCTAGCAATATGCACTTGTCCTTGGCTAACAAATGTCCTCACTTGTTAACATAGATGCCTGGACTCAGCACTTTTCAGTCCTAAACTCTGTTGTCCTTTACTTCTCTTGACAGCTAGCATGTGTTTAAGGGATCCAGAGGGTTGTGGATGGCAATGTACTGGGAAATGTGAACTGTGGTGCCACTATCCATTTCCCAGACAAGGATGAGGGGTCTCTGGGCGGCCACCAGTGAAAGGTCAGGCTTGAGTTTCCAGGAAGGCAGACCCAAATTCCAGAGCCAAGCATTTCAGCGGAGTTACCACATTCTTAATGCATGCTGCCAGGAGTCGTGCTGGCTGTCCCGTACTTATAAAACGAATCTATCATTTATGGGCTGTGAAGAGGAAAGAGAATCTTGTTCTTGACTGAGCTTTTTACTAAGTGGAAGGCCCACGTTTTTCACAACGTGGCCAATTTCTCAATTTCTGTAAGCCTGGGAAGAAGGTAATATCAACCCTATTTTTTCAGATGAGAACACAGATCCAGGGGGAGGAGCCAAGATGGCCGAATAGGAACAGCTCCGGTCTACAGCTCCCAGCGTGAGCTACGCAGAAGACGGGTGATTTCTGCATTTCCATCTGAGGTACCGGGTTCATCTCACTAGGGAGTGCCAGACAGTGGGCGCAGGCCAGTGTGTGCGCGCACCGTGCGCGAGCCGAAGCAGGGCGAGGCATTGCCTCACCTGGGAAGCGCAAGGGGTCAGGGAGTTCCCTTTCCGAGTCAAAGAAAGGGGTGACGAACGCACCTGGAAAATCGGGTCACTGCCACCCGAATATTGCACTTTTCAGACCGGCTTAAAAAACGGCGCACCACGAGACTATATCCCACACCTGGCTGAGAGGGTCCTACGCCCACGGAATCTCGCTGATTGCTAGCACAGCAGTCTGAGATTAAACTGCAAGGCGGCAACCAGGCTGGGGGAGGGGCGCCCGCCATTGCCCAGGCTTGCTTAGGTAAACAAAGCAGCCGGGAAGCTCGAACTGGGTGGAGCCCACCACAGCTCAAGGAGGCCTGCCTGCCTCTGTAGGCTCCACCTCTAGGGGCAGGGCACAGACAAACAAAAAGACAGCAGTAACCTCTGCAGACTTAAGTGTCCCTGTCTGACAGCTTTGCAGAGAGCAGTGGTTCTCCCAGCACGCAGCTGGAGATCTGAGAACGGGCAGACTGCCTCCTCAAGTGGGTCCCTGACCCCTGACCCCCGAGCAGCCTAACTGGGAGGCACCCCCCAGCAGGGGCACACTGACACCTCACACGGCAGGGTATTCCAACAGACCTGCAGCTGAGGGTCCTGTCTGTTAGAAGGAAAACTAACAACCAGAAAGGACATCTACACCGAAAACCCATCTGTACATCACCATCATCAAAGACCAAAAGTAGATAAAACCACAAAGATGGGGAAAAAACAGAACAGAAAAACTGGAAACTCTAAAAAGCAGAGCGCCTCTCCTCCTCCAAAGGAACGCAGTTCCTCACCAGCAATGGAACAAAGCTGGATGGAGAATGATTTTGACGAGCTGAGAGAAGGAGGCTTCAGACGATCAAATTACTCTGAGCTACGGGAGGACATTCAAACCAAAGGCAAAGAAGTTGAAAACTTTGAAAAAAATTTAGAAGAATGTATAACTAGAATAACCAATACAGAGAAGTGCTTAAAGGAGCTGATAGAGCTGAAAACCAAGGCTCGAGAACTACGTGAAGAATGCAGAAGCCTCAGGAGCCGATGCAATCAACTGGAAGAAAGGGTATCAGCGATGGAAGATGAAATGAATGAAATGAAGCGAGAAGGGAAGTTTAGAGAAAAAAGAATAAAAAGAAATGAGCAAAGCCTCCAAGAAATATGGGACTATGTGAAAAGACCAAATCTACGTCTGATCGGTGTACCTGAAAGTGATGTGGAGAATGGAACCAAGTTGGAAAACACTCTGCAGGATATTATCCAGGAGAACTTCCCCAATCTAGCAAGGCAGGCCAACGTTCAGATTCAGGAAATACAGAGAACGCCACAAAGATACTCCTCGAGAAGAGCAACTCCAAGACACATAATTGTCAGATTCACCAAAGTTGAAATGAAGGAAAAAATGTTAAGGGCAGCCAGAGAGAAAGGTCGGGTTACCCTCAAAGGAAAGCCCATCAGACTAACAGCGGATCTCTCGGCAGAAACCCTACAAGCCAGAAGAGAGTGGGGGCCAATATTCAACATTCTTAAAGAAAGGAATTTTCAACCCAGAATTTCATATCCAGCCAAACTAAGCTTCATAAGTGAAGGAGAAATAAAATACTTTATAGACAAGCAAATGCTGAGAGATTTTGTCACCACCAGGCCTGCCCTAAAAGAGCTCCTGAAGGAAGCGCTAAACATGGAAAGGAACAACCGGTACCAGCCGCTGCAAAATCATGCCAAAATGTAAAGACCATCGAGACTAGGAAGAAACTGCATCAACTAACGAGCAGAATCACCAGCTAACATCATAATGACAGGATCAAATTCACACATAACAATATTAACTTTAAATATAAATGGACTAAATTCTGCAATTAAAAGACACAGACTGGCAAGTTGGATAAAGAGTCAAGACCCATCAGTGTGCTGTATTCAGGAAACCCATCTCACGTGCAGAGACACACATAGGCTCAAAATAAAAGGATGGAGGAAGATCTACCAAGCCAATGGAAAACAAAAAAAGGCAGGGGTTGCAATCCTAGTCTCTGATAAAACAGACTTTAAACCAACAAAGATCAAAAGAGACAAAGAAGGCCATTACATAATGGTAAAGGGATCAATTCAACAAGAGGAGCTAACTATCCTAAATATTAATGCACCGAATACAGGAGCACCCAGATTCATAAAGCAAGTCCTGAGTGACCTACAAAGAGACTTAGACTCCCACACATTAATAATGGGAGACTTTAACACCCCACTGTCAACATTAGACAGATCAACGAGACAGAAAGTCAACAAGGATACCCAGGAATTGAACTCAGCTCTGCACCAAGCGGACCTAATAGACATCTACAGAACTCTCCACCCCAAATCAACAGAATATACATTTTTTTCAACACCACACCACACCTATTCCAAAATTGACCACATAGTTGGAAGTAAAGCTCTCCTCAGCAAATGTAAAAGAACAGAAATTATAACAAACTATCTCTCAGACCACAGTGCAATCAAATTAGAACTCAGGATTAAGAATCTCACTCAAAGCCGCTCAACTACATGGAAACTGAACAACCTGCTCCTGAATGACTACTGGGTACAGAACGAAATGAAGGCAGAAATAAAGATGTTCTTTGAAACCAACGAGAACAAGGACACCACATACCAGAATCTCTGGGACGCATTCAAAGCAGTGTGTAGAGGGAAATTTATAGCACTAAATGCCTACAAGAGAAAGCAGGAAAGATCCAAAATTGACACCCTAACATCACAATTAAAAGAACTAGAAAAGCAAGAGGAAACACATTCAAAAGCTAGCAGAAGGCAAGAAATAACTAAAATCAGAGCAGAACTGAAGGAAATAGAAACACAAAAAACCCTTCAAAAAATCAATGAATCCAGGAGCTGGTTTTTTGAAAGGATCAACAAAATTGATAGACCGCTAGCAAGACTAATAAAGAAAAAAAGAGAGAAGAATCAAATAGACACAATAAAAAATGATAAAGGGGATATCACCACCAATCCCACAGAAATACAAACTACCATCAGAGAATACTACAAACACCTCTACGCAAATAAACTAGAAAATCTAGAAGAAATGGATACATTCCTCGACACATACACTCTCCCAAGACTAAACCAGGAAGAAGTTGAATCTCTGAATAGACCAATAACAGGATCTGAAATTGTGGCAATAATCAATAGTTTACCAACCAAAAAGAGTCCAGGACCAGATGGATTCACAGCTGAATTCTACCAGAGGTACAAGGAGGAGCTGGTACCATTCCTTCTGAAACTATTCCAATCAATAGAAAAAGAGGGAATCCTCCCTAACTCATTTTATGAGGCCAGCATCATTCTGATACCAAAGCCGGGCAGAGACACAACCAAAAAAGAGAATTTTAGACCAATATCCTTGATGAACATTGATGCAAAAATCCTCAATAAAATACTGGCAAACCGAATCCAGCAGCACATCAAAAAGCTTATCCACCATGATCAAGTGGGCTTCATCCCTGGGATGCAAGGCTGGTTCAATATACGCAAATCAATAAATGTAACCCAGCATATAAACAGAGCCAAAGACAAAAACCACATGATTATCTCAATCGATGCAGAAAAAGCCTTTGACAAAATTCAACAACCCTTCATGCTAAAAACTCTCAATAAATTAGGTATTGATGGGACGTATTTCAAAATAATAAGAGCTATCTATGACAAACCCACAGCCAATATCATACTGAATGGGCAAAAACTGGAAGCATTCCCTTTGAAAACTGGCACAAGACAGGGATGCCCTCTCTCACCGCTCCTATTCAACATAGTGTTGGAAGTTCTGGCCAGGGCAATCAGGCAGGAGAAGGAAATAAAGGGTATTCAATTAGGAAAAGAGGAAGTCAAATTGTCCCTGTTTGCAGACGACATGATTGTTTATCTAGAAAACCCCATCGTCTCAGCCCAAAATCTCCTTAAGCTGATAAGCAACTTCAGCAAAGTCTCAGGATACAAAATCAATGTACAAAAATCACAAGCATTCTTATACACCAACAACAGACAAACAGAGAGCCAAATCATGAGTGAACTCCCATTCACAATTGCTTCAAAGAGAATAAAATACCTAGGAATCCAACTTACAAGGGATGTGAAGGACCTCTTCAAGGAGAACTACAAACCACTGCTCAAGGAAATAAAAGAGGACACAAACAAATGGAAGAACATTCCATGCTCATGGGTAGGAAGAATCAGTATCGTGAAAATGGCCATACTGCCCAAGGTAATTTACAGATTCAATGCCATCCCCATCAAGCTACCAATGACTTTCTTCACAGAATTGGAAAAAACTACTTTAAAGTTCATATGGAACCAAAAAAGAGCCCGCATCGCCAAGTCAATCCTAAGCCAAAAGAACAAAGCTGGAGGCATCACACTACCTGACTTCAAACTATACTACAAGGCTACAGTAACCAAAACAGCATGGTACTGGTACCAAAACAGAGATATAGATCAATGGAACAGAACAGAGCCCTCAGAAATAACGCCGCATATCTACAACTATCTGATCTTTGACAAACCTGAGAAAAACAAGCAATGGGGAAAGGATTCCCTATTTAATAAATGGTGCTGGGAAAACTGGCTAGCCATATGTAGAAAGCTGAAACTGGATCCCTTCCTTACACCTTATACAAAAATCAATTCAAGATGGATTAAAGATTTAAACGTTAGACCTAAAACCATAAAAACCCTAGAAGAAAACCTAGGCATTACCATTCAGGACATAGGCGTGGGCAAGGACTTCATGTCTAAAACACCAAAAGCAATGGCAACAAAAGCCAAAACTGGGATCTAATTAAACTAAAGAGCTTCTGCACAGCAAAAGAAACTACCATCAGAGTGAACAGGCAACCTACAACATGGGAGAAAATTTTTGCAACCTACTCATCTGACAAAGGGCTAATATCCAGAATCTACAATGAACTCAAACAAATTTACAAGAAAAAAACAAACAACCCCATCAAAAAGTGGGCGAAGGACATGAACAGACACTTCTCAAAAGAAGACATTTATGCAGCCAAAAAACACATGAAAAAATGCTCATCATCACTGGCCATCAGAGAAATGCAAATCAAAACCACTATGAGATATCATCTCACACCAGTTAGAATGGCAATCATTAAAAAGTCAGGAAACAACAGGTGCTGGAGAGGATGTGGAGAAATAGGAACACTTTTACACTGTTGGTGGGACTGTAAACTAGTTCAACCATTGTGGAAGTCAGTGTGGCGATTCCTCAGGGATCTAGAACTAGAAATACCATTTGACCCAGCCATCCCATTACTGGGTATATACCCAAATGACTATAAATCATGCTGCTATAAAGACACATGCACACGTATGTTTATTGCGGCATTATTCACAATAGCAAAGACTTGGAACCAACCCAAATGTCCAACAATGATAGACTGGATTAAGAAAATGTGGCACATATACACCATGGAATACTATGCAGCCATAAAAAATGATGAGTTCATGTCCTTTGTAGGGACATGGATGAAATTGGAAACCATCATTCTCAGTAAACTATCGCAAGAACAAAAAACCAAACACCGCATATTCTCACTCATAGGTGGGAACTGAACAATGAGATCACATGGACACAGGAAGGGGAATATCACACTCTGGGGACTGTGGTGGGGTCGGGGGATGGGGGAGGGATAGCATTGGGAGATATACCTAATGCTAGATGACGAGTTAGTGGGTGCAGCGCACCAGCATGGCACATGTATACATATGTAACTAACCTGCACAATGTGCACATGTACCCTAAAACTTAAAGTATAATAATAATAAAAAAAAAAAGAAAAAAAAAAAAAAGAAAACAGATCCAGACAAGTTAAATGACTTCTTCCAAGGGGCCAGCCATCAGATGGAAAAGCCAAGATTATTTGAGTTTCTGATTTAGAATGCTCAGATGCTAGGTGTCTTAAAGCTTTCAGTGAGACACTGCTTTAACATATCAAACATATCACAGCAAATAGGAAAAAAGAAGAAGTTCTGCCCAAGACATAGTCCAAAAGAGTGTAACCTCAAAGAGAATTCATATGATTTTCTCTGAAACAAAAACAACAAAAAAGAATTGGCCAGGTGCAGTGGTTAACACCTGTAATCCCAGCTAATCAGAAGGCTGAGGTGAGAGGATCACTTGAGCCCAGGAGTTCAAGACCAGCCTGGGCAACATGGCAAGACCCCCATCTCTGGAAAAAAAAATCAAAAATCAGCCAGGTGTTGTGATGTGTGCCTGTAGTTCCAGCTACTTGGGGAGCTGAGACAGGATGATCACTTGAGCCCAGCAGTTGGAAGTTACAGTGAGCCATGATCACACCACTGAACACAAAAGCTTGGGTGACAGAGTGAGACCCTGTCTCTTAAAAAAAGAAAGAAGCCAGGCGCGGTGGCTCACGCCTGTAATCCCAGCACTTTGGGAGGCCGAGGCGGGCGGATCACCTGAGGTCAGGAGTTCGAGACCAGCCTGGCCAACATGGTGAAACCCCATATCTACTAAAACTGCAAAAATTAGCCAGGCGTGGTGGCACATGCCCGTAATCCCAGCTACTCGGGAGACTGAGGCAGGAGAATTGCTTGAGCCAGGGAGACCGAGGTTGCAGTGAGCCGAGGTCGTGCCATTGCACTCCAGCCTGGCCAACAGAGTGACACTCTGTCTCAAAAAGAAAAAAAAAAAAAAAAAGAAAGAAAAACAATTGGATGTGGCATCTTCTCCTGTCCTCTCAGGCTATCCTAACCCTATCCATTCACCAAGGCTCAGTTGCGTTACTGCCTTTTCTGTAATAGCTTCTCTGAGCGCTCTTCATCCGGACACCCAGCCCTAGATATCAGGACCATATACTACTTTATATTGCTAGTTCCCCCCTCTTCTAACTTCTTTTTCTAACTCCTAATTACCTGATGAAAATTTTTTGTTCGTTTGTTGTTTGAGATAGGGTCTCGCTCTGTTGCCTGGGCTGGAGTGCAGTGGCACAATCATGGCTCACTGCAGCCTCAAACTCCTAGTCCCAAGCAATCCTCCCACATTAGCATCCCCAACTGCTGGGATTACAGGCATATGCCACCATGGAAATTTTAATGAGAAGATAAATGGTAACAGGAAGAAAAAAAAGAAAAATCATGGACATTCCACAGATTGGAATCCAGATATGTTCCTAAGATATCCAGAATTAACTCCATTCCAGAGGAAGCATCTTGACTTGGTTGCACCCCATCTGCAGAGGAGGCAAAGCCAAAAACAGACCTTCCAAAGTCCAGTTCTGTGGGAGTGAATGCACTGAGTTACTCAGCACTGAGGAGGCAGGAGACAAGGAAACCTGTGGCTAGCTCCAAAGCAACGCCAGCTCCAGTCACAAAATTAAGAGTTAGGTCAATCACAAGGATCTTTCAAAAATAGTTCCCAGAGTTCTTATGCTATCTAATAAAATTTTATGGACACTAGAATTTTTATGGATTTCTCCTTTCTTGTTTCACAGCTCAGTTTTATTATTTTGCTAGCAAAAAACTATCTTTCATGCTTTGGTGAAACATCCACTATAAAAGCCAGTAGTAGGATAGATCAGGTAAAATACATAATACCTGGCAATGGCCCTCTAGACCACCATGAGTCCATTAGCATTTGTTTATGGGTTTTGCTAAGTGATTTCTTGGAAGCCAAAGGGTTAAGATCCCAGATGAGTCGTGAGGAAGAACAAGCTTGTGGGATGAATGCTGTGGTGGTAAATGCTGGGTCCACCTCTGCACACAGGCTCTGTCATTTCATATATCGAACTGCCCATTTTTCCCTAAATAAAACAAGGGTAATCATACTTGCCCTGTCCCGGATTGAGTTAAAGGAGATAATATATATGGACATTCTACATAATGGGTTAATATAGCAGGGAATATATTGAAGATCAAAGTACCAAAAGCATGGTGCTTTGTTCATTGTGGCAGAGCTCTGATATAGTTTATCAGTATTATTATCCTGGAACTGTAGGCCCAAGATTGTTTTGTCTATTCAAAATTGAACTACCTAATGTGTTCATCATGTAAACTTTGGCCTCTTTATACTTCTACACTTCCATACTTCCATACTTCTATAAATGCTTTTCCAAAGAATCACAATAATTTCTAATAAATCTACCATGGATGTGATCAAAAATTGAAATGCATAAATGTTTATTGGAAGAAACACTACTGAGTCCTCAAAAGCATATTGACTATGTTTTTGGTTTAAAGTTAAAAATATTGGCCAGGGATGGTGGCTCATACCTGTAATCCCAGCACTTTGGGAGGCCAAGGCAGATGGATCACCTAAGGTCGGGAGTTCGAGACCAGCCTGGCCAACATGGTGAAACCCCAACTCTACTAAAAATGTAAAAATTAGCTGGGCATGGTGGCGTGCTCCTGTAATCCCAGCCAAGGTGGGAGAATTGCTTGAACCAGGAAGGCAGAGGCTGCAGTGAGCTGAGATCGCGCCACTGTACTCCAGCCTGGGCAACAGAGCGAGACCTGGTCTCAAAAAAAAAAAAAAAAAGTATTTTAGCACACCATACAAATATCTGATGGTGATGGCTTTAAATAAAACTGATTCAGTCAGGGCAGTGGTGTCTCATGCCTGTAATCACTTTGGGAGGCCAAGGCGGGAGGATCACTTGAGGCCAGGAGTTTGAGACCAGCCCGGGCAACAGAGTGAGACCCCCGACTCTACAACAAAAGTTAAAAAATAAGCCAGGCATGGTGATGCATGCCTGTGGTCCCAGCTACTTGGGAGGCTGGGGTGAGAGGATCACTGGAGCCCAGGAGGTTGAGGCTGCAGTGAACCATGATCACACCACTGCACTCCAGCCTAAGTGACAGAGCGAGACCCTGTCTTTAAAAATAAATAAATAAATAAATAAATAAAACAAGATTTAAAAATTGAGTAGAAGTTGATAGGGAAGCCAAGTCTGTGTTTTCTCCCTTAGCTTTTAACATTTCATTTTCTCCTTATCTGCATCTTAGAGGACAGGTGACCGCAAAGCAGAAGTGATGAAGAGCCAGTCACCATGGCCACATCTTGAGGTCACACAGTCAGCAGTTCGCTTTGCTCACTCAGTCCTATAAAGTGAGTAAGTCTAATGGATGTGGGCCTGCTATGGCCTGCAGATTTGTGTCCCCACCAAATTCATATGTTGAAACTTAATCCCTAGTGCAGTGGTGTTGGGAGGGTGGACATCTGGGAGGTGATTAGGTCATGAGGGTTCCACCTTGATGAATGGGATTAATGCCCTTCTAAAAGATACTTGGGCCGGGCGCGGTGGCTCATGCCTGTAATCCCAACACTTCGGGAGGCCGAGGCTGGTGGATCACCTGAGGTCAGGAGTTTGAGACCAGCCTGGCCAACACAGTGAAACCCCATCTCTACTAAAAATACAAAAATTAGCTGGGTGTTGTGGTGGGTGCCTGTAATCCCATCTATTCAGGAGGCTGAGGCAGGAGAATTGCTTGAACCCGGGAGGTGGAGGTTGCAGTGAGCTGAGATAGTGCCATTGTATTCCAGCCTGAGCGACAAGAGAGAAATTCCATCTCAGAAAAAATAAATGAATAAGTAAAATAAAAGAGACTTGGGGGAGCCTGTTTGCCTTTCTGTTATGTGAGGATGCGGCAAGAAGGTGCTATCTGTAAAGCAGAGAGCCCTCACCAGACACTGACTCTACTGTCACCATGATCCTGGTGCCAGCCTTCAGAACTGTGAACTATTCATTTATGTTCTTTATAATAGTCTAAGGTATTTTGTTACAGCAACTCAGATGGACTAAGACAGGGCCTAACTCATATTTTTAGAAAAGGTCAGTCCTCTTTTGTTTCACAATGTTAACATGTTGACCCTCCACCAGACTTAAGAATAATGTAAACTCATTGGTTTTGCCTCTGAAACCTATTTTGCATGACCAGTCTCTGGTCTGAAAGGACAAAATCCAAAGACTGCTCTTTTTTTATGGTCAGTGATACCCTTTATGGATACCTTTTAAAAAGATCATTTGACCCACATCAGAAAAGATCTATACTATTGTAACTTTCAAAATCAGTTGCTTACCTGGAAGAGGATTACATAAAAATAAATTAATTAATGAATTAATTAAAAATCAGTTGATTTCTTTTAGGGGAAGAAAAGACTCCTTGCTCATTCTGAGAAGGCACAGCAAAATATGACATTAAGATTACCCGTCAGTTTGGCCAGGTACAGTGGCTCACCCCTGTAATCCCAGCACTTTGGGAGGCCGAGGAGGGTGGATCACAAGGTCAAGAGATCAAGAACATCCTGGCCAACATGGTAAAACCCCGTCTCTACTAAAAATACAAAAATTAGCTGGGCGTGGTAGTGCACACCTGCAGTCCCAGCTACTCTGGAGGCTAAGGCAAGAGAATCGCTTGAACCCGGGAGGTGGAGGTTTCAGTAAGCTGAGATCGTACCACTGCACTCCAGCCTGGGAGACAGAGCAAGACTTCGTCTCAAAAAAAAAAAAAAAAATTAAGATTACCTGTCAGTTTGATGCAGCTGACGTATTTCTAACAATTACAAGCTACAAGGCACTGTTTCCTTCGTGTGCCTTTCAACAGATCTGTTGGCTGCTTTCTATAGATGATGTATGTCAATACTCAGGGATTCACTGACTAAAAAGTTAGAAATCCTATTCACATATATTCTATTAGTATAAACTGTGGTTGGGCATTTTTTCCTCCCAAGCTTAGTTTTCAGTAAATTACTTTAAATGCAGGAATTTGTAGCAAGCAGAAAATGCCGATATGGTAATGTTTCACCTGAGCAATCGTACTTGCATTACCTTTGCTAAACTAGACATCAATCTAGCTCAAAAACAGATAAATGGAAAGTTTGAAATTGTGTACGTTCTCCTGTGTTTCATTATTGAAGAATGAGAGGCCATCCGTGGAAAACAATAATAGGAAAGGGGTCACTAGATAAGAAAACAAAAACCTTTCTATAGGAAAACATCCATTTAAGTCACCAATACTTAAGAAACACACAATTTGTAGGTATTTACAATTTAAAAGCCCCAATTTCCTCCCAACATCCCTTAAAACTAAGTTACATCTATCACCAAACAGTCTCACTTAGACTATTTTCCAGTATTAAATATTACATTAGACTATTTTCCAGTATTAAATATTACACAAATACATGTGCTTTAACATACTCTTAAGAGAACAAAAACAAAGAAGTATCTGAGAGGTCAAAAAAACATTAACAAATGACTTTTCAAAACTAGAGGTAGCTCTTTTAAGAAGTAATGTTGGCAGCTTATGCTACTAGAAGATTTCAAACAAAAATAACCATATCGTATTTCTCATGCAATTTTACCCAGGAAGACATTTAATTTTATGAGATTTTGATGCCATATCTTCTTATTTCACTTTTTTTCTTCTACTTATCAGTGATGCAAAGAAAATAAAATTACAAATATACAGAACATACATAATGAGATTCTATTTGGTTCACATTTTAACATTACCTTTCTACACCATCTGCCTCTGGATTTTCAATAAGACATCTTTTGGTTTGTAAATCTTCGTCTTTGCCAAAAGACAGTTTCTAGAGGTTCAGAAAGTTGTCACACTAATACAGTCACAAAATGAAGCAGCATGGAGCAGCTTAGGAGGACACAGGAGAGTGGGTGTTTTATTACATTTCCGTCCCAGATCATTGTTTCTAGGAGGTAATTCATAAATTTTTAATTCTTCTAGTGTTCTTGAGCAATGTAAAAAGGACCACTCCTCACCCAGTTCAACCTCTTTTATCACAGTAGTTGCAACAATTTTATTATGCAAGAAAAATTGGTTATTCTATTATCTTGATGCTTATTTAATAGCAAAGCATAATTTATGCCCTTCTCTTTAGATAATGAACATTAAGATCTCCTTCAAGGTCCGCTACAGGTAATATTCCTTAAATTCAAGGCTGCAGGCAACATACAGATGAGTGAATGGTTTTTCATATTGTGACAGTTAATCTTCATTAAATTATAGCATTTCAGTAATTCGGAGTGATTTTCAATATATCTTGTTTAACACTAATTTCTATAAGTGCAATTGAGTGGGAAAAGACACAATGTTTTCAACACTTGAGCCCTCAGGATAAATGAATTTAAGTTTACCAAAAATAACATAAATGTAGTCCACTATCTGGACTGTGTTCATTATTCCACAAATCATATAATGAGTGGTTTACACAAGAAAGACTCCTAATGAATCCTGTATTGGTTTTGCCCCAAGTAGACCACATGTTGGAGACCTAAATTAAGATAGCATTCAATTGAAAAAATAGGAAGCAACTGAACCCTTTAACTATGTAACACTGTGGTTTTACCTCAAAGTGGGAGGATACAATGAAGATAAATAATTCATTCCTCTGGGTGTTTCTGTGCAGTTTTGATCCATAGGAGTTCAACAGCTTATCAGTATGCCCTGGTCATCGAACAATCAAATTGCAGATCCAAGGGAACTAAAACTTATTAAATGAGGCCGGGCGCAGTAGTCATGCCTGTAATCCCAGCACTTTGGGAGGCCGAGGTGGGTGGATCACCTGAGGTCAGGAGTTCAAGACCAGCCTGGCCAAAATGGTGAAACCCTGTCTCTACTAAAAATATAAAAACTAGCCAGACATGATGGTGGGTGCCTGTAATCCCACCTACTCGGGAGGCTGAGGCAGGAGAATTGCTTGAACCCAGGAGACGGAGGTTGCAGTGAGCCAACACGGTGCCACTGCACTCCAGCCTCAGCAACAGAGTGAGACTCCATCTCCAAAAAAAAAAAAAAAAAAAAAAGAAAAACAACTTATTAAATGAATTAAATGCATATGTAAAAATCATTATGAACCAGGCATGGTGGCACACACCTGTATTTCTAGCTACTTGGGAGTCTGAGGCAGGAGGATCACTTGAGCCCAGGAGTTGGAGGCTGCAGTGCACTATGATCACACCTGCGAATCGCCACTGCACTCCAGCCTGGGCAACATAGCAAGACCCCCATCTCTAAAAAGAATTATTATTATTATTACTACGTTAATTTTGCCAGATAAATAAATATTTGTGAATGAATAATAGTAATATAAGATTAGAGGCACCCTAGAACTGAAACTGGGAAGATACAGAAAGCATCAGGAACAGAAAGAGTCTATAGGTTCTGTTGGTACTTCTGCAGAAACAACAAAGAAGCTTGCAGTGTTCAGAATTGAAAAAGTGGACAGATGCCTTTAATCAAACTCTTCTTATTTTGTTGGTCTAAGAAATATTTGTATTTTCGTATGCCTGAGGGGAAAAGAAAGGCAGGATTAAAGGAACTCTGAGCATATTTGTGGAACTCTCATGGAAAAGTGCATTTTAAATGACAACCTCCCATTTTGGCTTAGCAGATTACTTCATGATGCAATTGCAAAATCAATTGCCTAATGGTATAGACAAAAACATTTTTGGTCTTTAGCCACTTTGTGACTCTGCAAATTTGTGCCTCTAACTGATTGTAAATGCAGAGCTATGCCTGGAGTTCTTTTAAAATCTTGACTTATTGTCAAAGCACTAAGCAGTGTGTTCTGGTAAATCATGTGCTTAATTTTAATTCTATTTCTGAAGGCTGAAGTTTTATTGCTGACTTTCTAAACAATCTGGAGCGGTGTAATTAACTGAGATAGGCTTCACTGAGGTAACAAAGAGACCCCAAAGTTCATCATCTCTTAAAGTCAACAGGCTATGTTTCTCATTCACATAACAGTCTGAGAAGGATAGTCTGGTCATCAGGCAACACTCTTCAGTATGGTGATTCAAGGTCCAAGCTCTTTCCAATCCTGGCTCTGCCATTCCTTATGGTCTCACCATTGCGGCACCCAGTCAACAGAAAAGGAATAAGAAAGTGTGGAGAGACAACATGCTCCTTCAAACCTGGGACTGGAGATGGCACACAGCTTTTCCACTAATATTCTGCTGACCAGAATTGGGTCATAGAGCCATGCCTAATGCAAAGGAGCTTGGGAAATGAAGCCTAGCTGTGTGCCCAATGCAATGGGGAAGGATCAAAGGATTGTTGTGAACCCAAAAGAGCTCTGCCACAGTCAAGTCAGCTAATCTCCTCTTACCTCTGAACTCCTTCATCTGCAAATGGGCAACAATTTATGTACATCCAATATCTATTTTGAGAGCTTGTGAATAGGTATACCTAGGAAGTACTTTGAGCTCCATGGATAAGCAGTGTATCCGTTGACTATATTGCTATTGTTTATGCCACTGCTGTGCTATTGCTATTTGAAACATTACACTGAGTTAAGTAACAGTAAAAAACATAATACTTTCTACCTAAGAACATCATAAGAACACTATGTTACAAAGTCTTGCCTGGTAATAAAGGGATGATCTAAAGGCTGTCTAGTCCTACCTTCCTATATTCTAGGTGCATTACTCCAAATGGAACAGCTATTTCTTCCTTTCTGATTGAAAGCATTTCTGCTCCAGAACTGACAGACTAAACTAGTTCACATTTCAGAAGTATAATTCTAGAGAACATCAAGCACCTTTAAAAATATAAAGTATCATTTTAAAATACAAAGTTCTGAGACCTTTCTGAGAAACCGAAAGAAAGCATTACTGTCCCAAATATCTGGTAAGGACCTGGAATGAATTTTACAGTAAGTCCACAATCTTTTGGATCAATCATGAAAAATAAATATCAGTGGTGAAACAGCAGCACAAGGATAACAAGTTTCACTCACGTGTAGCCAGTGTAATTTAAGAGCCTGCCAGGCAGCATGGTAGCAAGATACGTGATCTACCTGGAAGCCAAGGCTAGAAGATGCTAATCTTAACTCAGCAGATGAATCATTATATGACCCTGAGAAAATTAGTTAGCTTTGGTTTCCTGGCCCAAAAAGGCGAACAGGAATAAGCGGATACTTCCAGAATAAATTTTAAAAATCAGAGAGAGAGGCCGTGCACGGTGGCTCACGCCTGTAATCCCAAAACTTTGGGAAGCTGAGGTGGGAGGATCACGAGGTCAGGCAATCGAGACCATCCTGGCTAATACAGTGAAACCCCGTCTCTACTAAAAATACAAAAAAATTCCCAGGCGTGGTGGCGGGCACCTGTAGTCCCAGCTACTTGGGAGGCTGAGGCAGGAGAATGGCATGAACCAGGGAGGCGGAGGTTGCAGTGAGCTGAGATAGGGCCACTGCACTCCAGCCTGGGTGACAGAGCAAGACTATGTCTCAAAAAAAAAAAAAAAAAAAATCAGAGAGAGGGAGAGAGGAAAGGGAAAGAGTGGGGAGGGGGAGAGGTAAAGGAGGGCAGGGAAGAGGGGAAATGCGGGGAGAGAAGAAGAGAATGGAAATGGAGAAACTTGTAAGATTGAAAAGGTGCTGAAGATTGTTCTGGGCTACACTAAAAACAATATGTTTGCTTCAGGAAGCATAAAGCCTCAGAATGAGAATATATTAATACAAGTAAATCAGGCATTATTATTTAATTAGCACTCATGAAAAACAAATGGTTTGTTAGAGGTGGAGTTGAAATCACCATCCCTTCTGTAAGATTTATGCAACAGAAGAAGAGAGAGCATCCTAACATTCCAATTAATTCAAGAGATACGTATGTTAGGCCTTGATTTTGCCAGGTACTGGGAATGTAATGGTCAAAGAGACAGACATGATTCCTACCTTCATCAAATGAATGAGACAGACCACACATAAATAACTACAACTTGCAGATAAGTGCTATGAAGAAAGTGAAGGAAATGAGTCATGAGGATATCTAAGAAATAACAGAAAGAAGAATGTTTCAGAAAAGGGAAACAGCAAGTACAAAGGACCTGAGATAAGACTGCTTTGGCATTGTTAAGCAAAGTGTATGGGAGGCCATTATTTTGGACTAGCCTCCTGCACTAGGCCCCAGCAGACCAGACAAAACCATAATGGAGTCACTTGTGCTAAGTGACATAATCCAACTGAACTCGGAAAAGGGCCCATTTTCCAAAAACAGGAGATTTACAGCAACCAATCAGAAGGGCCCTAGTTTACCTGAGCTGGCATAAGGAAGTTTCTCTGTTCTAACACTATAAGGAAATTAACTTTGAAGTGACCAATCTGCTTTTTGTTTCCTGTTTCAGCTTTCTTCAGCCCTTCTCTGCCTGTAAAGCCAACCTCCTCTGATCAGCTCATTGGAATACTCATTCTATTTTATATACCCAATTCAAGAATGACAAATGAAAGCCAATTTGATCTTTAAACTAAATTTGTTGTAATTTTTTTCTTTTGTAATATACAGAACAGCAAGGTGGCCAGTGGGCTAGTGTGAAATAATTAAGAGGACAATTCATAGAAAATGGAAATGGAAAGACAGCAGGAGGGCAGACCAAACAGTATCTCCTGGACCCGTTAAAGGCTTTGGATTTTACACTGGAGAAATGGAAAGCCTGCGACTAACTGAAAAAGTTACACAGCTGGTAGGTTAGGAACTAAAGGACTGATTTCCCGACTTGAATTCCAGTGCCCTTTCCCTTAGATCCCACGATGTAAAGTGGCAAGTTTGATTTTTTACCACAAAGCCACTCCAACTGGGGGAGAGGAGGGATTGGATTGATTGGGTTTTAGGTTTTCATTTTTTAAAATTATTTTTAATTTTTTAAAAAATAGGCCAAGTCGGACATGGTGGCTCACGCCTGTAATCCCAGCACTTTGGGAGGCCAAGGCAGGCAGATCACCTGAGGTCAGGAGTTCGAGACCAGCCTGACCAACATAGAGAAACCCCGTCTCCACTAAAAATACAAAATTAGCTAGGCATGGTGGTGCATGCCTGTAATCCCAGCTACTCGGGAGGCTGAGGCAGGAGAATCACTTGAACCTGGGAGGCAGAGGTTGCTGTGAGCTGAGATCATGCCATTGCACTCCAGCCTGGGCAACAAGAGTGAAACTCCATCTCAAAAAAAAAAAAAAAAAAAAAAAATAGGCCAGGCATGGTGGTATGCACCTGTACCCCCAGCTACTCAGGAGGCTGAGGTGGGAGGAATGCTTGAGCCCAGAAGTTTGAGGCCAGCCTGGGAAATATAGCAAGACCCAATTTCACACACACACAAGTTGACATACATGGAACACACCTCAAAAGTTGAAACTGGCTGGGCGCGGTGGCTCACGCCTGTAATCCCAACACTTTGGGAGGCCGAGGCGCGCAGAGCACGAGGTCAGGAGATCGAGACCATCCTGTCTAACATGGTGAAACCCCGTCTCTTCTAAAAATACAAAAAATTAGCCAGGCGTGGTGGCGGGCGCCTGTAGTCCCAGCTACTCAGGAGGCTGAGGCAGGAGAATGGCGTGAACCCGGGAGGCGGAGCTTGCAGTGAGTGGAGATCATGCCACTACACTCCAGCCTGGGCGACACAGCGAGACTCCGTCTCAAAAAAAAAAAAAAGTTGAAACCACTGTTGCAAAGTTTCTGACACTTTGAAAAGTCTAGCATGGCTGACCCTATCTTCCTTCTGGCCTCACAGGCTGGCTCTTCTTGCTCATTTCTGGGCACAGACCAAGATAACAATGAGAGGAATTTAGTTTATAGTTTAACTTGGAAGCAGACATGATAATAATCTCTCCCTAAAACCAACCCCCTCCTTGATGAGGGACTGAAACCGCCTTTGTAAAACTAACTAAAGGCCATGAGATTAGGATTAGGGGAGGGGCCTGAATTCTGCTAAGATGAAGGCATAGTTTCTATAATCCCTTACTGCTCAGGAGTCATGTGGCCAGAGGTCACAAAATTTGTAACTTCCTCCATTGCTCCTATAAATAACATCACTATCGTAGACCCTAAGATTGGTCTTTTGAGATATTTTTTCAGACTTTGCATTCTGGCAACTGAGTGACCCCACCTGGACCCTGACTCATGACTTAACTAGTCCTGTGGCCCCCACTCAGAGGCAGACTCAGTGCATTAGGACAGTTTTCCACACCCCTATGATTTCATCACCAACCAATCAGTAGCACGCATTCCCTAGCCCACTACCCACCAAATTATCCATAAAAACCCTAACCTCTGAGTTCTCAGGAAGACTAATTTGAATAATAACTCTAATCCTTCCATTTGGCTAGCTCTGCATTTATAAAATTCTTTCTCAGCTGGGTGTGGTGGCTCATGCCTGTAATCCCAACACTTTGGGAGGCCCAGGCGGGTGGATCACGAGGTCAGGAGTTTGAGACCAGCCTGGCCAATATGGTGAAACCCCATCTCTACTAAAAATACAAAAATTAGTTGGGTGTGGTGGCACATGCCTGTAGTCCCAGCTACCTGGGACGCTGAGGCAAAAGAATTGCCTGAACCCGGGAGACAGAGGTTACAGTGAGCTGAGATCATGCCACTGCACTCCAGCCTGGGCAACAGAGCGAGACTCCATCTCCAAAAAAAAAAAAAACAACTCTTTCTCTACTGTAATACCATGGTCTCAGTAAATTGGTTTTGTCTGTGCAGCAGGCAGGAAGAACACGTCGGGCGATTACAAAGTGACTGTAGGTTATTGTGTCTAGAATAGAGCCTCCTTCCCAACTCTGTCACTCAGCTTCCTCCCCTCCTTCCTAGTAGTGTTTTGTGTGGCCTGGAAGTAGTTGGGTTTCAAGAGGACATTCAATCACCAATATTTATTGAGAGTCTACTCTATGCTAGGAGCTGGGCTAGCTAGGTACTGGGGACCTAATAAGACTAAGATGCCATCTCTGCCCTCTCAGAGTCTATTGTCTAAAGACACAAGAAAGGTCTTAAGGTTTGACTCACAAATATAAGGCAAAATTAGGCCTCACGATAAATGAAGATGAATTTCAAGTCCAAAATATTCATATTATCTTTAATATGTCCTAAGAGCTATATGGGGCATCAGAGCATGTTTAGAGGCAGGCAAATATGTATTTCGGAGTGATTTTCTTTTTTTGTTTGTTTGTTTGTTTGTTTTGAGACAGAGTCTCACTGTCGCCCAGGCTGGAGTGTAGTGGCACGATCTCAGCTTGCTGCAAGCTCCACCTCCCGGGTTCACGCCATTCTCCTGCCTTAGCCTCCCGAGTAGCTGGGACTACAAGCGCCCGCCACCATGCCTGGCTAATTTTTTGTATTTTTAGTAGAGACGGGGTTTCACTGTGTTAGCCAGGATGGTCTCAATCTCCTGACTTTGTGATCCGCGCACCTCAGCCTCCCAAAGTTCTGGGATTATAGGCATGAGCCACCGCACCCGGCCCAGAGTAATTTTCTATTCCAAATATGAAAATTCCCTAAAATAACTTGGTGTTCTTTAATAGGCTAGCCCTGCTCAATCAAAAATAGTAAATTAAAATGAAATGTCTTCGATTATTTTAGGAAATCTATGTAAGAAAAAAAACTAAGTTTCAGGTGTGCCTTTTGAATTTTGTACCAGATGAATGTATGTTTTTTAAACATTAAAGTGCAGATTTTTAAAAATTAGGGTGCGGATTTTTAAAACAGATTGAAGGTAAGTAGAGAGGAATAGGGCTCTTACCTCCAGCCACTGGAAGGAAGAAAGGCATCTGGGGCGTGTAGGAAAGGATCCCAGGGTAGAAGATAGGAGTCCCTAGATTCTAATACTGGATCCTCTGTGACTAGTGTGGAATTTTGAGCCAGTGAATTCTCCCCACAGGTCTCAATTAAATCATCTGTCAAATGAGGGTGACGACATCTTCTCTACCTCACCACTGAGCTGTGAAATGAACCAGAGGCCTTACTTTTTTCCCCTGAACTCCCAGTCATCCCTAGAACACCAATTTGAACATCATCTCCTTCAGGAAGCCCTCCTAGACTTTCCCAGCCAGTTAAGTTAGCGGCTCTGTCCTCTGGATTTCAAAGAGAAATGTCTCTAGCATCATCCCTGTTTCCTTGCACTGTCCTACTTTCTTTTTTCCCTCAGAGCCAGGAATGTCTTAAACAGAGTGAGATGCTCCCAAGGGGCCACCAGCTCACAATTAGGAGTTCAATAAATACTGACTTAAGAGTGAATGAATGATATCTGTGTCTTTGTCCACATTTGTACATGTTTACATGATTCTGCAAAGAATCTAAATTTCTCTTTACATTAACAAACAGGGGGGCTGGGCACGGTGGCTCAAGCCTGTAATCTCAGCATTTTTGTTAACCAGGACAGCCCTGACAAAATAACTGGGAAAGTTCCTTTTTCTTATTGTTTTTCTTTGGTCCCTTTATCTATAGACACTGCTGCTTAAAGAAACCAGATGGCGCCAGAGCTTCTTGACCCCTGACCAGATGCCAGAGGAAGATAAGACACCATAAAACCAGCGCAAATGGGAACTGGCAAACCCTGGGTGCCTTTAGATCATGAACATATCATTATAATGCTAATTTCCCTTCCCTAAAAGAAAATCTCTGCCATTTTGTGTACATATGATATATGAAGATGCATGTTTATGAATTGGGCCTGCGTGTCTGGAGTCCCACCCTGCACATACTAACATTCCTTTCCTGCCCCATAGGAATAAAGGCAATAAACCCCTTGCCTTTTATTCTTCAAGAAAAGATGCTTTCAGAGGAAGAGCTCACCTTCTCCATTCCCTGGCAAATGAATAAAACCTGATTGCCTTTTTCAATGGGATATTCTTTGTTTGTGACTGATACACAGTGGGGAAAAAACTCATTTTATCAGGGACACTTTGGGAGACCCAGGCCAGAGGATTGGTTGAGGCCAGGAGTTTGAGACCAGCCTGGGCAATAGAGCCAGACCCCATTTCTAAAAAAAAAAAAAAAAAAAAAAAAAAAAAGTTTTAATTAGCCAGGTGTGCTGGCACACAATTCAAGTTGTTTCACCTTTCTGGACAGAACCAATATACACCTGAAATGTATTTGATGTCTCATCTCTCCCAAAAATGTATAAAACCAAGCTGTGCCCCAATCACCTTGGGCACATGTTCTCAGGATCTCCTGAGAGCTATGTCAAGGGCTATGGTCACTCATAGTTGGATCAGAATAAATTTCTTCAACTATTTTACAGAGTTTGACTCTTCTCATCAACACAATGACAAAAAACAGTGGTCCTGGGATATAAAATCATAGGCAATACAAATATTTAGTGTTATTTTCTTGAAAATATGGTTTTATCTTACAAAAATTTTCAATTCTGTTGGGGATGTCAATTTTTTTTTCTTTCCAGACGTAGTCTTGCTATGTTGCTCAGGCTGGTCTTGAACTCCTGACCTCAAGTGATCCCCACCTCAGCCTACCAAATAGCTGGGACTACAGTTACATGCCACCATGCCCCCCCCTTTTTTTTTTTGGATGGAATTTCTCCCTCTGTTGCCCAAGCTCTGGAGTGTAGTGGTGCAATCTTGTGTCACTGCAACCTCCGTCTCCTGGGTTCAAGCTATTCTCATGCCTCAGCCTCTTGAGTAGCTGAGATTACAGGCATGTGCCACCACGCCCAGCTAATTTTTGTATTTTTAGTATAGATGGGGTTTCACCATGTTGGCCAGGCTGGTCTCCAACTCCTGACCTCAAGTGGTCCACCTTCCTCGGCCTTCCAGAGTGTTAGGATTACAGGCGTGAGCCCACACATCTAGCTACCATACCCTTTTTTTTTTTTTTTTTTTGAGTCTTGCTCTGTCGCCCAGGCTGGAGTGCAATGGCACCACCTTGGCTCACTGCAACCTCCGCCTCCCGGGTTCAAGTGATTCTCCTGTCTCAGCCTCCCAAGCAGCTGGGACTATAGGCGTGCGCCACCACGCCCGGCTAATTTTTGTATTTTTAGTAGAGACGGGGTTTCACCATATTGTCCAGGCTGGTCTCAAACTCCTGACCTCAGGCGGTCTTCCCACCTTAGCCTCCCAAAGTGCTGGGATTACAGGCATGAGCCACCACGCCCAGCCTCCATGACCTTTTTAACGAAAGAAATGTTGCTTTTTAAGAAGTCTGGCGGGGATAGAACTCCCTATAGTCTCCATGATTTGTTTTACTTGTTAGCTAGTGCCTAACTCTTTCAAACGCTTTAAAATGCTCAACAGACACTTACCAATGAAATGAGTGATCTGCTTAATGCTTTAAATGAAGCAAGACAAATTAAACCCTTCATGGACTCTTCCCAGGGCTGGACAAAAATATTTATGTGGGTCAGACGCAGTGGCTCACGCCTGTAATCCCAGCACTTTGGGAGGCCAAGGAGGGCAGATCACCTGAGGTCAGGAGTTCAAAACCAGCCTGGCCAATGTGGTGAAACCTCGTCACTACTAAAAAAAATACAAAAATTAGCTGGGCGTGGTGGCGGGCGCCCGTAATCCCGGCTACTCTGGAGGCTGACGCAGGAGAATCGCTTGAACCCAGGAGGCAGAAGTTGCAGTGAGCTGAGATCGCGCCACGGCACTCCAGTCTGGGCGACAGAGCGAAACTCCATTTCAAAAAAAAGAAAAAGAAAAAGAAAAAATTAGCCAGGTGTGGTGGCGGGCGCCTGTAATCCCACCTAATTGGGAGGCTGAGGCAGGAGAATCGCTTGAACCCTGGAGGCAGAGGTTGCAGTGAGCTTGAGATTGTGCCACGGCACTCCTGCCTGGGCAAAAGAGCGAGACTCCGTTTCAAAAAGAAAAAAAGAAAAGGGCCGGGCGCGGTGGCTCAAGCCTGTAATCTCAGCACTTTGGGAGGCAGAGGCGGGTGGATCGCCTGAGGTCAGGAGTTCGAGACTAGCCTGGCCAACATGGCGAAACCCCGTCTCTACTATAAACACAAAAATTATCAGGGCATGGTGGCGCGCCCATGTAATCCCAGCTACTGGGGACGCTGAGACAGGAGAATCGCTTGAACCTTGGAGGCGGAGGTTGCAGTGAGTCGAGATCGCGCCACTGCACTTCAGCCTGGGCGACAAGAGTGAAACTCCGTCTCAAAAAAAAAGAAAAAAAATCCACTTGTACCTTCTGCTAATCAGTGTATATATTCAAGGCAACTTGAATCTATGCTCCTGGGGTGCAATCCTCAAGCTTGGCCCAAATAAACTCTCTGCTTGCATTTATTTTGCCCCAGAGTCTTCTTCCTTTTAGGTCGACACATCCATATCTGAGACCTAGGGTAATTTTCTGGGCTTCTCGCCTCTCCCTTTCCCCCATGTTTTTCTGTGCTCTCTAAACGGGCCCGGTAGAGTCCCGCATTTCCACATTCCACAGACATGTTTTCCTTCTGTGGCCCCGGGCCCTGCCAGACAGCGCACCGCGAGGCCGGCACTTCGGCGGTCTCCAACCTTTGCCTGGAAAGAGCTCGGCAGGCGAGCTAGAGGCCAGATCCCAGGACCCAGTCGTTTTAGCTCAGGGAAAGGAAGCGCCGGAGCTCCAGCCTGCAAGCTCCACTACGCAGCCTTGGACACCGCCCACATCGTAGGGCCGCGGACCCTGACAACGCCGGAACCCGGCGCCCGGAGCGTGCGCGCGGCGGACCAGAATGGCTGACGTACCGCCCTGCCGCGAGGCCCGCGTAGAGGCGGAAGTTGAGGGGACTGACGCAGATGGGGGAATTTTGCCTCGATGGCACTTTCCTGTCCGCGACTCCGCCCCCACCAGAGGGGCTAGGCTCTGGGATTCAAGATGGAGGCGCTGAGTCGAGCTGGGCAGGAGATGAGCCTAGCGGCCCTGAAGCAACACGACCCCTATATCACCAGCATCGCAGACCTCACGGGCCAGGTCGCTCTGTACACCTTCTGCCCCAAGGCCAACCAGTGGGTGAGTGCCGCCTGGCCCTGAGGACGGCCACCCGGCCGCTGCCGTCTCTTAAAGGGGCCGCGCGGGTTACTGTGGGGTGGGGGGGCACACTAAGAGGCCAGGGCGGTGGAGACGAGGCCAGGGTCTGGCCAAGAGCCTAGCCAGAGCCTGAGGGGTGTCGGGTCCGCTTGGGATTGGGGGATAGGAGTGAGAGAAGTGGCTCGAGACATCCCAAGGAAAAGCCAGTGGAGGGGAGGATTGGAGCAGGATCAGTCCCTTGGCGTCGGGTCTGGGGACGTGGGCGACCTGCCTTCTTTGCAGATACATTGGGAGTTATAAGACCGGTGGGGTCAAAAGGGTGCCTGAAAGCTTGTGTTTGAGGCTTTGCGGATTATTAGATAAATTATATGTACATTATCTATAAAATAAACACTCCTCCTCTCCCCCTGGCAAACGTAAATGAGAGCCCCTGTCGCAGAGGTCATTTGGGTTTAAAGTTTAAAATCCAATTAGTTTCGATTCTTGGAAGGAGGGGGTGGGTGGGTCCGGCTTTAATCGAACTACACAGAGTTTCGGAAAAGATTCCAAGGCACTTAGGAAAAGGGCTTCCGTGTTCACTGGATCCCCGAAGACCTTTGTACAAACAAGAGAGACCCTGTAAATGTGTTTTGTTCCATCTATGATGCTGGTGATGTCATCTCTGAATGCTCCCCTCGGACTCAGTACTTTCTGGCTTTCGTGCACTGGGGAGGGTCCGAAAAGTCACATTCAGTGTGTTCACTGATTCTTGTTAGCCCCTGCTTGAAGCTTTGTTAGTTGTTTAAAAAGCATAATTTCCCACTTTCTTGTAATTGACCCTTCCTAATTAACTCATTCAGCTACAGGCTTTACACTTAGAAAGTAATACGTAAATGCTTGTTGGATTGAATTCACCAATGACTGGAGTTCACATTTCAATAAGATACGAAATCCTTAAACTGACAGAACTCTGGAAGATGACCGTAGTATGTCGTTTACCCTATAATACAGTTGCATAGATTATATTTATCAGTAATTTATCGAAAATCATTTGGCATTTATGAACAGTTAATTCAGATGAAGAGTTTTTATAATCACGTTGTTTATCTTTGCCTCCTGGAAGAGAAGGAGATATGGGAAGCCACAAGGAATAAAATTGTAGATTGTTTTTTAAATGTAGCTATTTTAGACATTGCCTTAGTTTGAAATTTTATGAATCTTTTTTCTTTTCTTGGCCTATATATAAATTTTGAAATATGGATTGCCGACAAATGGTGAAGACTTGGGGCTAGAGTTTTCCTAGTTTTTCACAAAGGCTTTCAATATTTTAAAATTTTACATTGTGGAGTTCTGTTTTAAATATGAAATACAAGCTATAATAACCTGAATTGAAAAATAAGCTGCTACTGTTTATTTGGATCCTGGCACATAGAGCATGACAAAAATCTTTTCCCTCTTTATTATTTTACAGTGAGTTGTAACTTTGCATGATGTTTTTTGGTGGGCAAATTTTCTTTTACTGTAAGACAGTTGATTACCAGTTTCTTATAGTAATAACCTAACATTTTAAAGGTAAGAAAAAGCCTCTGAATCCTTAGGAAGGAAAATAATGATATTTAAGCTAGGGTAGTACTTCTGGAAGAAATCGAGATGATCAATTTTCTAAATTTTTTAATCCCAACACATTCAATATATGACTAACATTTAAAATGTTAATAATGCGTTGATTACAGTAAAATATTTAGGTCCATTGTAGGCTGTAAATTGCAGACTAATAAGCTTATTTATTTTTTAAAAAACACTGAACTGTGTTTAAAACCTAAATACACTCTTGTCACAGAAAATGAACTATGGTAAAGGCCTCCAATAATTACACTGAGGCAGGGTATACTTTCAGTATTCAAGATTCTTCAAGTTCTAAAAATAACAAGCTGATTTTGTTTGGTAGTAATTCTTAACCACAAAATTTGCTAGTTGTCAAAATGTACGAAAACTCCCTAGTGATGAAACAAAGTATCCTATAAGAAAGTTTCATTCCTTTCCTTTTTTAAAATTAACTTGGATAAACTTAAAAGAGAAGAAATTGCAGTATACAGGACCTTAGCTTTAAAGTTAAGAAATCTGGCTAAAATATTTTAGCTATAAAAAGTGAAGGTTTATTCTATGATTTTCTCCTTTACTAATTAAAAAAGAAAAATACTGCAGATACAGATATGTTGCTGGATTAAATATTGCATATGCTTATGCACTGAAAGGATACATTAGAAATGGTAACCACAATTTGTGGAATGAGAGGGAGACTTTACCTGTTCAAAAGTGGTTAATTTTATAATAGATGAAATGAAACAAGTTGATCTTAAACGTGAAGCATTACTTCTCCATGGGGACTATTTGGGGTCTGATTATGGGGAAAAAAAACTAATTGAGTCATTGTCTTTCATAGGAGAAGACTGATATAGAAGGGACCTTATTCGTATATCGAAGGTAAGTTTTTAAAATATGTATATTTGTTTTTAACAGTCTAGTGGTGAACAATGTGAAACGGTTCAATTCTCTTGTACATTTGTCTTTGGAACCGTCCTGCTAGTACCCTTCAAGTTTTCATCTTTCCCTAGCTGTGAAATCTTAACCAGGTTCTTTCTTTTCTCTGAGCCTTTCTGTGATTCAGAATAAACTGAACTAGAATTTATATTACCAGCCTAGCAAAGCAATTTCAAAATAATAATGATTGAGTCTAAAATGGATGCCTGCGTCTCTCTTCCTACCCCCATATTAGAAAGAAAAAGAAAGATATATATTTGGGGAAAAGACAATACATAGACTGGCTCTGTAAAATAATGTTATTGAGAGGTCGATCCCTCTGTTCTTTCATTACTACATGAGTGGTTGTCTTTTATGACTGGTTCTGTCCTCTTTCCCAACCCACAGAAGTTCTGGATTATGTACAGTGTCTTATTTGAGAGTTCTTTAGAAAGCTTGGATTATTCATGATGGCGTATTTTTTATTTTTGACTTATTCAAAAATTCATTATCTTTAAGATTGGTTTGCAAATTGCAACTTTTTTGTTAGGCAGCTTTTGGGGCCTAAAGACAACTGACAGTATATGATAGTCATGGGGTACTTGTTTTCCTGGATTCCTCTAAGGTCTTAACTCTTACAAGGGCAGGTTCCTTCCCTTGTTTTCTAAAGCTTAGGGAGTCAGCAGGAGTTATTACTGATATCTGGTCTTTTCCCTTTTTTTTTTGTATTGAGTTGCTTCATAAGGATTGCCTTTCTCCATTGATGCCAATTTAAAAGAATTTGTCAAATACTCTTCTAAATTTTGATACAAAGCTTTGAGATCTCGTCTAAATGCACTCATTTTTTTCTTCTTTTAAGTGTAATTCTTTGATATTTGTACACCAAGCTCTTTTTTCTTAGACACTTTCTTTGTTCCCTGCTATTCATCTTTCTGCTTTTAAAAAGGAAGGGATCGGCCGGGTGCAGTGGCTCACGCCTGTAATCCCAGCACTTTGGGAGGCCGAGGTGGGCGGATCACGAGGTCAGGAGATCAAGACCATCCTGGCTAACACGGTGAAACCCTGTCTCTACTAAAAATACAAAAAATTAGCTGGGCATGGTGGCAGGCACCTGTAGTCCCAGCTACTTGAGAGGCTGAGGCAGGAGAATATCGTGAACCCAGGAGGCGGAGCTTGCAGTGAGCCGAGGTCGTGCCACTGCACTCCAGCCTGGGTGACAGAGCGAGACTCCCTCTCATAAAAAATAAATAAATTAATAGGAAAGGATCTTTACCCTCACTCCCTTCATTACTCTTCATTAGCAATATAAATCTCTAGAAACTCTGTTATTAGAACCTTAGTTTCTATGATATTTGGTAAAAGTACTTTACTGGCTTTATTGTTATCATACAGAGGCACTGATTGTAGAAAGTAGGAGATTTAGTGTAGTGGGTGGCTGGATTTAATACAATTCACGGAGGCTTATATGGTACTGATTCTAATTAAAGGAGACGCAAGAAACTGTGTTTGGAAAATGTGAGACTATTTTGCGT